>NC_000018.10:12710449-13010499 GCF_000001405.40 Homo sapiens | reverse complement strand
CATCTATTTTTTTCTTTTATTGCTTATTTGAGTGATAATACCACTCTTTTCTTTCATATATATAACATTTTTCATCAAGAGAAATACAAACCTCCCTTAAAATTTTTCTAACATATAATGTGTACTCATTCATCAATCTTACAACATATAATCAGGCAAGTCCTTTTGAGTACTGAACTAGTTTGGAGTTACAGAATACCACACTATATAAGTGCATAGAATGTACTTTTCAATTTCCAGCTTTGATTTCTTTGATAAAAGAAAGTGAATGTGGAGTACTTAAGAGGAATCAGACAGCAGAAGCCTATGATTTTTTTAAACAACTTTCCCTATATTTTTATTTATTTATTTATTTTTGAGATAGGGTCTGGGTCTGTCTCCCAGGCTGGAGTGCAATGGCATGATCACCTTGACCGCCTGGGCTTAAGCAATCCCACCTCAGCCTCCCAAGTAGCTGGGACTAAAGGCGCACAGCACTATACCCTGCTAATTTTTGTATTTTTTGTACAGACAGAGTTTCACCTTGTTGCCCAGGCTGATATTGAACTCCTGGGCTCAAGCCATTCACCCACCTCAGCAGGAATTACAGGCATAAGCCACAGTGCCTGACCCCCCATATTTTTGTAGTTTCTTCTCCACATCTAATTTGAGAGCAATTTTTCTTTTTGAGACGAAGGCTTACACTGTCACCCAGGCTGGAGTACAGTGGCACGATCTCGGCTTGCTGCAATCTCCGCCTCCCGGGTTCAAGCGATTCTCCTGCCTCAGCCTCCCGGGTAGCTGGGATTACAGGTAGCCACCATGATGTCTGGCTAATTTTTGTATTTTTAGGAGAGACAGGGTTTCGCCATGTTGGCCAGGCTAGTCTTGAACTTCTGACCTCAGGTGATCTGCCCACCTCAGCCTCCCAAAGTGTTGAGATTACAGGCGTAAGCCACCATGCCTGGCCCGAGGGCAATTTATCAAATGACTTATCCTTGAGTATTTCCAATGCATTCAACCTAGTTTTCTTAGAAACAGTAATTTCTTTTAGAACTTATAATTCATCAGTTTTATAAAAAAAATAGGCTTAGAAACAAAATTGACTCTCGATAAGAATATAAATTAATTAGTGGGAGAAAAGTGGAAGATGCACTAAAAATAGGCTTGTCTTGAATATAAAGTATGCTGTGGCCATCCGACAGCATGGTTTCCAAAGCAAAGAGAATTTCAGCTTAAATGAGTCAACAAGGTTAAGAGGAGACCTTTCCTATAAAAGTACTGTAAATATGATATTAATAGGTACAATGCAAACCAAAGCATTTTCAGTTCATGGTATGATAGTACAAGATGAATACATCGAAGCCAGGAGTGACGATGCATGCATCCAGTCCCAGCTACTCGAGAAGCTGAGGAGGGTGAATTGCTTGAGCCCAGGAGTTCATGACCAGCCTGGGCAACACAGCTAGAACCCATCTCAAAATTAAGCAAAAAAAAAAAAAAAAACAAAAAGGCCAGGCACAGTGGCTTAGGCCCATAATCCCAGCATTCTGGCAGGCCAAGGCACAGCAGATCATTTGAGTCCAGGCGTTCGAGCCCAGCCTGGGCAACATGGCGAAACCCTGTCTCTATTAAAAACACAAAAAGTTAGCCTAGCATGGTGGTGTGTGCCTGTAGACCCAGCTACTAAGGAGGCTGAGATGGGAAGATAGGTTGAGCAGCCCAGGAAGTTGAGGCTGCAGTGAGCTGTGATCACGCCACTGCACTCCAGCCTGGGCGACAGGAGTGCGACCCTGCCTCAAAAAAAAAAAAAAAAAATCCAAAGATAAGGAAATGAAAAAGGAAATTAAAACATATGCATTAAGAAATAATTTCAAATAGTTCAGTACCTTGTGCTTGTTCCAGTGGTGAAGCCCTGTTGAAGAGATCTTGGCCCTGCAAGGATTCTGTAGCTCCGGCTGGCTCCTCTTCTGGTCCTGCTGTCTCCATTTGTAAAGCTGACTGTTTGCTGAGAGCATTTGACAAACGTTGACTTTCCACATAGCTCTTTTTCCTAGAGATAGAACTTTTTTATTAGGAAACAGAAGAATGATAAAATGTTAGTTACCTTGGGTAAATCTACAAAATATTTATTAATCAGTTATGTATTTTACCTCTTAAAAAGAAAAAATGGAAGCAATAAAAAGAAACATTTGAGTCTAGCCAGAAAACTACAACTGCTAACACTGCACTGTATTCTGGGGACTGAACCAACATTTTGGGTCCAGTGATACAGTCTACCAAAATCAAAGAACGTCATACTGCTACTCTTTCAAGCAGCAAAAAGTGGTTTTTTTACTTCCAAAATAAGTATCCTTGAAACTACCAATCTACATAATTCAGCTTTCTAAAATCTGCAGACTTAAAGGATATTGGCATATTTGCCAAAATAGCCAAATCTCTGAATTAATAAAGGTTTCAATCGTTTTTACTTTTATCCCTAGTCCTAGTTCTTGTCCTTATCTTTCTTTCTACCTCTGCTGTTTTCTGTGTGGATGAAAGTATTTTTCTTACAGGCAATGTTCCTCCCACCCTACTCCAAAAGCTCTTGGGTCTAGAGCAGCTCACCACAGAAAGAGAGGGGTGGGAACGGAACTTCAGGAAAAAGCCTCTAAATGCAACAAATTCATTACATGACAAACTGATACCTAGAGCCAGACTCAAATTTGGCCAGGATGGATTTTTTTTTAAAAGTCCTTCCATATTTCTCAAATCCCAACCTTTCATGCCTGAGGCAACTCTCCAACCCTAACTACAATTTACTTCCCAGTTTCTCCATCTCTTTACTGGGGCTGTAGTACATAAAAAGTCACTAGCTTAAGCCAAAGGTGCACTCATGGGTAGGTACAGGAAAATTTCATTGAGTACAGGAAAGGAAAGGCATAGGTGGAAAGACTATACATAGTTACAAAGTCAAGAGGTAGCAAGGACAGAAAGGAAAAGAGGTGGGGGAGCAAGATGGTGACAGGAAATAAATAAACAAGTCAGGACAGTTAGGTCAATTTCCATGTTTAAAGCCCTCCCTGAGAAAAGCATGTAGTATGACCACCAGAACTTTAGAGTGACAGGGACAGTTGAGAGCAGGGCACTCGACATTCACCACCATCTCTCTAAAAATGCTACTTCCTCAAAACGACAGCTATCCCATATTTTTATTAGCTCAAAAAAAATTTTCAAACTAAGTCATAAGTTTCAAGTTAAAGAGGCAAGAGCAACTTCCAAGTGTCCAATAAAATGACAGTAAGGAAATCTATAAAAGTGAAGCAATCTGGGTAAGAACTACCAGTCCTAACCCACGCTTACCCCAGATTCTGGAATCTGAAAAGCAGATGGGGTGTGCAGGGGGAGAGAAAGCCACAATCCAAGAACAGAAGGGCCCGGAAGCAGAAAAGGAAACAAATCTGCCAGGGAGAAACACAAAAATGTTCCTTGACTACAGTCAGAAAGAGGGCAGAAGGGAGTCGGGGAGGGCAGGAGAGTGGGGACGGAAAGCCCGGCATGAAGCATGGCAGGAGCACCCACCCTTCTTTCCCACTCCAGAGACAACAGCCATGCACACACGACAGTGAACACCTGACAACGGGGAGGGAAGGGCTTGCCTGCAATCAAGGCACAGAAAATGCCTGTGGAGAACGAAGCGATGGCAGTTACAGCGGCCCAGAAGAAAGCATTAAACATCTGGCATAAAATTGAAGACTCCAACCTGCACACTCTACAGTAAATGGCCAGGAACAACGTCCCTCTTGTGTGGAAGCCAATGAGAAATAAGAGCTACATACACAACAGATAAGGATGCCCACACTAGGCAGCCTAGAAGACAGCCACAAATCAGACAAGAAAAAAAGGAGCAGTTCAAGAGACAAAAATAAAAATGAACAAACTATGCAAGCAGCCCCGGAGAAAAGGAACAGTTTACAGAACTTTCAAAATTTCTAATCAGAATCTTCAGAAGTATCCATGTAGCTGTTACAGTCAACCCTCAGTATACATGGGGGACTGGTTCCGGGACCCCTGCATGTACCAAAATATGCAATATTCAAGTCCTACAGTTAGCACTGACTACACTCGGGTTTCACATCCATGAATACTGTATTTTCCATCCACGTTTGGTTGAAAGAAATCTGCTTATAAGTGGAACCACACAGTCCAAACTCGGGTTGTTCAAGGGTCAAGTGTACATCCACAAAAAGGGCCCATTAAAAAAAAAGGTCAAAAAAAGAGCTCTCATGATTAAAATTATGATTGCCAAATGATTTAATGAGCATGAGAAAAAAAGAAACTTACCTAGAACGATGTCTTTTTGCACTAAAACAGAAAAAAAGGAAAAAAAAAGTAGATATAGAACAACCCAGGCAATCCAAAACAGTAGTTCTGGAAAAAGAAAAGGAAAAACTAGAAGAAAAACCATAATTATCCAGAACTGATCTCCAAACCAATGCCAATTAGAATTCAGTGAATGGGGGAAAATAGCCCCACCCACAAGGGACTCAGACGGGATTCTAAAATTTCCAGAGAGAAAACATAGTTCAGATAAAAAACCAACTATCAAGATTATACCAGACTTCATGTACAATGTAGCAATATCTTCAAAATTGTGTGAAAATTTATTTTCATCCTAAAATTCTGTACTCAGCTAAAGTATTAATTTATTCCAAGATTAGAATAAAGACATTTTGAAACACAAATTCCCTCCTCCCCAAGAAGGGGTCAAAGAAGCCATCCCTCACCAGGAGACTGAGGCCATGCCTCTCCAGGCTGCTGACCCTCCAGTATAGTGTCCAAGGAAGCCCTATACTCAGACCAGCAACTCAGGGCTTCAGACTATTCAAGAGTCAAGAGCTAGCTCTAAGCACTTACCTCTCCCCAGGCACTGAGTCTAAGACTCCACCTCCCCAGGCCTCCTGTCTTCCATCAACAAGGACCAACAAGACCAGTTTCCAGAGCTCCTGGCCTCCAGCAAGAGTCAAGAGGATACCCTCAAGATGCCCTCCCATCCCTGACATTTGCAGTTTCCTCACAGCAACAGGTGAGTCGGACTAACTTCACAATGCCCTTTACTGATTTTCAGCTCCTAAAAGCAGCCCAGGATGCCTCACTGCTGGCACTCCAAGCCCCTTAAGACTGCACAGCCCTTCTACTCCCCAACAAACAAAACCCTTCTACTGTGCCTTCTATAATTTACAGAGCTGGGTTGACAAGATCTGCCATTCCTGAATCTCTTCTCTGAACATTCCTTTCACCTTACTACTTTAATGAAAGCCTGAATAGCCTGTGAGGACATTGCTACCCCCAAGCTCTGACAAGTGGGGACCCTCATCTCTCCCACAGCCGTGGCATCATCACCTGGTGTGGAGATGGAATATATACGCCCTTCTTGCCCTCAGTGCCACTTCCAGGTCGCTCTCCCTAGAGCCTCACAGCTTTGAATCACCTACTACCCCTCTTGCCTCTAGTACCACAACTATATGATGCTAACCCCACCTGCACCTCCAACCCATCTGTACCACCACATCACTCTCCCTGCCCCTGTCCATACCCTCTCCTCCTCCTTAACCTAAAGCCAATCTTACATGGCCAATCTTACATCCTCAGCAACCTTGTCCCTCACTCCCTTTATAAACTACAACCCTGGTTAAATCCAATTCTCTGCCTCCTCTTCACCTGCACTCCTACAGCTCAATGTGGCTGGGGAAACATCACAATCACCCTCAACAGTCACGCCCACGGCCCTCAAGTTGGGCCCTTGATGTTGTCCAGGAATCCTAACATTTCAACTCTGTCCATTCATTTTCCTGTGGTCCCATGTGATAATTTTACATCCTTTTTTTAAACCACCAACTCCTCCTCCTCCACCCTCACGCTGACTTGATGACTATGCTTCCTACTTCACTAACCCTACTTTCAGCCTGAAGCACTGAAAAGGTAACTTCCACAGATTCTTACCACTACATGCACCCACCCAGGCCGTCCTCCCACCTGTTCCCGCAGGGGAACTGTCCGCAGTCCTACCCAGCTAAAGCCACTCCCCGCACTGCACATTGTGGCCTACCCTCTCTTACTGACACAGACGTTGCTGCAGCAATTCTCTTCCCTTTCTACATCAGCAAGTTTTACCCTTTCCAGGAGATTATTCCTATTATCACGCAAACATGCAGCAACTTCTCCCACCACAAAAAAAAAAAGTGAAACTTCTCTTCACCCACTACAACCATCCAGCTGTCATAACCTCGTTTCTCTGCTCCCTTTCACAGCAAAACTCCACAAGCTGTCTACTGCCTCAAACAGTAACTCCTGTTCTCTCTGAAACTCATTCTGAGTAGGCCATGGTGCCTGTCCCTACTTACACCAAACTACTTATTGGGGTTACCAATGACCTAATCTATGCTAATTCCAAGGGTCAATTCTTTGCCCTCATTTTATTTGACATAGTTAGGTAACTCTTCTTTTATACATGCTCTTGACATGGCTTCCAGGATGCTTGTTTTCTCCTTCCTCTGATCACTAACTCTTAATCTCGCTGTTGATTCCTCCTGTCCCCAGCTTCTCACTGTGAAGCATCCTGAGGACCACGCCTGTTCGCTCTCTTCCATCTGCCTCACTCCCAGACAATGTGCCCATGCTGCTCCCACTCTCGCCTCCTACAGTCTCTTTTCCACATAACCGCGAGAGTGGGCCTTTTTTTGAGATAGGGTCTCACTCTGTCACCCAGACTAGAGTGCAGTGGTGCAATTACGGCACACTGCAGCCTGGATCTCCTGGGCTCAAGTGATTCTCAGGGTGGGACTTTTAAAACACAATTCAGATGGAGCCCTCTAGTGGCTTCCCGTATCTCTGAGTCAGAGTCAAGGTCCTGCTCACCACCTCCCCAGCCTCCCTGGTGCTCTGTGAACCACATGGGCTACTCTCCTGCCTTAGTTCCTTCAGGCTGGCCGCACCTTTGGCCTGAAGTCTGCTTCCCCCTGGCGTCCACATAGTTAACTCCCTCCCTCAAGTCTTGGCTCATATCTTCTTTTTTTTTTTTTTTTTTTTTCTTGAGACAGAGTCTCACTCTGTTGCCCAGGCTGGAGTGCAGTGGCGTGATCTCGGCTCATTGCAACCTCCACCTCCCAGGTTCAAGCAATTCTCCTGCTGCAGCCTCCCAAGTAGCTAGGATTACAGCCACATGCCATTATGCTTGGCTAATTTTTGTGTTTTTGGTAGAGATGGGATTTCACCATGTTGGCCAGGCTGGTCTCGAACTCCTGACCTCAGGCGATCTACCTGCCTTAGGCTTCCAAAGTGTTGGGATTACAGGCAAGAGCCATCATGCCCTTGGCTCATATCTTATGTCCATAATGAGACCCATACTGACCACTGCCTTCAGCCTACCTAATAACCCTCCTTATTATATTCTATTTTTTTCTAGCACTTTTCCCTTTCAATATACTATAAAATTAGCCTATTTTAGTGTCTTGTTTAACATCTGTTTTAGTCACTGGTATTTCCTAACCACCTGGAAAAGTGTGTGGCACACAGTAGGCACTCAGTCAAAATTACACACTGAAGGAATGAATACACAAGGGTTAACATCTTTAATATAAAGAAAGCACTTATATATAAAGGCTATCAAGAGGCAATTCACAACATAAATATAAGTAATGAATAGACATTAAAGTAGGTTCAATCCCATAAATACGCAAATACAAATTTAAACACAGAAAACAAGATTGTCTATAATACCACCATTCCCATTTTGGTTTTTTAGACTTCCAGACTTTCTTTCATGCATATATACATATGTATTATATAAATTATTTTTACCTGTAAAAATCAAAGATTAAAAATAGCACCATCAAATGCTGGGCAGGGCTGGGAGAAGTCGGCATTCAGAATAAACTGGTACAAGTTTTCTAAAGAGCAATGTGTTAATTTGTAATGGTCTTTAAAATAAACTATTTTTACCTCAGCAATTTAAACCCTAGAAATCTTAATAATATCCTAGGTGCGAAAAATGTATATATAAATGTACATGTAGGGAAGTTCATTACCTTTATAATAGCAAAACTGCAATAATCTAAATGACCAACACAGACCTGAGTATAGTCATTAACATTATGACACAGATTCATATTAATTGTAATTGAAAACTGAACATAATACTGCATCTAATTTTTTGTGTAATAGAATAAGAGCTTAATCTTATTTTGTAAAAAAAAAAATTTATTTTCATTTTTCTTTTTCTATAGCCTCATATTAGAAGTAAAAAGAAGATTTAAAGGCATAAATGCACATACAAAATAGTATGGAAGACTACAAATAAAAATGTACTCAATGGCTGTTCTCTAGTTAGTGGGATTACAGGCCTTTACTGTCTTCCAAATAATTTTCTATATTCTCTATTTTTTCAAAAGCACGTTACTTTTAGAATCTAAAAAAAAATGTTTTGAAAGACTAAACGTGATTAAAATGCATAAAGAAAACTCTTGGCCGGGCGCGGTGGCTCACGCCTACAATTCTAATCCCAGCACTTTGGGAGGCCAACGCGGGTGGGGCGGTTCACTTGAGGTCAGGAGTTTGAGACCAGCCTGGCCAATGTGGTGAAACCCCATCTCTACTAAAAATACAAAAACAATTAGCTGGGCTTGGTGGCACCTGCCTGTAATCCCAGCTACTCAGGAGGCTGAGGCAGGAGAATCACTTGAACCAGGGAGGCAGAGGTTGCAGTGAGCTGAGATCACACCATTGCACTATAGCCTGGGCAATGGAGTGAGTGAAACTCCGCCTCAAAATAAAAGAAAACTCTTCAAGATTCTTAGAATTAATCAGAATTAATTACATACACAATCACATTGTCATTTTCCACAAGACTGCGTAAGACCCACTTTTAACACAGTACAAGCAAATGAAGGTATGAACTTACTCATCATCCTGGAAGCTAAGCTGTAACCTCTCTCTTGGTTCAGCATCACTCTGGCTTCCGGGAGATGACCCGGATGGAACTGAAAATCTCCCTTCTACTAAGTAAGATGCCTGGATATCAGGATACCTATACAAAAAAAATTTGTTTTAATTGTTAAGAATTAAATTACACATATTTAAATGTCATCATGACATAGGGCTGCGTGACAGTAAAACCAACCACCGGGGTAAAAACAAATAGGGCCCCTGTATTTCAAACCATCATCCTCTGTGCAAAGCACGGAAACCTGTGGCTTGGCAATAGGGAGTTTATCTGTATTCAACAATACAGTCACAAAAATCTTAAAGCTAAAAGAGCTGAGAGTGTTAATACAACCCCTTCAGCCCAAAGGTCAAGATGGTGCTCCTCACTAAATGTTTAGGTTGAGAAAAGACAAGAAAGTGGCCAGTTTAAGCATAGGCAAACTTTATATATTATGCAAGACCCTACATGTAATGGATGTGTAAACTATACACAATCCAGTTGAAGATACAAAACAAGGTGTATTTAACCAAACATCAATCTGGTAATAAAACAGAAATTTTAAAAGTAAAGAAAATAAAAGCTGGTTGAGTTTTGGGGGTTTTTCTTGAGACAGAGTCTCCCTCTGTCGTCCAGGCTGGAGTGCAGTGGCCCAATCTCAGGTCACTGCAATCTCTGCCTTCCGGGTTCAAGCGATTCTCCTGTCTCAGCCTCCCGAGTAGCTGGGATTAGAGGCGTGCGCCATCACGCCTGGCTAATGTTTGTATTTTTAGTAAACAGGGTTTTGCCATGTTGGCCAGGCTGGTCTCGAACTCCTGAACTCAGGTGATCTGCCCGCCTTGGCCTCCCAAAGTGCTGGGATTACAGGCATGAGCCACCACGCCCAGCCTGGTTGAGTTTCTAAGAAAGAGAAACTTGACTTCAGGAGCTGAAAGTTACTAGAATGACAAGAGCCAAGTTACCTCAGAAACCTAGGACAGATTGAAAGCTGGAAGAGAAAGAGAAAGACAGCCATACAAGTCCAGTAAAGAGTAAACCTGGCTGAAATGAATTAAAAAGTGAGGCTCTGTCATACCTCTAAATAGATCCAATGACCCAAAACTCTAGTCACAGGTGACTGTATTTGGAACAGACACCTAACCTAAGATGGACCAGAAACTCATGAGATATCAAGAGACAGTTCAGTAGTCTCCTTGTGTAGCTAGAAATGTAATTCATAGATGTCTTTTGAGAATCTGTGTTGCCATATTCTGTAAAATGAACAGAAAAGCAAATAAAACCAGTGTATTAAAAAAGAGCAGAGGCCAGGTATGGTAGCTCACACCTGTGTAATACCAACACTTTGGGAAGTTGAGGCAGGAGGATCACTTGAGCCCAAGAGTTCAAGAATAGCCTAGCTAACACAGCAAGACCCTATCTCTATAAAATATTTTTTTAATTAGCAAAAAAAAAAAAAAAAAAAAAAAAAAAGAGAGAAGACAATGAGTTATACAGAGAGAAATAGAGTGGGATGACAAAAACCCAAGTCCTGATGGCTTCCTAAATCTCAATTCCTGTCCCTTCTTGCAGCAAAGCTCTGCACTCCTCCCCTTGATGTCAAGAGGTACTCCTATAACCTTATGATTAATTTGCCTTTGAACTTCGCTAACACAACTTGTTTTACATTACTAGCCATTAGTGTGACTGAACTAATACAAATCCAAAACACTATAGACAAAAAAAAAAAAAAAAAATAGACCGAAATAGGTAACTGGTGCTCAAATCCCAAACCCACCCAAACCTACCCACTGAAAAGGCAAAGCAATGGGGAAAAAGACAGTAAATTCTGTCTTTTCTATATTCATTTCACATATTTGGCCATCCCCCTCATAGATAAAACAAAAAGCTCAAGCTTGACTGAGAAACAGAACATAAATATCAGCATGCTATAGGCTTTATGGACCTGGAAAAAAATCTGCTCAAACAAATCTTACCTGTTATCAGTGCTGGATCTATCCCTAGCAAGTGTAGAAACAGCAACAGGCAAGCCAAGATTTGAAGAAAGAGTGACATTTTCCAAAATCCCACTGTTACCAAATAATGAATTGGTGAGAAAGCTTGGAAATGATTCTTCTGCTATACCTCGAAAATCTTCCATCTCACTGCAATAACAAAAGTATTTCTATAGGTCACATATTACTATAAAATGTTTTTAAATGATTAAAAGCATTGTCTTAGAAAACTAATAAATCTTAGGAAAAAAATCCTTTTTTTAGCATTAGTAAGGGGGAAATAGGCAAATAGTCTGAGGTAAAATAAATCTCAGAATACTTTGCTACTTTATAGATGAGAATAGAAACCTTAAACATTAAACTTACCTTCTTATAATTAACATAATAATGCAATACAACACATTTTAATTTGCCCTTTGCTTGGTGTAGCTAGGAAAATGAATTACTACAAACTTATCTAGTAAAGAAAGCAAAGATGGCATAACACTGATGGTATATACAAATGATTTTAGGACATATTTAAAAGTTTGGTAGTTACATACTCATTCTAATACGGAACAGAAAAAGTACAACCAGCAAAAATCTAGCCCGGATCTCAGTGTTGTTAAGACTGAATTAAAAAGTGAACCCATTCAAAGAACAATTTTCAGTTAAAGTATAGTTGGCACATGGACAAGGTAAAAGTGGTAAAAGGGGTACCCAAATGACTAAATCTGGAAAACACCAGCACAAAACCTATGCTATTACTAGAGAACCTGACCACGGTGCTCTGAAGATGTTAGCTAGTCTCAACAATTTTTCAGAGTACGTATCATATACACACTGCATGGAAATCAGTAAAGGAAATAATGGCAGAAGGATAAAAAGATAAATAATCAGGAAAAGCTAAAAAAAATGAGAGGATATTGGCAATGCGCCTTGAAGACTGAGAAGAACTTTTATAGGCAGAGTATGGGATGAGAGAGTTTATTTAGGATGATAAACATGAGCCAAGAAGGAAAAGAATTAAATTTTATTGCATATCTACTAACTTAGCTCACTGAATCCACAGAAAATCTTACAATGTAGGTATTATCCCATTTTACAGGTGAAGAAACAAACTGAGAGACTAAATTAGCTCAATTTTCCCAAGGTTGCAATTAGTAAGATTCAAACCCAGGTCTGACTCGAAAATCCACTCTAAGTGCTAGGTCTATGCTGGCAGTAGCAAATACTCCAATGCATTTTGGCAGCAGGTGAACAAAATAACACAGTAAACGAAGCTAGAATAACAGAATGGAGCCAGATTCTAAAAGTCTGAAACGGTGTGTTGGAAAGTTTGAACTGTACTCTGCAACCAACAAAGAACTGACACAATCAACCTATTATACAGGAAGGGAGAGGACTTAAAAACCTGGAAGACTATTCAAAGAGCTACTTCAGTAATAAAGGAGTATACTAGGATCAATGACAAATTGGATTAAAGCATAGATTTTAGACAGTATGGACTAATTATAAAATATAAAAAGAAAAAGAAGAAGTTTTATGACCACTAAAGAGATTATGAGGCCAGGTGCGATGGCTCATGTCTGTAATCCCAGCATTTTGGGAGGCTGAGGCAGGCGAATCACTTGAGTTCAGGAGTTCAAGACCAGCCTGGCCAACGTGGTAAAACCTCGTCTCTACTAAAAATACAAAAACTAGCTGGGCGTCATGGCGGGCACCTGTAATCCCAGCTATTTGGGAGGCTAAGGCAGGAGAATCACCTAAATCTGCGAGGTGGAGGTTGCAGTGAGCCGAGATTGCGCCCCTGTACTTCAGCCTGGGTGATGGAGCGAGACTCTATCCCCCCCAAAAATAAGAAGAACTTACTTGTTTTGGAATAGGAGTTAAAAGAAATTAAAGAATGTGTAAGCAGAAACTCAGTTCTATGTAAGAAAACCCAATTCCCCCTGAGAAAGAGAAAGAGCTGGAGCCCTTTAAAAATTATCTGCCTGTTTTTCTGTGGCTAGTAAGCCTTATCTCTCCTCCTTTCCCAGGCATTGTGAAGACCCTGTTTCTCTAGCTGTGCAGCTGCAAGGTCACTAGACAGATAAACTCAAGCCATAAAACACATTTTTTCCTTGGAAAGTAAGAAATGATATAATGCATGTCTCAATTAATTGAATAATTGTCTTTGTTTCTTGCTTCTGTAATATGCTTCCTCCTGCACAGATTCCCCCCTGCCGCCCCACGAAATCCTTAAAAGGTAACTTAACTCTTTGTTCAGGGCTCAGACTTGTTCAGGGCTCAGACTTTTTGGATGTTAATCCGACTGGGCCGGTGCACCTAAATAATATATCCTCCTCAACCCCTCGGTCTGATTCCTAAATTATCCCACAACAGTTTATGAAGTGTCCATGCCCCTGTCTGAAGCCCACCTCTTCACTTTGCACTCGATCCCAACCCCTCACTGCACTGACAACCACTCTACCAATCGGCCCCCTTCCATAACATGATCGAGTCTTCTGTCTGTGCAAGCCCTCCCACGCTGGGCATGCTGTTATTTCTCCCACCTTTTAAAAAAAGCCTTCCTCTACCTCACACCCCCATTATCCCCCTGAACTGCCACCACACCTATCCATGCTCCCTTTATCACAGGCTTCCAGAGGAATCATGACTGGCATCCAGTTCCACTCCCATCCTCTCCTGAACGCACCCCACTCTGGCCTTCATCCCACCACACCACCAAAAAAATGCTTGTCAGCATCAGCCCTGATCTCCCTGTTGCCAAGCCGTAGCATACTATAATCTACCTCCGGTCCTTCTTCTGTAGCCTAACATTCAGGTGATTACTCCTTCCTTGGGGAAATACTTTCTTGGCTTCATTTCTCAGACACAGCTGTCTGGTTCTCCTCCAACTCCACCAAGCTGCTGCTTTCCCTTCTCCTTGGCCAGTTCCTCCTTATCTCCTAGACCTCCACAGAGTGGAAGCCTCCAGGGCTTGATCTTCAACTTCTTCCATCAACTCACCCTCTCTGGGTGATTGCCTTCAATTTCAAAGCTTAAAATATCACGTAAAATGTACACCTCCATCTTGGGCCTTTCCCCGAACCTCAGGTATTCAACCGCCTCCACAACACTTCCACTTAGATGTCTAACAAGCACCTACATTTGAATCTTGATTCCAATTAATTCCCATCCCCTCAAGAAATGCCTGCCCTTCAGCCTTCCCCACCAGCGAAAATGACAACTCCAACACCTAGCTGCTTAGGCCAAAAACCGTAGTCATCTCTGAGATCCCTCTCACACCCCATCACGTGCAATCCCTATGCAAATCTCTAGAGTTATACATTAACAACCTGCCCAGGACCTTGCTGCATCCCCCCAACCTACCCCCCAACCCTGCTATGACCTTGGTCAGGCCACCACCACTTCCTGCCTGGACACTCACTGCAATAGCCTTTGGTCTCCAGGCCTCCTCTCTGCCTCCCCTAGTCTACTCTCCACACACGAAAGTCACCCTATAACATTACTGAAACGTCCTCACTCCTTAGCTCAAACCCTCCCTCCACTGGTTCCCCATCTTATTCAGAGTAAAAGGCAGTCTTTAAGATGGCCAACCAGGGCCCAGATAATCTGTGACTTCGTCTCCTCTACTCTTCTCCCTTGCTCACTCCATTCCAGTCATCCTAACCTCCCTGCTGTTCCTGAAACATGCTAAGCCAGCTCCGCTCCAGGACCTCCACCCTAGCTCTGACCTCTGCCCAGCCCCTGATGCTCCAGCTATTCACACATTTTGTACCTTCACTTCTTTCAGTTCTTTGTGCAAATGTTCACTTAGCTGTCAGGCCTTGCCTCCTCAACCTACAGATTTGAACAGGGCACTTCCCAACCTCCTTTCCCTGCTTTCTCTGTTCTATAGTACTGACCACCACCTGCATGCTATGTAACTCACTTGTTATCTCTTTTTCTCCCCACATTAGAATGTAAGCTCTATGAGGGCAGGAACTTTGCCCATTTGGTTTGCCACTGCATTCCCAGCTAGAACAGTGCTGGCACGAGACGCTCAATAAACTTGAGTGAATGAATGAATAAAAATTTTCAAATTATGTCAATATACAGCAAATTCATCACCATCATATAAGCACTCTGCTCTCAGATCATGCCCCAGCATTTTCTTCTCTTTGATATTTCCAACTATTCTCTCTTCTTGATTTCCATAAACATGTTCAAAATCCTCCCATGAGGCCGGGCGTGGTGGCTCACGCCTGTAATCCCAGCACTTTGGGAGGCCGAGGCGGGCGGATCACGAGGTCAGGAGATCAAGACCATCCTGGCTAACACGGTGAAACCCCGTCTCTACTAAAATACAAAAAAAAAATTAGCCGGGCGAGGTGGCGGGCGCCTGTAGTCCCAGCTACTCAGGAGGCTGAGGCAGGAGAATGGCGTGAATCCGGGAGGCAGAGCTTGCAGGGAGCCGAGATCGCGCCACTGTACTCCAGCCTGGGCGACAGAGCGAGACTCCGTCTCAAAAAAAAAAAAAAAAAAAAAAAAAATTCCTCCCATGTTAGGATGGAGGAGGCAGGAAACAACCTGCCCTGATTTTTCATTTGCATGTCCTGCCACCACCTTCTCACCTTCCCTTCATGGCCAGGCATCTCAGAAGAATACTCCATAATCCATACTTTCACAACTCATCTGACATCCTCTTCCTTTATTTGCTCCTCATATGTTAGGGTTACCCAGGATTCTGACCTCAGACTTTGCATCATGCAATTTACTTCTTACACACTAGGGATCTCAACTCAAATGTCTTCAGGAACAACTATTGTTAGAAAACAGAATTATAAGGACTGAGGTCAGCTGGAAATTACAGGCTTTACCTAAAACTAGTTAAATTCAATACACTGTTGTCAAACAAAACACATCTACTGGTGTAGTCCATTCCTGAGGGCAAAACATGTCTATGTTCCAAACACACCCTGAAATAGTCTATATCTTCCTATCTCCATTACTACCACCTTACCCTACTGAAAAGCCTCCTCACCCTTTTCCATGTTTTTATTCTTGCCACCCTACAATTAATTATCCAAGAAGCAAGCAAAAAGACCATTAACTATGAATCAAGTGCCATGCCTCTCCTGAAAACTCTATGAGGCCTGTCACTCTCTCCCACCCTCTCAGGCTCATTCACCACATACTAGATTTTCTATTCTTGTAATACCCCCAAAGCCCACCCCTACCACAGGTCTAGAATATTCTTCTCCCAGATCTTTGCCTAGCTAGCTCCTTCCTGACGTTCACCTCAATTTATATGTTACCTTCTAAGAGAAGTTTATCTCTTATTATTAAGTCAAACAGCGCCACAGTCAATCACATCCATTTAAATTTCTTCAGCATTTATCACTATTTATTCTTGTATTTATCTGTCTTCTTCCAATGAAATAATTTCTCCCTAAGAGCAGGGGCCTTGCCTATCTGTCCATCACTATTTCCTTAACACTTAGAACAATGCCTAGCACACAGCAGGTACTCAGTAAGTATCTGTGAAACGAATGAATGACAACATTCTCAGTCAGTGGGTAAACTCTACTTTAACTTTAACCCCTATAAATTTAGAAGAGCAGCTTCTTGGGGAAATGTCTATCTTGTTCATCCACATATTCCCAATACCTGACAGAGAACTGGAAATACAAATTGAAAAAACGAGTTTTAAGAAAGAATCTATAACCCCTAGTTTGCTGATACTGTGTCTATTATTAGGTAATGTGCTAATTATTTCACATACATTTTTCTAATCCCCATGTCAAATTTGTAAGGTAGCCATCATCCCTATTATTGAGGAAACTGAGGCTGAAAGAGAGAATTAAGAGACGTTTCCAGTCCACATAGCACAAATGAGGCCAGAGGATTCCCACCTAGGCAAGTCTGGCCCCAGGGTATTCTTTCCTCTGCACTAATTCCACCTCCTGGTGGTGCATGCCTTGGAGTCCCAGCTACTCAGGAGGCCACGGTGGAAGGACAGCATGAGCCCAAAAGTTTGAGGCTGCAGTGAGCTATGACCATGCATGTGAATAGCCACTGCAATCCAGCCTAGGCAACAAAGTGAGACCCTGTCTTAAATAAATATACAGGAGCATATGCATCAGTTATATGTAAATACTACACCAATCTATGTAAGGAACTTGAGCATCCAGAGGATTCTGGCATCCTGGGGCAAGGGCAGGTCCTGGAACCAATCCCATGGATAACCTGAGGGAACGACCATACTTCCAAATGGCTCTCTGACATCTACCTTACCCCCGAATGCAATACAAAATACAAAACCAAACTTGTTACCTTTCCTCCATTCATTCCCGCCGTTATCTTTAGTCTTCACCCAAATCCATCCCTATTAACTGGCAATACAAGCCTGACACCTAGGACCATCCTGATCCCTCCTGCTCTCTCACCAAATTCTAATGCTTCTAACGTCAAATACACTTCTGGAGCTGAGACCCACTTCTATATTCCTAATGCCCGTTGCCCATCACTTTTTATTCTGAACTATCACACGAGTCTCCCAACTAGCCTCCCCAAGTCTAGCCTTGTAATTACTAAGTTATTCATTCATATACAGACATGTAAACTATTAAAATTTATAGAAAACTCTTCAACAGTTGTCCCTATTTAGAAGGGCCTAATCCAAAGAAAACTCAGAAATTATGCAAAGGTCATTCATGCAACATTCATTATCAAACACAAACCATGAAGAACCCTCTACTTGGCACCAAGAATGCAAAGATAAATAAGGCAGCTCCCCTCAGGGAGCTGACAATCCCTGTCAACTACGATAGTGTTAAGTGCTTCAACAGAGCTTTGCTAAGGGTGCAAAGGTAACAAAACCCACGGGAAGATTCCTCAAGATGTAACCTAATACCTAGTCTCTTCTCCAGAAAAGATTACACTTGTAAACCATTCATGGACATAACACATTCCTAAAGGAAATTTCCTTTAATTTCTCACATTATTGCATTACCCACCCCTCCTCCATCATCTCAAGTGAAGACAATATTTTTCTTCTATCCTATTTGAACTGAGTGGCTATATTTGCAATTTCTCTTGCTATTTCCTTAAAGTAGTGACCTCAAATTTCACATCTGGACTCACTAATTACATTCCTAGGTACATAAAAGATTACTGACTATAGTCATTAATCGTAGGTCTATGTATACAATTAAACACATTTAAAAGCACACGCCGTGGAACCCAAAGCCGAGTCAAACTTCCCCAAAACTCATCATTTACTCTTGGCACTTTAAGATATACTTTAAAACTAGGTAGGCATTTGGTATATTATTGTTCAAGGCTTGCCGTTTTTGCCTAGAAAACTGAAATTTGGAGAAAAAGTTGATTTTGGAGCAGTAAAAACGCCAGTCGAATGACCTCAAAATAGTAAGAGCAAATGGAAATATGGTCATATAAACAGCTGTTCTCCAAACGACTGACTTGAAGAGGTCCTCATGTTTTACTAAACAAACTCTGAAAGTAACAGCAAAGTAA
The DNA here is from genome assembly GCF_000001405.40 of Homo sapiens. Taxonomy (NCBI): domain Eukaryota; kingdom Metazoa; phylum Chordata; class Mammalia; order Primates; family Hominidae; genus Homo; species Homo sapiens. Next base: position 12,992,067 of record NC_000018.10, on the reverse strand, counting down.
AAGTAGAGTGTATTAACATTCGTCTCATTTCACGTTCTGTTGATAATGAAATCATAGGCAAGGAATGTAGGTAAACTATTAGGAATAAATGAACGCAACCTAGCAGAAACCAAATCAAGTGAGTAAACGGAAGACAAGGGCATTAAGTTAAGTTAACAAGGTTACTTCCTGGGTCAGAATTTTAAACAAAAAGGAGGAACAGAACCGCCCATCACAGGGCACATAAAGGAAACATCACCGGTCACTTCACAAGCACACTGCAAGAAACTCCAGAGGGTAGCACGGAGAGGGCCTGTCCCTCAAGAGGTGGAAGTCCCCAGACAAGAGGGGAGGAAAGAAGGACGTGATCCCCTAACAGTCTGTCTCATCACGCCCGGCCAAAGCCCGATGACACAGAGGCGTGCAATTAATCCCAACCAGGCGGAGCTCAGCTCAGAGGCTGCGCCAGGCGCAGAGGCGCGGGAAGCGCGGCAGTCCCCTTGCTCGCGCCCTGAGGCCGCCCCACAGCCTGCGCCCCCACCCGGCCCAACCGTCACTGTCCCGTCGGTCCGGCAGCCGAAACGTAGGCCAAAGGTGCATGCGTCTGCCTCCCGCCTAGGCGCAGGCCGAGGCACCAGCGTCCCCCCTCACCGAGCCCGCGTCCCCGACTTCGGAGGGCAGTGTGCAGCGGGAAAGTCCACGGACTGAAGAGGTGTCCCAGGGCACTGCAAGTGCGCGTGCGCGTGGCCCCCGCACCGGCTGGAGCCCGGAACGGCCGTACCGCGCCCGCCTCTGGTTTACGTCTGTTCGCGGCACCAGGCAAGGGGAGGAGACTGAGCTGGCTTTTGATTGGACAGCGGGAAGACATGGGGCGGGAAGAAGCCCGGTGATTGGTGGGGACAGCGCGTTCCTGGATTTGAAGCGAGGAAGCCGCGCGCCCTGCGAGTCCGGAGGAGGAAATGGAGCTCTGCGCTGCGTGGGACCCGGGGGACGGCTCCCGTTGGCGCCGCCTTCAAGGTCTTGGCGAATTTGAAAATAATGCTTACTTTATTCAGTTTGGGTCTCCAGGGCACCGCCAGTCACTCTATGCGCAAAGAAGTATCCCCCGCCAACAAATCCCCCCCGATAGGTTTCGTCCTTCCGTGGGCAGATGCAGACCTTTCCTGTTGGTAGGCGCTGAAAGGCGTCAGGTTTCACCTTCAATCAGCTAATTCCTCGGGATCCAAGTTTCATGACATTTCGCCACATCTAGTCGCCTCTTTGTGACAGAGTAGGCTTTGTCTCGATTGCTTCCTACTTTTCTCCATCCTTCTTAGGCCACAAAACCCATCACCGCCATCTGCTCGGCACAGGCCCTTAACTACTTCACTGAGACCATGCCTTTCACTCAAAATGTATCTCAGTCTTTTTCAGTAAGGTCCCTTATCTCAAAATTTATTCCATATAGTCACAGAGGGAAAAGAGTCCCTCTTTTCCAAAGCTAACTCCTTAACTTCGTTCAAGTTACTGAAAGATGTCCGGCGCACCTTGGAGGAAAGAAGAGGGAAAACGCAAAGTTTAGAAGTCCCTAGACCTGAGGTTACTTGGTGGGGAAAGACGTCTGTTTACTTGACCACTTTCTACCTCCTGCAAACATGGCTCACCTGTCATTCTTGGATATCCTCTCCACTGGTTTCCTTCTCTCTGCCTACAAAAATGCAGCACCTCTCTACCCAAACACACACACCACACACCCATACACCACACACACCACTCACACCACAAACCACACACACCCACATATGCACCACACACACGTGTGTGACACGTATACACACATCCATACACAACACACACCCACATACACATCACCCACACACCACACACACCCTCCACACACAAACACCACTCAAACCACACACCCACACACACCCCTTCCTTGATTCTGTTTCATCACCTAATGACCATTCTTGTTTCCTTCCCTTAATGGTCTCCACTTTTTTTTCCATAGAGGAAGCCAGGCTTCCACTTTTTACACCTTATTTTGACGCATTTCATGGTGTCTAGCTGGGTCCTTAAAACTTTATCAGGAATAGACTCCTAATTGTCAAACTCAGTGATATCTCCACAGTTCGACACCTCTTCTTGGAACCCTGCAGCCTTGGTATTTGCAAAGAGTAATTACCTTTATTCTACCTTTGTCCACACTCAGTGAGCAAAGATAAATGCAGAAAATCTCAAGATTTTCTGAATCCCAAAAAAGTAAGCCAAATGCTCAGCCCTAGAGCTGACCTCTCTTAACCTCTTTTTCTACAAAGCGGTCACACATTGGAGGTGAACTGCTTAAATGTGTCTACAGGTTCCGGACTGTCACTCACACCAGATCCTTGTTAATAAATGTCCTTCCTCCATAAATATCCTCAAGTCACCACAGCACTCCCCACAACACTCAGTAACCTGATAGGACTCTATTAACAGAGATCTCTGATTCAGAGTCTCGGCAGCAGGAGAGCCTGGACTCTGACGCCAGGCTGCCTGGATCTGAATCCTGGCTCTACCTCCCTCTTCCAAACTGTGTAGCCTTGGGCAAGTAGCTTTAACCAGCCGGTTTCCTTGTCTGTAAAGTGGGGATAATTAAAGCGCTTGCCTCAGAGGCTTACTGTGAGGATTTAAAGCTACTTCTGTAAGGTATCTAGAAAAATAATGGCCCATGGAAATACTCAACAAACATTAGCTATTATCTTATACCTCAGTATCTCACCTCACTTGCCAACTGGAAAGGAGGAACAGAACTCCCACTGTGATTTCCAAATCTCTTTAGACACTGAGTAGAGCCTGCAGAGGCCCCATGACCAGGGTGCCTCCCAGGGAATTAGAAGTGAGGCCTATCCAGTTTTAAGTTCAGACATCTCTCAGCTCCCCTTTTACCAACTGCTTAAAGTGGTATGCCTCAGCCAATACTCAAAACCTTCTACAATGTAACCACAAGGTATGATTTCAGGTTAATGTCCCAGTAGTTCCCTAAATGAACCCTACTCTTTCATCAGACTGTTACTTATATCCTATTCCGTAAACACACCCCGGCCCTCTTTTACCTATTGAAATCAGACATCCCTTCCAAATTCTGCCAGCTCAAATAACTTGTCTCTTTTATGCCTACTATACAATTTCTACCATTATTACAAAGCTGAACCCATTACCTTTTGTAAATTCTAAAAATGCCTTCTCCCACGAGTGTAAGTTTGTGTGCAGACTACCTATTTTTCTACATACCCCAGTGTTTGGCACAGTATCTTGCACATGGTAGATGCTCAGGATTCACTAAATTAAACTGGAGAATGGTCTCAATTTCATTATTCCATTCTTACCCAAGGTACCTCTATGTCTGAAAGCTCAAAGACATGGCTTCTTAATTCTGGGTTAGATTCAGCATTAAGACTTCTTGTTTGATCCTCCATAAGGCTACAAGCCTAGCAAGTCATTTAACCAGAGGAAGACCTTTGAGAATTATTTGAAAAAGATATTTACATTGAAATGCTAACTTTAGAGACAAAACACTTTGATTATTAGACAATAAAACTCAAATGTTCCTTAAACTAAAATGAATAGGCTAGGTGAGGTGACTCATGCCTGTAATCCCAGCACTTTGGGAGGCCAAGGTGGGATGATGGATTGAGCCTAGGAGTTTGAGACCAGCCTGGGCAAAAAGTGAGACCCCTCACTAAAAAAAAATTTTAAAAAAATAGCCAGGGCATGGTGGCGTGCACCAGCAGTCCCAGCTACTCAAGAGACTGAGGTGGGGGGATCGCTTGAGCCCGGAAGTTCAAGGCTGCAGTGAGCCATGATCATGCCACTACACTCTAGCCTGGGCAACAGGGTGAGACACTGTCTTAAAAAATAAAAAATAAAATAAAATGAACAGAATCTTTCTATCAGCTCTTAATCCTTTGCATATTAAGAAGTACTAGAGCTATGACACTATTCAAGGAAAGGCGTCTTTGAAAATTAGAATAGTTATAATAACTATGTCACCTATGTGATTACCTGATATTTCATGTAATCTGTTACATGAAATACTGTTCAAAACACCTCTCTCTCTAGCCCTGATAAGAGGTTAAACCCTTGACAATTCCTGACAAAACTGAACCAACAAGCATATTACTAGTTTTAATCATTTTACCACAATTATAATCAAGTACATTCTCATTTTAAAATATTCTAGAAAATATTCTAATGTTGACTAATTAGACTGAAAGTCAACATCTGTCCATTCTAAATGTTAGTAGTCTACATACTGACTTTCTACCTTTTAAATAAATGTAATATTTGCTCACATCTCCTAATTTTTGTTTGGGTTTTTTGTGAGATAGTGAAAGAAGAGTAAGCCTTGGCAATTATCTTAAATAAAATACATTCTGTTTTTATAAGGCAAGAGATTCGTATATTTTTAAATATATTTTATTACATAACCTACTTGGATAATAATTACAAAAGCTTTAAACAGTAATTCCAAGTAGTGAAAGGCAATTTCCTTTAAAAAAAAAAAAAAAAAAAAAAGACCAAAAAGTCCACATTAGGTTTTGCTGCTTTATACACAGGAATGATTTATTTTACATACTAGTCAGTTACAACATTAGCCTGTAAAATGAAATCCATTTTTTAAGGTCTCATAAGGCAGAATAAACTTCATAATATTATGCTTTCACATTAGCCAGTCTGATAAAGCATAAACAACTTAAGACTATGGTAACAGTTTAAAATAAAATTTACAGAACAGGCACTTTGAAGTCAGCTACTGTGTGTAACTTCACAGTTAACGTTACTTGGACATATCTCATTTCATCAAAGGTTATCACCCAGTGAAGCAAATGTTCCTTTGATGCAGACGCACAAACAGATTTAGGTTCCAAACACTGTATTCTGGTTGTAATACATGCAAGACAGACCCTAAGTTAGAAAAATCTTCTGAAAGAAAATGAAAAACAAAAAGCAGCCAGAAATGAAAGCATTTACAAGCACTTGAATAAGGCCTTTCAATGTTAAATCAGTGTTTTAAATCCCTTCATTCTCAGGTAAGGGATTAAGAGGCCGAGAGAGATATCGTCTGCGAGGGTGAGGATACTGGAGGTTGGCAGTGTCAGCATCGCAAGAGTGCTCTACCAGAGGAGGAGGAGGAGGAGGAAGGAGCTGGGCATAACTGGACCATCTCGATCCAGCCCGTGGGGAATCCAGAGGGGTAAAGAAATACCTGAAACAATGAAGACAGGAACAAAACACCAAACAAAACAAAAACAGGAAAAAAAAAACACAAGAAAAAGAGAAAAGTAGTAAATACAAAGAGAACCAAAGAGGAGAAAACACATGCTAGAAAAAAAAAAAAAAGCTTTAGTATATTCATGCCAAAACTAACAGAACATAATAGCACAAATCAAGACCCTTACTCAAATCAAGATTGCTTAAGCAAGTATAGAAACTTGAAAGGAATACAATCTGTTAAACTTAAAATGTTAAAAAATATATATAAATGTTACAAAGAAAAACATTAATTTTATAAATTCAAAACATTTTCTAATCTCTCAGAAACATCTGATGCTATTCTGTACATTTACAGATCTAGTTAAGTTTTTTATCTTAAGCAATGGTTCACTCACAGCAGCAGCAAGCACACATTTTTTTTAGTGCGTACATGATACTGGGAATACACATAGTATGGCTGGCTACTGCAACATGCTTTTGAAGAACTACAAACATTGAACACTTATTTTTCTGCAAAAGCCTTAGAATAGCTACCAAATTTTGATAAGTAAAAGGATTCACAGAATGACTGTGCCCTACTGTTATTCTTCTTCCATCTTGTAACTTACCGATAATACTTACGCATATTAGCAAACTTAAATATTTATAGCTTTGTTATCAAGGTCAGAACTTTACAGGACATGAATTAATTTAAACAGCGAACTAAATTAAGAAAATCTTGAGACATGGAATGCTGACAATTAATTTACATGCACAATTTTAGTAAAATTTTAATGGCTTCTCTTAATAGTGTGTGTCCAAATTTTGATTTGAAGGAAGCTAAGCCATGGAATAAATAACACCATAAAAATACACAAATGTATATAAGAAACATTTATCTCTTTAGTGACTATGAATTAAAAACTTATAAAAAAAGTGTTTCCATCTTAGTCCCAAATTGTAAATGAAACAATACCAAATGCTTAACCTGGCTACAAACTGTACAGTCAAGTTCCTTTCATTTTACTATTACTACTTTATTAATTCACTCCTTTACTAATATTTTTTAAATATTACAAAGAAATGACAGAGTTGTACTGAATATCATGGATAAAGCAAATCTACAAAAAGTAAACAAATCAGCACTCAAAACAATCTTTATAAAAAATATTTATTCAATCTTCAAATTAAAATTATAAAAGTTCATCATTTTAAGCTGTTTTAAGAAAGCAAAAGAAATATGTCTATATTTTCCAAATGAACTAAAGTGGTATTCCCCTCCTCCCAACTACTCAGATAAGAATGGTAACAACCCTTTTAATCTTTAAACCCAAATTAGTTTCAGGAACATTTCAAAAAATTGTTTTGGTGACAATGTCTCAACAGAAAGCCTCTCCGTTTATATTTCAAAAGTTTCAAATAGTGTCAATAAACTGACTAGTACAAAAAATATACACTGTATTTTTAAAGGCCTTTTGGATTGCGTTTAGTAGTAAGCAGGCTGCTGGTGTATCTTGGGAGAGGTCAAACGGCGCTGGGGAAGGGGAAAAGGAGCTCGCTTTCCATTCCTGTGTGCATGCAACAAGCAGCAAAACAGCAAAGTTACTCCAGTTAGCTTGTACTCAGCTGTGCTTTCTGTTAAAGGACATAATACAAATGGAAAAGGGAAAATGCATCACAGATCTAACACAGATGGTTATTGGCACAATAAGAATACAGATCAAAAAATAGAAGCTATTTACAAAAGAAAATATGCAGTACAGGCAGTGACCAAAAACCAGACTTTAAAAAATCAACTCTAATATTATTTGTTTCATGAAATAATCTTTATAATCTGGTATCTTCCACGGTAACCTGAAATTGTTTTGATGCATGTACTTAAAACCTCAAAATCAAAAGCAGAACTTCTTTATGAAAACATAACAATATAAAAATAGTTGAAATTTTAAATACAATTTTCTTCTTTTATATAGGATAACAAGAGGATATAACCACAGGACAATTCATTAGGCTGTGTTTTGACGTTTCCTGAATTCTATTCCAAATTATTCACAAAGGCATATTAAAATAATTTTATCTTACAAATTCACATATTTAAAATTTGAACATGGAAACAGACTCTAGATGACATCAAATATTCCTTATTATGATATACAAGAATGTAACATATGCTAAATATTCTAAAAATCAATCTCGTGTTTTATTATTTCCTCTTATTTCTATTAAAGTTTTAAACACAAAAGCCAAATAACTTAATGTACCCTCTTCTAGAAAGCCTTAAGAAATGTATTTTATTTAAAATTTCAGTTTGACCTAATGCAAAGACCACACTACAAGCACTAAAAAACACTAATGTTCATTTGGACTAAAACTCTCACCATTAAACCAGATAACCTTCCTCTCACTGTTGCGGAAGCAAAGTTGAATCTTAAACCTGTAAACATTTCTACCAATAGACCACTAAAGCTTCAGAATATAATGTAATGACTTCATAACCTACCTGCAAATATTATGACCAAGTAAGCCAAATACATAGCTAACAAAATGAATTCTTAAATGCTAATACAAGCACATGTGAACATTTCCACTCCATCTTATAATCCATGAAATAATCCACCTTAAGTATGGCTACCAGAATGATTTAAAACAAAGATGATTTCCAGTTTTCCCATGAAGCAGCCTACCTGCCAGCAGAAGATCCATTTAATGAATTCTGAAGACTTGGAATAGTTGAACCTAGGGAAGGATTTGAGGTTCCCTGCTGAGAACTCCCATTGACTGGGCTCCCATTACCTTTCAAAATACCAGTACACTTCCAATTGTCCATATAATTAGCTGAAAGGAAAATAATCAAATACATTAACATGATTAATACCAATGCCTAAGGGCACAAATCTGTACCCATGTCCTTAAACTACAATTAAAGAAACGAGACAGAGGCTATGAGCTACATTTCTTTCAGGATAAACATTAAAGACACTTTTTAAATGAAAGACATATTATCTCAGTTTTAACAACTTTTTAGAAGTTTTCAAAGTATCACTAATTTTAAAAATATAAAGCTTTCACCACCCATCTTACAGATACTAGCAAAGACAATTCTCTGAGCTACCACATTATGAAGTTAATATTAAAATCTTCATTATAATATTAAAGTCTTCATTATAATGAATTTCACTTACATATGTATGTAAGGTAATGAAGTTGTCTTCTTAATTATGCAAGTATAAGTTATAAGGGTACCTATCATGTCTTCTGAAATGGATGTAGGTAACAAAACCTTTGGAGCTTCAGTGGCTTATCCAAAATGGCCTTATTAGTTTGAATGAAAAATTGGTCTCTGAAGACAATGAGCCCAAGAAAATCAAGTTAGGCACCCTGCTGGGGAGCATGGCAAGGTGGTCCTGAATAAAGCCTAAAGGCAGAAAAGGACAGCAAAGCCCCTAAAATCAAATTACACTGAGGAAAGGAAGGTCTGGGCTGGTTTTACCAAAGCCCAAAATTGAACATGGGAGGCCCTCAAGCTTACCCAAACTGCACTTTGGGAAACAATAACTGCTAAATGGCAAATAAACAAAGATAGCTATAATTCTGAATGCTAAGTATGGGACACCATTCTATGGTGGTGCACAAATCACAGACATCTCTGCCTAATGGATAATCATCCAAGGAGAAGTGCAGAACCAAGCTACAGAGACCACAGTCAGTGTCAACTGACCAGACCTTCTCACTCAGCCTGGCACTTAGAAGAAACTTACAATCAGGGCCCCCAAGGCTCTTAACTTATGGGAGCTGCAGAGAAGAAGCAGGGAAGATACTGGATTTTCTCCTATTAAGGATGGATTGTCTAAAGCAATTTATTTGATAAAAAAGGAGCCACTACAGTCCTAGCCTGAGTTTGTAGAGCAGTCATGTAAGGTACATATATGACAACTGGTATCTTTTTATTGGAGATATTGCATATTCTGTTGTAATTACTTTAGTTTTGAAAACTGCTCTGTTCCACATAACTTAAAAAACAATTCAGTCATTAACTTCTATGAACTAGGTAAACTGATGTTCAAAATAACATAAATTAATATGACATTAAAAGTAACTGTAAAAGACCATTTTCAAAAAATATTTCAGAGTTTACATTTTAAGTAAAAATTGCAGAGCAGAAATATAAACCAACAATTACCCCTTCACTGAACTCTTACCTTTCCACAATCTTACACACCCATCATCTCCTGAAGATGCTAGCACCGTTCCTGTTATATTCCAACTCACTCGCCAGACCTGAGAATTATGATTATCGAACTGAGCCACTATATGGATTTCAAACTTTGTTGGCCCACCAGAGGAAGTCAGTTCTTTCCTGTTAATAAAAAACATTTTCTGAGGCATTCCAAACAAAGTTTTAAAACATATATATATACACACACATATATATATACACACGTAAAATTCTAAATTAATACAAGTGGTCTCGCCACCACATCACTTTATAATAATGTGCACATCTGCCCAAACCCCACACCTTGGCCCTTGAGCTGGGCCAATGTCATTTTCATTTAACTCGCCAAGACCTGGAGTGATCCCAGCACATAAATGATACTCAGTGACTGTTTCATGGAAGAAAGAAACAACAAAACAGGATGATTTTATTCTCCCACACAAGGCAGAAGAATAAAATAGATGACAATAATTAATTTAAAAAGGCAGGGCAAGGCCAGGTGCAGTTGCTCACACCTGTAATCGCAGCACTTTGGGAGGCCAAGGTGGACAGATCACTTGAGGCCAGGAGTTCAAGACCAGCCTGGCCAACATGGCGAAACCCCATCCCTACTAAAAATACAAAATAAAAAATTAGCCAGGCATGGTGGCGGGCGCCTGTAGTCCCAGCTACTCAGGAGGCTGAGGCATGAGAATTGCTTGAACCTGGGAGGTGGAGGTTGCAGTGAGCCAAGATCAAGCCACTGCCCTCCAGCCTGGGCAACGGAGTGAGACCTTGCCTCAAAAAAAAAAAAAAAAAAAAAAAAAAATGGGCAGGGCAGCAAGTAGGAAAGAATGAAAGAATGGAAAGAAAAGAACTGAAATTCACAATTCAAAATTAAAGTTAAATATGTTATTCACAAGACTGTCTCAATACTAATTTAGTTTTCCCTAAATAGACTGCCACTTGTCATTAAATATTTATAGATTATCAGTTATATTTGGAGAATTGTTAGTTTCAGCCTAAATAAAGCACAGTTAAGAGAATATAAATCTGCTCTTGACTCAATTCCCCTTTCCAAAAAGACATATATTTATATATAAAATGTTCATTAAATAATCCATTCTTCAAAAATGACATTAATTTAAAAGTAACTGTAGGTGTTGGCCGGGCTGGTCTCCAGCTCCTAACCGCGAGTGATCCGCCAGCCTCGGCCTCCCGAGGTGCCGGGATGGCAGACGGAGTTGCATTCACTCAGTGCTCAATGGTGCCCAGGCTGGAGTGCAGTGGCGTGATCTCGGCTCGCTACAACCTCCACCTCCCAGCTGCCTGCCTTGGCCCCCCAAAGTGCCGAGATTGCAGCCTCTGCCCGGCCGCCACCCCGTCTGGGAAGTGAGGAGCGTCTCTGCCTGGCCACCCATCGTCTGGGATGTGAGGAGCCTCTCTGCCTGGCTGCCCAGTCTGGAAAGTGAGGAGCGTCTCTGCCCGGCCGCCATCCCATCTAGGAAGTGAGGAGCGTCTCTGCCCGGCCGCCCATCATCTGAGATGTGGGGAGCATCTCTGCCCGGCCGCCCTGTCTGAGAAGTGAGGAGACCCTCTGCCTGGCAACCGCCCCGTCTGAGAAGTGAGAAGCCCCTCCGCCCGGCAGCCACACCGTCTGAGAAGTGAGGAGCCCCTCCGCCCGGCAGCCACCCCGTCTGGGAAGTGAGGAGCATCTCCGCCCGGCAGCCACCCCGTCCGGGAGGGAGGTGGGGGTCAGCCCCCCGCCCGGCCAGCCGCCCCGTCCGGAAGGGAGGTGGGGGGGGTCAGCCCCCCGCCCGGCCAGCCGCCCCGTCCGGAAGGGAAGTGGGGGGGTCAGCCCCCCGCCCGGCCAGCCGCCCCGTCCGGGAGGTGAGGGGCGCCTCTGCCCGGCCGCCCCTACTGGGAAGTGAGGAGCCCCTCTGCCCGGCCAGCCGCCCCGTCCGGGAGGGAAGTGGGGGGTGTCAGCCCCCCGCCCTGCCAGCCACCCTGTCTGGGAGGTGAGGGGCGCCTCTGCCCGGCCGCCCCTACTGGGAAGAGAGGAGCCCCTCTGCCCGGCCAGCTGCCCCGTCCGGGAGGGAGGTGGGGGGGTCAGCCCCCCGCCCGGCCAGCCGCCCCGTCCGGGAGGGAGGTGGGGGGGTCAGCCCCCCGCCCGGCCAGCCGCCCCGTCCGGGAGGGAGGTTGGGGGATCAGCCCCCCGCCCGGCCAGCCGCCCCGTCCGGGAGGGAGGTTGGGGGGTCAGCCCCCCGCCCGGCCAGCCGCCCCGTCCGGGAGGGAGGTGGGGGGGTCAGCCCCCCGCCCTGCCAGCCGCCCTGTCCGGGAGGTGAGGGGCGCCTCTGCCCGGCCGCCCCTACTGGGAAGTGAGGAGCCCCTCTGCCCGGCCAGCCGCCCCGACCGGGAGGGAGGTGGGGGGGCCAGCCGCCCCGTCCGGGAGGGAGGTGGGGGGGTCAGCCCCCCGCCCGGCCAGCCGCCCCATCCGGGAGGTGAGGGGTGCCTCTGCCCGGCCGCCCCTACTGGGAAGTGAGGAGCCCCTCTGCCCGGACAGCCGCCCTGTCCGGGAGGGAGGTGGGGGGGGGTCAGCCCCCCGCCCGGCCAGCCGCCCCGTCCAGGAGGGAGGTGGGGGGGTCAGCCGCCCGTCCGGGAGGGAGGTGGGGGGGTCAGCCCCGCGCCCGGCCAGCCGCCCCGTCCGGGAGGTGAGGGGCACCTCTGCCCGGCCGCCCCTACTGGGAAGTGAGGAGCCCCTCTGCCCGGCCAGCCGCCCCGTCCGCGAAGGAGGTGGGGGGGTCAGCCCCCCGCCCGGCCAGCCGCCCCATTCGGGAGGTGAGGGGTGCCTCTGCCCGGCCGCCCCTACTGGGAAGTGAGGAGCCCCTCTGCCCGGACAGCCGCCCCGTCCGGGAGGGAGGTGGGGGGGTCAGCCCCCCGCCCGGCCAGCCGCCCCGTCCGGGAGGGAGGTGGGGGGGTCAGCCCCCCGCCCAGCCAGCCACCCCGTCCGGGAGGTGAGGGGCGCCTCTGCCCGGCCGCCCCTACTGGGAAGTGAGGAGCCCCTCTGCCCAGCCACCACCCCGTCTGGGAGGTGTACTCAACAGCTCATTGAGAACAGGCCATGATGACAATGGTGGTTTTGTGGAATAGAAAGCGGGGAAAGGTGGGGAAAAGATTGAGAAATCGGATGGTTGCCGTGTCTGTGTAGAAAGAAGTAGACATGGGAGACTTTTCATTTTGTTCTATACTAAGAAAAATTCTTCTGCCTTGGGATCCTGTTGATCTGTGACCTTACCCCCAACCCTGTGCTCTCTGAAACATGTGCTGTGTCCACTCAGGGTTGAATGGATTAAGGGTGGTGCAAGATGTGCTTTGTTAAACAGATGCTTGAAGGCAGCATGCTCGTTAAGAGTCATCGCCACTCCCTAATCTCAAGTACCCAGGGACACAAACACTGCAGAAGGCCGCAGGGTCCTCTGCCTAGGAAAACCAGAGACCTTTGTTCACTTGTTTATCTGCTGACCTTCCCTCCACTATTGTCCTATGACCCTGCCAAATCCCCCTCTGGGAGAAACACCCAAGAATGATCAATAAAAAAAAAAAGAAAGAAAAAAAAGTAACTGTAAAAGACCATTTTTAAAAAACATTTCAAAGTTTACATTTTTAAGTAAAACTTCCAGAGCAGAAATATAAACCAAATCATAGTTACCTCTACTCTCTCCTCCACAAACAAAGGTAATCAGAAGGCAAGAGTATTTTCAAATTCATAAATGCTTCTAAAACTCACCTCACAGGCTTTAATGTAAAAATTCTCACATCTTTGGTCGCTATTGCTAGAATATGGAAAGATCTTCCCAAATTTGGAGCGAATGCAATATCATGAACAGGATCAGTGACTGTCATAAGAGTTTCAGCTTTTGCATATTTCCTAATGGAAAAACAATTGACATTAACATTTTAGAAATAAAATGTGCAAAAATCCACACATCACTGCATCTCACCTTTTTTTCACACTGCTCACAATCATGTAGTGCTCACCTCTGTAGTGGGCTCAACAGCAGCCCCCAAAAGAATATGTCCAAGTCCTGACCCCCAGACCCTGTGAATGTGACCTTATTCAAAAATAGCGTCTTTGAAAATGTAATTAAGGACCTCAGAATGACATCCGAGATTTAGGGTGGGTCCTAAATCCAACGTGCAGTAAGTATTCTTTAAAAAGAAGAGAAGAAACGCAGAGACAGAGAGGAGGCAGCCATGTGAACACAGAGGCAGAGATTGGAGTTATGCTGCCACAAGCCAAAGAACTCCCGGAGCCAGCAGGAGCTGGACTAGACCAGGAAGGATTCTAGAGGAAGCACAGCCCCAACACCTTGATTTCAGACTTCCGACCTCCAGAACTGTGAGTGAATACATTTCTGTGTTAAGCCACCTGATTTGTGGTAATTTGTTATGGCAGCCCTAGGAAATTAATACAACCTCCCACGTTTCCTCCTTTAATAATGTACATTTAGCTCGAAACGCTTTAATAAAAATTTAATTACAATAAGGTCTTGGCTGGCCACAGTGGCTCACACCTGTAATCCCAGCATTTTGAGAGGCTGAGGTGGGAGAATTGCTTGAACCCAGTAGTTCAAGACCAGCCTGCGCAACACAGCAAGACCCCATCTTTACAAAAAATACAGAAATAGCTGGGCATGGTGGTGCACACCCATTGTCCCAGCTACTCAGGAGGCTGAGGTGGGAGGATGGCTTGAGCCCAGGAGGCGGAGGTTGCAGTGAGCTGAGATTACGCCACTGCACTCCAGCCTGGGCAACACAGTAAGACTCAACTGCAAAAATAAAAAATAAAAAAGGGCTTGATTTATTAGCCACTAACATCTTTCTTAGGAAAAGAGTAACACATTGCCTAAGTATTTGAATGTAAATAAAAAAGTAAAGCTGGTAACAGGAATTGAGGTTTTTTTGAGACAGTTTCACTCTTGTGCTGGAGTGCAATGGCGCAATCTTGGCTCACTGAAACCTCCGCCTCCTGAGTTCAAGTGATTCTCGTGCTTCAGCCTCCTGAGTAGCTGGGATTACAAGCGTGCACCACTACGCCTGGCTAATTTTGTATTTTTAGTAGAGACAGGGTTTCACCATGTTGGTCAGGCTGGTCTTGAACTCCTGACCTCAGGTGATCCACCCGCCTCTGCCTCCCAAAGTGCTAGGATTACAGGTGTGAGCCACTGCGCCCAGCAGGAATTGAGTTAAGTGATAATAAAAGGAAACTATGCAAAGGCTATTTCATCCTTGCAATTCTATTTCTTTATCTATAAATACAGAATAAGAGGATAATGAAGGCAGTGGTAGATCAGAGTTTTCTACTAGGTTCTTCTAAGATTGAATATCCTGGACAGAACGGCAGCACCTAACCCCCTGCATGTAGGAGACTGGGTGGAGACATCTCCCCATCCCACCTTTCTACAGCATTCTTCACTTGACCTTCTTTTCATCCCAACATTCTTCCTAAAATCTCTACCAAGCTGGTACACACCTCAAGGTTCTCTCCTTGATCTTTCTCACCCATCCAATCACCCTAAGCAATCTCATCCACATCCTTGCTTCTACTGTGTGGTCTGCAGCAGCCTGGGAGCTTCTGGGAAATCCAGAATCTCAGCCCCCTCCTGGGGCCTACACAATCAGAATATGCTTTTTTTTTTTTTTTGAGACAGAGTCTGGCTCTGTCGCCCAGGCTGGAGTGCAGTGGTGTGATCTCGGCTCACTGCAAGCTCCGCCTCCCAGGTTCATGCCATTCTCCTGCCTCAGCCTCCGGAGTAGCTGGGACTACAGGGGCCTGCCACCACGCCCGGCCAATGTTTTTTGTTTTTTTTGTATTTTTTAGTAGAGACAGGGTTTCACCATGTTAGCCAGGATGGTCTCGATCTTCTGACCTCGTGATCTGCCCACCTCGGCCTCCCAAAGTGCTGGGATTCAGGCGTGAGCCACTGCGCCCGGCCAGAATATGCATGGTTTCTACACCCATGGTTTCAGTACCTATAAACCAATAATTCCTAAATCTATCCCCTGCAATTCAGGGGATAGATTCTGGCCTTCTACCAAAGGCCAGAAATAGGACAGGTGGAGCTAAGAGCACACATGCTGCAGCCAGAACGTGTTTGAATCCAGGCTGTAACGACCTTCAGCAAGTTCTCCGTAAAGTGGGAGGAACACCCGTACTGTGGCAGAGAGATTCTAAGTGCCCCCATGACCCGCACCTCCTGGTGGTCCCGCCCTTGTGGAGGCTCCTCCCCATGAGTGTGAGTGGGGCCCGTGGCTTGTTTTCTACCCAGGGGACGGAACATGGCAAGGTGGTGGGACAACACCCGTGTGACTACAACACACAAGCCTGTGACGCCTGCCTCATGAGAAGACTCTCCTGCTTTCAGGCCTTGCAGAAGCAGCTGCCATGCTGTGAGGACACAAGGGAGGGTCTCGTGGCAGGAACACGAGTGCTGCCAACAACCAGGTGAGCTCCGAAGTGGAGTCTTTCCCAGTCTGGCCTGACTCTTGACCCACAGACATTGAAATACCGAATCTGTACTGTTTCAGCCACTGAGTGATAATGCTGTCATGCAGCAATAGACAACTAATCTCAGCTATTCTATCCATCTGCCTTTACACATCCCCACCTGGATGTTCCAAACGCACCTCAAACATATGTCTGAAATAAATTGTGCTTACCACATTCACTCCTCTTTGCTCAGTCCCCATCTCAACAAGTGGCACTACCATCAGCTAGGTCAGAAACCAAGACTCACGTGACCTACAGCTGGTGCCTCCTAGACAAGTCTCCCCGGTCCCTCTTCATCCCACGCCACAGTGCATGTCCTCATTCCACATCATAGTGGGCTACTGCATTCATCCCTGAGTTCCTGCTCCCAGTCCACACAGCTGCCAAAGTCATCTCCCTAAAAGGTAAATACAACCTTGTGACTCTACTGGACCCTGCAAAAGTCCAAATGCTGCCAGGATAGAGATCAGACTTGGCAAGCACCACTCTCCAAAATCTGCCTGGCCTGTTGGCCTGCCCCTCCCCTGTCTCTCTCCTGCATTAGCCTCCCCACCCACCGCCTCGACCCCACGCCCTTGTCTTTGCTCCTGCCTCCTCTCTGCTTGCAGAACACCCTCTGTCTTTCAAGATTCATGCTCAAACATCATCAGCTGAAACTTCTCACCCTACCAGGCAGGTATGTGCTGCCATCTCTAGCAGGTGACCATCCTCATCCATATCCTAGGCGCTGTAAGCTCCTTCAGCTCTTAGTACAGTCCATGCTGCTTATGAAATGTTGAAAAAGTGAGATTTTTTTTTTCTTACCTGAGGCAAGCTATATATTGTAATTAATTAAGGTGGCTGGGCACGGTGGCTCACGCCTGTAATCCCAACACTTTGGGAGGCCGAAGCAGGCAGATCACCTGAGGTCGACAGTTCGAGACCAGCCTGACCAACATGGAGAAACCCCATCTCTACTAAAACTACAAAATTAGCTGGGTGTGGTGGCACATGCCTGTGATCCCAGCTACTTGGGAGGCTGAGGCAGGAGAACTTCTTGAACCCAGGGGGCGGAGGTTACGGTGAGCCGAGATCACACCATTGCACTCCAACCTGGGCAACAAGAGTGAAACTTCATCTCAAAAAAAAAAATAAAATAAAAATAAAAATAATTAAGGTTATCTAAAGCTTCTCCTATCAGAAGGAGCCAAATAAGATCCTCAATGAGAGTGTAAATAAAGAGAATGAACAAAAAAGACTTTGTTTCTGGTCCTGACTCTGGACCTTAGACTAGTCATTCACTCTGTTGGTCTCAGTTTTCTCATTTGTAAAACAGTGTTAATAAAAGCTGTCTCCTCTACTTACAAGGTGGTTGGTAGGATTCAAACTTCATAACACACATAAAAATGCCCGGTAACCTATATAAACACATGGCACTTCTATTATCACTATCAATCCTAGATCTGTTTTAGTATTTTCACTCACAAATAAAAACAAATATATCCAACACTGGTTAATTTGGCAAATGTCTCCTGTCTACTAAATGGTGATACTACTTAGAAAAAGATAAACAGGCCGGGCGTGGTGGCTCACACCTGTAATCCCAGCACTTTGGAAGGCTGAGGTGGGCGGATCACAAGATCAAGAGATGGAGACCATCCTGGCCAAAATGGTGAAACCCCATCTCTACTAAAAATACAAAAGTTAGCTGGGCATGGTGGCGGGTGCCTGTAGTCCCAGCTACCGGGGAGGCTGAGGCAGGAGAATCGCTTGAACCCGGGAGGCAAAGGTTGAAGCGAGCCAAGGTTGCGCCACTGCACTCTAGCCTGGAAACAGAGTGAGACTCCATCTCAAAGAAAAAAAAAGAGAGAAAAAGATAAACAGGTATTAATAACGATACTACATAGTCCACTATCACATCTCCTCCACGTTCAATCTAAATAAGAACCTTCAAACAATGCTTACCTCAAAGAACCAGCAACAGAACTCCAAAAAGTGCTGAACTTAATAGGTTTGATTACTTCCCAAGTCAATAGCACACACCCCCACCTGCAGACACTCTTTCCCCAACACCACTTCCCCTCGTTTTTGATGCTGAAAATGCCAGACACTTGCTGTCTCACTCTCTTGCAGCTAAGGCATGGCTGGATGACCAAACTCCAGCCGCCAGCACCTGATAAGAAGCCTGCTAAGATACTTCTAGGAAAGGTGTTTTTTTCTAGAATACCCTTCTTTGTATTAGCATGTAAAACCTGACATTGTGCAGCTCTTTTGTGATCATAAGAGGGAGCTATCACCAGTGTACTAAGCATGACAGCAAGAAAAAAGTGGAAAATATTTAGGTAGGTCCTTGATGTCATCATTGAGCAACTGAGTCACTACCTAACCCCAGAACTGCTCCACCCTCAGGCTCCTTGTCACATGACATAATACAGGGAATCCCCCAGTCTAGATTTATTCTGTTAGCTAAGAGACTAGACTCAAATGCAATCTCAGATTATTTTTAACATTGGATTATTTAGGTAATTTAGAAATACTTAGGTAATTTCTAGGCCGGCCGTGGTGGCTCACACCTGTAATCCCAGCACTTTGGGAGGCCGAGGTGGGTGGATCACCTGAGGTCAGGAGTTCAAGACAAGCCTGGCCAACATGGTGAAACCCCGTCTCTACTAAAAATACAAAAATTAGCCAGGCGTGGTGGCACGCACTTGTAATCCCAGCTATTCAGGAGGCTAAGGCAGGAGAATCACTTGAACTCGGGAGGTAGAGGTTGCAGTGAGCTGAGATTGCATCACTGCACTCCAGCTTGGGTGACAGAGTGAGACTCTCAAAAAAAAAAAAAATAGGTAATTTCTATTTGCCTGTATTTTCTTTCAGAACTAACTGCAAGTTATTTATCTTTTTACTCAAATCTTACTTATGAAATATTTTCTTTTCCTATGTTTTAGAAAAAAATCTTTTTTTGACACTGCTGGAGTGAAGTGGTGCAATTTTGATTTACCGCAGCCTCGACCTCCCAGGCTCAGGTGATCATCCCACCTCAGTCTCCCAAGTAGCTGGAACTACAGGCATGCGCCATCATCCCCACAGCTAATTTTTGTACTTTTTGTAGCGAAAGGGTTTCACCATGTTGTCCAGGCTGGTCTTGAATTCCTAGACTCAAGTGATCCACCCACCTCAGCCTCCCAAAGTGCTGAGATGGCAGGCATAAGTCACCTCGCGTGGCCAATGATACACCTTTTACGTTTTTGGGCTTATGTCTACATATTCATTCTGCTCAGCTCAGGTTGAAATTTACTTTAACAAGCCCAACACTTCATGAAGCCTCTATAAAATGTGCTATTAATAGGGCTCATAGTTTTTACAGCTTAAAACTCCATGAAAATCTCTAAGACCATTTCCCATCACTGCAGCACATTCTACTGGACAGCACTGTTGAAGACTGAGCCTCTCTGCAGACACCAACAATCTAGGAAGGTAGAAGGTGTAAGATCCCCTTGGTAACCCAGATGGTAACATTTGGAATTGCAGAGCCCACGGGAGTAACACTAGTTCCTTCTCTACTGCTGGCCCTGCCTAAGATCTGACTATTAGACTCAAGAATTTTGTCTAGTACCTGCGAAGCCCATCTGATCACCTGACAAGTGCTCTCTTCTCCTGTAAGACTGAGTAGTGTGCCTCTGAGACACTGCTTTTGGCTCTCAGAAGCTTTGCAGACACTTGTATCTCGGCATGACCAAAATTAACTTACCTTCACATGCTGCCACACTCTACCCAAATCTGCCTTGTTCCCAGAGTTCCTTATCTCAAGAAATTACACACATTGAAATTACACACTGAACTCTTAAGCCAGAACCTTGGAAATCATCTTAACACCTTCCCCCTTCTTCCTCAGTTCAGTTCTCAAATCCAATCAATCACCAGATCCTATTGATACCACTTCTCAATTATTCTCAAGTTGTCCACTTATCTCCATGCCACTGCTACTACTATCCCAAAGCCACGTACTCTCCCACCTGGACTGTCTTCATAGCATCCTAGCCGTGAATCCACCATGTTTCCCTCCAAAACACTTGTCACACCTATAGAAGATCCATCTGATCCCATTATTCCCTATTCACATCACCTGTAAGATAAAACTGAAACAATGGACATTACTTCTTATAGATACAAGTCTTGCCTATTTCTCTCCACACTCATTTTTGCCCAGCATGTTCCAACAACAGTATAAATATACTCCCTCTCTCTTGCTCACGGCCTTACCACATGCAGTTTTCTCCACCAGGAGTGCTTCTGCCCTCTTTGTCTGGCTAACTTCTACTCACCCTATAGGTCATCTTCTAGGTGAACCTTCCTAGCCCCTAAACCAGATTAGGTTCCCCAGGTATAAGCTCTTTAGCACCCTAATTCTTCCACTTCATAAGATTCATCACCCTTTTTTACTATTATTTTTTGTTTCACTGCAAGATGGTACATCATACTGGGAGATCAATTACCTTCTCCTCTTTTTTTTTTTGAGGCAGGGTTTCGCTCTTGTTGCCCAGCCTGGAGTGCAATAGCGCAATCTCAGCTCACTGCAACCTCCGCCTCCTGGGTTCAAGCGATTCTCCTGCCTCAGCCTCCCGAGTAGCTGGGATTACAGGCACCTGCCACCACACCCAGCTAATTTTTTGTACTTTTAGTAGAGACGGGGTTTCACCATATTGGCCAGGCTGGTCTACTTTCTCCTCTTTATCACTCATGCCTGTGCTATCACAGCCTAGCACAGAACTTGGTATATTATAGTAAATCAGCAAACATATGATGAATGACACATAATTCTGTAAATGAATAAAGAAATAACATTTTAAAAAATTAAATGCAATTCTGAACAATTATTAAAACCAAAGCAGGACTGACCTGGTGTTTTCATTATATTCAAAAATCTGAACCTTGGCCATTGCGTTGGGGCTACTGTCATC
The DNA here is from genome assembly GCF_000001405.40 of Homo sapiens. Taxonomy (NCBI): domain Eukaryota; kingdom Metazoa; phylum Chordata; class Mammalia; order Primates; family Hominidae; genus Homo; species Homo sapiens. Next base: position 12,971,189 of record NC_000018.10, on the reverse strand, counting down.
ACTTCCTACGGCGATCATGGGGGAATGAGCACGAGAGCTAGAAACGGGGAGAAAGAACATTTTAGATAACAAAAGAAATACACATTTCATTCACAGAATGAACACACTGGAGGCAAGCAGACAACCAGCTTACAGTTAGCCTGTCACACTACTAGTGAATCTAGGTCTCTGCCACATAGCTGACATGGCCACACTGCAAGTATGCACCTGAGAATGTCACACATGGGAACTGAAGATTCCATCCTTATGAACTGTTTTTAGCATATTCTTATGGCTCAGATAGAAAGGAGCTCTTTGCCTGAAAAAAGCTTTCAAGCATTCAACATATTTTTAAAAGATACTTAAGAGGTCTTAGTAATTTTTCCTCCTGAAATTTTTGGTCATTAACTATGAAACAAAAAGTAACCCTACTGTGACTAACTTCATGACAAAAAGATCTTAAGTGCTTTGACAAAAAGAAGAAACACTGCGGCAGGGTGGCTCATGCCTGTAATCCCAGCATTTTGAGAGACTCAGGAGAGAGGATCATTTGAGGCCAGGAGTTCAAGAAGAACCTGGGCCACATAATAAGACTCTATCTCTACAAAAAAAAAATTTGTTTAATTAGCCTGGTGTGGTGGCATGTGCCGTTTGTCTCAGCTACTCAGGAGCTGAGGCAGGAGGATCACTTGCGCCCAGGAGTTGGAGGCTGCAGTGAGCTATGATCGTGCCACTGCACTCTAGCCTGGGCAACAGAGTGAGAGTCTCTTTCAGAAAAAAAGAAAAGAAGAAGAAAAAACAGATGGACAGGGGAAAAGTGGAAAAGACTACCCCTGCAGAAGTCACGATCCCCACGTCATTCCCCTCCCTAGACTCATCTGTGGTCAACCTCATTTTGAAAAAGGCAAAAGATGAGCAATGAAAGAATGGCTCTCCTGAACTATAAGCTGAATGACTTTTTAATTTCTATGCCTAATTAACATAATTTCCTTTGCCTCCCTCATCCAGATTAATTAATATCTCTGTAAACCTGGCACCCTTGCTTAACCTTTAGCCTCAGTATTGTGCACTACTAACCTCTTAAAGCTAAAAACAAAATGTGGTAACTGACAAAAAAAATTAGTTCTTTATTACTAAAGCTTCAGGTAATTAGATCAAATTATCTAATTAAGAAAAGTACCAGGCAAACTACAAAATGCTACAGTAATAAAATAAAATTATAAGTTATTTATAATAATTTTTGGCCATTCAAATAGATGTAAATTCCACAGCAATTTCTGTGTCTCACAAACTTCCTTTTGCGTTTTTTTCCTGTTTTTTTGAGACAGAGCCTTGCTCTGTCACCCAGGCTGGAGTGCAGTGGCGATCTCTGATCACTGCAACCTCCACCTCCTGGGTTCAAGTGATTCTCCTGTCTCAGTCTCCTGAGTAGCTGGGATTACAGGCGTGAACCACCACACCTGGCCACAAACTTCCTTTTTCAGTGTTCTACAAATACTTGGTTTTGATTTTTTTTTTTTTTTTGAGATGGAGTCTCACTCTGTCGCCAGGCTGGAGTGCAGTGGCATGATCTTGGTTTACTGCAACCTCCATCTCCTGGATTCAAGCGATTCTCGTGCCTCGGCCTCCCAAGTGGCTGGGATTACAGGCACGCGCCACCACGCCCAGCTAATTTTTGTATCTTTAGTAAAGATGAGGTTTCACCATGTTGGCCAGGATGGTCTTGATCTCCTGACCTCATGATCCGCCCACCTCGGCCTCCCAAAGTGCTGGGATTACAGGCGTAAACAACCATGCCTGGCCAAGATTTTTTTTTTTAATTGAGACTGGAGTCTCACTATGTTGCCCAGGCTGGACTTGAACTTCTGGGCTCAAGCAATCCTCCTCCCAAGTAGCTGGGATTCCAGGTGTGCACCACCACACCCAGCTAAAAAAATGTGAGATTTTAAAAATTCTTTGTTGTTTTTTCTTTTTGGTGAGGTGGGGGGGGGGGGGGGGGCGGGTACAGAGTTTTGCTCTTGATGCCCAGGGTGGAGTGCAATGGCGTGATTTCAGCTCACCGCAACCTCTACCTCCCAGGTTCAATGATTCTCCTGCCTCAGCCTCCTGAGTAGCTAGCATTACAGGCATGTGCCACCAAACCCAGCTAATTTTGTATTTTTAGTAGAGAAGGGTTTTCTCCATGTTGGTCAGACTGGTCTCGAACTCCCGACCTTAGGTGATCTGCCCGCCTCAGCCTTTCAAAGTGCTGGAATTACGTGAGCCACCCCACCTGGCCTTAAAAATATTTTTAAATCCAGTCATGAAATGTCCAGACAGCAACCTGAATTGAGGATTACCTCAATTGTACAACCAGAACTAAGATATTCACATTTAAACCACTTTCTAAGTATGAGTCACAGCTAAACAGTGAGAAAAACCATCCAGCTTTCTGACTGAATAGTGTAGACAGATCACCTGGATCTCCGCCTCCCTCCAAAAGCCCACTGAAATGATGAAAGAATATTATCGTACAGGGCTAGAAATCTAGAAAGAGTGCCATTAGAAATCAAGAAATTTGGAGGGTTTCCAGGAAGTCAGGAAGCAGATCAGACTGAGAAAGAAAATACAAAGGAAAAAAGAGTCCGTATCACCATCAGTAAGTAGAAAATTCCAGAAGGTCCAACCTCCAATTAATAAATGCAAAGAATATAAATGAGTCACGGACAATCATGGAGTGATTTGGTCAAAAAACATTGTCTTAGTGAGACAATTAGAACTTGAAAAAGAAAAGGTAAGAGCTGGAAATAAAGGAGCACTCCAAAACCAACAGGGAAAGGGGCAGGGAGGAAGGAACTGCGCCCCAATGGTTCATCGTGCTCAACGGAAAATCTTTCTTGCTTTGTCAGTTGGAGGGTGCCCCAGCCTGCTCTTGGCTCACACATCCTTAGGAAACCCTGTCAACCCACTCCACCCATTCCACAAAATTCAGTCAGCCTCCCTAGTTGAGAGAGTAAGTTGTTAACACAACAGAGCACCCAGCAGGAGAAAAATGCCAATACCAGTTTGCTCTAATAGCAGTAACAGTCACTCACTCATAAATATAAATAAGCAAAGATCAGCAGACACCCAAGAAAAACAAGTGGCGCAGAAGATAAAGACCAAGGCACACGAAAAGAACTGATATTTGAGAAAACACATATAGCCAATCCTCACTATTTAGAGATTCTGCACTTGTAAACTGGCCTAAAATTTATTTGTAACCATAAAACCCAATTCTCTCAGGCTTTCTTTTTTTTTTTCTTTTTTTTCTCTTTTTTGAGACAGTCTCGCTCTGTTGCCCAGGCTGGAGTGCAGTGGCATCATCTTGGCTCACTGCAACCTTCATCTCCGAAGTTCAAGCGATTCTCCTGCCTCAGCCTCCTGAGTAGCTGGGAGTACAGGCGCACACCACCACGCCCATCTAATTTTTGTATTTTTAGTAGAAACAGTGTTTCGCTGTGTTGGCCAGGCTAGTCTCAAACTCCTGACTTCAAGTGATCCGCCCGCCTCAGCCTCCCAAAGTGCTGGGATAACAGGCGTGAGCCACTGTGCCCGGCCCAGGCTTTCATGGTCATTCATCGGCAGGTGCAGAGCAGCTCTGCAAAAAAATCCAGTTGCCTGATGCAGTTTCCCAGCAGAAGTGCCTTCTTCCTTTGGCTGTCATTGGTAAACGAATGTCCTTTACACAGTTTAGTCAGTTCGCCTCACGTTTTTCACATTTTTGTGTTTTTTAAAAGTGATTTCATAGTTTAAAACCCTGTGGATGCTGCTGAAGTGCTGTCTGGTGTTCCTAAACATAGGAAGGCTGGGATGTGCCTTATGGAGAAAATAGGTGTATTCAAAATGCTTTATTCAGGTCTGAGTAGTTTGTGTTGTTGGCTATGAGTTCAATGTTAGTCAATCAACAACATATAAGTTGTCTTTAAAAAGAAAGACACACAAAAAGGTTATACACTGATCAGTTGACAAAAATGTAGTGAGAGACTTGTGGAAACCCTGTATTTCCCCAAGGAGCAATTCGGTATTCAGTATTAGCTAATTCAGTGTTCATGGCAACTTTATAGAACATTGCCAGTGCAAATGATAATTGACTGTAATTCAGCAAACAAATGCAAATTTTAAAAAATCTTCACTAGAAACCACAGGGAAATAGTGTAATACATGTAACAAAAACTGGTATAAAAAAGAAGTAATCAGAGAAAAAGAAACTCTGAACAATTAAAAATGATTGCCATTCATACAAAAATTCAATGATGGGAAAAAATGTATACCTGGAGAACAAAGTGGAGATCTGGGAGATGGAGTACTAAATCTCCAAACAATTTTGTTTTAAATGGAGAGTAAATCCTGGAATAATCAAATAGGAGTGCCAGAAAGACAGAACAGAGACAAGAGAATAAAAAGAAATTATCAAAGGATCATAAGATATCCCCAATTTGAGACAATAACATTTATTTTTAAAGGGACCACTGAGTGTCAAGCAGGATTGGCCAAGTGCAGTGGCTCATGCCTGTAATCTCAGCACTTTGGGAGGCCAAGCCAAGAAAACTACTTGAGTCCAGGAGTTCAACACCATTCTGGGCAACAAGGCGAAACCCCATATCCACAAAAAATAACAAAAAATTAGCAAGGCATGGTGGTGAATGCCTGTAGTCCCAGTTACTTGGGAGGCTGTGTGTGGTGGGAGGATCACCTGAGCCCAGGGAGGTCCAGGGAGTGCCACTGCACTCCAGCCTGGGTGACATAGTGACACGTGTCTCGAAAACAAATACATAAAAAATAATAAATAATAAATGGTGGCTGGGTGCGGTGGCTCACGCCTGTAATCCCAACACTTTGGGAGGCCGAGGCCGGCAAATCACCTGAGCTCAGGAGTTCGAGACCAGCCTGACCAATATGGAGAAACCCCATCTCTACTAAAAATATAAAATTAGACGGGCATGGTGGCACATGCCTGTAATCTCAGCTACTCAGGAGGCTGAGGCAGGAGAATCTCTTAAACCCAGGAGGCGGAGCTTGCAGTGAGCCAAGATCACACCACTGCACTCCAGCCTGGGTGACAGAGCAAGACTCTGTCTCCAAAAAAAAAAAAAAACCATAAAAATAAAAATAAAAAACAAATGGTAAGTGATAAGTAAGATTAATCAACAAAGGCCAACACATAATAATCCAGGTTGGGGTTTTTCCTGGAGAAGGGGAATGAGGAAAGTACAGCAGCAGCTTTGGGTTACTGTAGCTGGGAGATGAGTATGGAAGGGTCTGTCTACTGTACTTCTGTTACTTCTGGTGTATCTGAAATTTTCTCTAATGAATACACTAGACAACCCCAAGGTGGAAAAAACTGCTCAAATAAAACACAAAAAGCACTCCAACAATAAAGCCTGACAAATGTGATTACATTAAAACTCATTTCCATTGGCTATCAAAATCCATCATAAAAAATGTCAAAATATATGTGCAAGAGAGCTCAGAATAATAACGCAAAATCCTAAAACCTTCCAAAAAGAAAAAGCTACCTACAAAAGAACCAGCATCAGACTGACGACAGCTCGTTAATAAAACCTAGTTAAAAATATGCAAGAACTGTATCTTTTGAAATTCTTACATTCGGAACTCTAAAACTAGCCAAACTATCAATTAAGCATGGAGTCAAATTAAGACATTTTCAGGTATTTGAAGAGTTTGCCATCCATTCCATCTCCATATTGGCATCTCAAATGAATACTTACATAATCTAGATTGTAAAGCTGGCTGCCACTTAATTTTTAGAATCAATTTGTAGTCAAAAGACAAAATACTTACACATGTGTTAAATGTTTACAGAATGTAAATATTATAAATCTTGCCAGTATACAAGCAATATAAGAATTAGGAAATGGACTGGGCGAGGTGGCTCATGCCTGTAATCCCAGCAGTTTGGGAGGCCGAGGTGGGCGGATCACAAGGTCAGGAGATCGAGACCATCCTGGCTAATACGGTGAAACCCCGTCTCTACTAAAAATACAAAAAATTAGCCAGGCGTGGTGGCAGGCACCTGTAGTCCCAGCTACTCAGGTGGCTGAGGCAGGGGAATCGCTTGAACCAGGAGGCGGAGCTTGCAGTGAGCCTAGATTGCGCCACTGCACTCCAGCCTGGGTGACAGAGCGAGACTCCACCTCAAAAAAAAAAAAAAAAAAAAAAGAATGAGGAAATGGAAGGGGCAATGTGAGGGGGAAGCAATAAACTAATTCCCTCTTTTTTAAGAGAGGGGAAGCCAGGCACAGTGGCTCACACCTGTAATCCTAGAACTTTGGGAGGCCAAGGCGGGCAGATCACCTGAGGTCAGGAGTTCAAGACCAGCCTGGCTAACATGGACAAACCCCGTCTCTACTAAAAATACAAAAAAAACTAGCCAGATGTGGTGGCGGGCACCTGTGATTCCAGCTACTTGGGAGGCTGACACAGGAGAATCGTTTGAACCCAGGAGGCGGAGCTTGCAGTGAGCCGAGATCATGCCACCACACTCCAGCCTGGGCAATAGGGCAAGACTCCATCTCAAAAAAAAAAAAAAAAAAAAGAGACGGGAGTAAATATATAGTCTAAAAATTGATAAATATGTGTAGAGATATATATATTATTTGAAATTATAATAATTACCAGTATAACTCCAACAACTATCAACATCACCACAAATAAGATATCTATCTAGTCATACCTTGGGATGTGGAAGTTGTATAAATGTGCTCTATTCATCTTTTCTATCAGTTTGGATATTCTTTAATGATAACATAGCAAGAACATGTGGAAAAATAGCAGAATAAAAATTTTTAAAAAAAAGATAACATAGCAAGAACCAAAGGTATAAGTAAATCCTTTAAAAATATACTAGTGACTACCAGAATTAAAGTCTGAAAACAGAACTATTGACAGCATTTGTTTTTAGGGGGTAAAGGAACTTTACCTTTCTTTTTGTATTCTTATGGATTATTTCAATTTTTTTCTTCACCAAGTGATTCTTATAATTGTTTAAAAACAGTTTAATAAAAAGCAACTATGGTAATATTCATATAGTCATGCTCTATGCAGCAGTTAAAAAGAAATGAGGTAAGACTAGATATATTAATATATGGAAAAATGCCCACAATGTATCTTTAAGTGAAAAAAGCTAATTGCAAGGAAGGAAAATGTAAGGGTTTCTGGCTGGGTGCAGCAGCTCACGCCTGTCATCCCAGCACTCTTGGAGGCCGAGGCAGGCAGATCACCTGAGGTTAGAAGTTCAAGACCAGTCTGGCCAACATGGTAAAACCCCATGTCTACTAAAAATGCAAAAATTAGGCAGACGTGGTGGCGCATGCCTGTAATTCTAGCTACTTGGGAGGCTGAGGCAGGAGAATTGCTTGAACTCAGGAGGTGGAGGCTACTGTGAGCCAAGATGGTGCCACTGCACTCCAGCCTGGGCAAATGAGCAATACTCTGTCTCAATCAACCAATCAATCAATCAATCAAATGTATGGGTTTCAATATCTGGTGTTCTGTGTCTACTTGTGCTAGTGAATATCTGGGCGTGTTTGCATATATGTGTTTATGACAACATTAAATAGTTATTTGCATATGCATAGAAAACATCCAAAAGGTTCACATGAAAATATTTACAATGCCGGCTTCCTCTGTTGAGTGAAAACAGGGACAAATGACATGCCTGGGTGAAAAATGGAGAACATATACTCTATATATCTTGAGAAGAAGCACCTTTGAGAGAATAAATTATCAAATTGTTAGCTTAAAAGTTACTAGTTTATTTTACTAGGATGTTATCAGAGGTTTAATATGTAAACTTACCTTGAAGGGTTCCAAGAAATACAACTACAGCTTAGCTTACATGAGATCTCATGCTGCAAAGACCACTGGCTGAGATTCATAACATCTGGTGCCTCATAGATTCTTACTATACCATCTGCGGAACAGGTTGCTAACATAAGACCCATGTGCTTGGGAGCAAACTTCACATCAGTAACAGATGTTCTGCTATCCACCAGAGTTGTCCTTTTAACCTAAAAAAAAAATAATAACAATTTAAATTATATACAAAAAGAAAGCATGGTAGAGTGGAAAAGACACACAGACTCTGGAATCACACAGAAACTCCTCTATCATTCACTAGGTATATAAGCTTGGATACATCTCTGGGCCACAAGTTCCTACAAGTACATGGCAAAATACCACATATATAGCTGGGAATCACTAACAAATTAGTGAGCTATAATTAATTACTCCCTTTAATGAAAAAAAAGTCTACCTCCAAAAGCCTACCTTTGTTATATAAGTAATCTCTCTTAAGCAAACTGATCACAAAAAAAAAAGAAAATGTTAGAATTTTCAGACAAGAAGTTTTGTCACACAAAGCATGCTGCAAGCATTAGACCCTTTAACTGTAAATGAGTTGGGCGTGATGGCTTACACCTGTAATCCCAAAACTTTGGGAAGCCGAGGCAGGCAGACTGCTTGAGCTCAGGAGTTCAAGACCAGCCTGGGCTACATGGCAAGACACCGTCTCTACTAAAAACTAAAAAAAAAAAAAAGCCAGGTGTGGTGGTGCACGCCTGTGGCCCCAGCTATTCCGGAGGCTGAGGCGGGTGGATCGCTTGAGCCAGTGGGGCAGAAGGTACAGTGAGCAAAGATCGCACCACTGCACTCCAGCCTGGGTGACAGAGTAAGACCCTCTCTCAAAAAAAAAAAAAAAAAAAAAAAAAAGAAAGGCATGCAATTTCTTCTCTCAAGAATAATTTTCTGTTAATCCCATTTGGACCACTATTATTATTATTTTTTTTTTTTTCTTAGGGACAGGGTCTTGCTCTGTCACCCAGGCTGGAGTACAGTACCATGATCATGGCTCAAGTGATCCTTTTGCCTCAGCCTTCCCAGTAGCTGGGATGACAGGCACCTGCCACCATGCCCAGCTAATTTTTCTTATTTTTATAGAGATGGGGGGGTCTCACTATGTTGCCCAGATGGGTCTCAAACTCCTGGCCTCAACTGATCTTCCCACCTCAGCCTCCCGAGTTGCTAGGATTACAGGTGTGAGCCACTGCACCCAGCTACCATGCACTTTTAAGTGAAGGCTTTTAACAGGGACCAAAAGAATGGTAGAAAGCAAGCTTTATGATCACTGTAAAATTCCAACATCACATTTAAAAGTTATCTTCTGGCACACAGATAAGATGAAACTTTACTAAAAACATCAATAAGCTCAGGTGCAGTAGCTCACGCCTGTAATCCCAGCACTTTGGGAGACTGAGGCGGGTGATCACTTGAGGTCAGGAGTTCAAGACCAGCCTGTCCAACATGGTGAAACCCCATCTCTACTAAAAATATTCAAATTAGCCAGACATTGTGGCGGGCGCCTGCAATCCCAGCTACTAGAGAGGCTAAGGCAGGAGAATCGCTTGAGTGTGGTCGGCGGAGGCTGCACTGAGCCGAGATCATGCCACTGCACACCAGGCTGGGTGGCAGTGCAAGACTTTGTCTCAAAAAAAAACTAAGTCAATAAAGTTTAGCAATCAACAGATTACTGTCTATGGTTACCAAAATCCTTCTTAAAGAGTCTCAACATTAAAAGGATAATATTACATAAACTTCAAAGATAACATCTTAGCAAACTTTTGTCTACAGACACCACTGAATAATTAATACAAACACAAATGTTGAGAAAATAAATGCATTTGTTACAGTAGGTAGTCAGACATGAGCAGGGCAGCAGAGGACCCCACCCCACCAGGAATGTCAAGCAACCATCAGGTGATGATCAGGCAGTTGTTAAACTTTCTCTCTAAACTAATCATTGGTTGCAGCCAGTGCCAGGGAAAGGTAGTCTCCCAACAGATAGAAACACCTGAAACTGGTGATCAGCAGCTTCCTGATAAGATCTGAGGAGTTGGATGACTGGGCTCAAGCATGTGCACTAAGAGGAAAAATGGTGGAGCTTAACTGATCTATGACCTTCTAGGAACATTCTGTTAAGGGAAAAACGCCTCAAGTGAGCATCTGCGCAACTCCAGTAAACACACTGCACACGCAGCCCCTCCCAGGCACTAGTGGGCCACTGCACATGCGGACTGCCCACCCCAAGGGAAGAATCAGAGAAGAGACGCAACCCCTGGGAAGCATGCCAACGTGTAACAACCCAAGTCCAAGATCAAACCATGCATTTGACTCTCTCAAGTCACCCACTTGGCCCTCTTCCAAATGTATTTTACTTCATTTCTGCTGTAAAATTTTTTAACAAATTTCCACTCTGGCTCTAAAACTTATCTTAGTCTCTTACTCTGCCTTATGCCCCTAGGTGGAATTCTTTCTTTTGAAGAGGCAAGAAATGAGGCTGCTGCAGACCCATATGGATTTGCCACTGCTAATATATTAATGAAAGATGACTAAACTAAATACAAATAAGTATCTTGAAATTCAAAGAAAAGTCCTTCTTATGCCACCACTCCCAAATCCAATCTATAGTATACTGAACTGACACACCTCAGACTTAACGCCAAAAAAACTTTTATAATTCTATAAATTTCTATTCCTTCCTCCCCATAAGCAGCTGTTTGGCTTAGGGAAGCCCTAGTGCAAAGGCAATCAGACATACTCCTCCCCTGAGAAGAGCTGTAAAACAGTCTGAATAGCCACTCAAGCTACAAAGCTACCGGAATTAAAACAGTGTGCTATTAGGACAAGGAGACATACAGATAAATGTCCACAAGAGAGCCCAGAATGCAATCCTCCATATATATAGCCATTATTTTCAACAAAGGTGTCAAGACCATTCAACAGGGGAAAGAATGGTCTTTTCAAGAAATGGTGCTGGGAAAACTAGATTTCAGCACCCTAACATTTTTTAATGACTGAAATAAATAATTTGTATCAGGCCCTTGCTTGCTTGCGCATGTTAACCACTCACTTTTTGCTGAATATCCCTTGTTGCCACAATATAATGATAAACTGTTGATGTACTGCTTCTTTGTCAATCAAGAGAAGATAACTTCAGCGTCATGTAAAGAAAAATGTTGCCAGAAGAAATGAATGGCTTTAAGGACACTGTGACCAGCTGCTAACAACCAGACATCTGGTTGCTCAAGGCGTTACCTGAGACCAAAGAAACACAGACTTTTCCACTGGATTCTGTGAAACTCCCCCTCCCTTACTAGATCTAGTCACATAAAATCTACCCAATGCTTCCTTTTGTTTAGATGGATTCGAGAGATCTTGCCCTCCCATCTTCTTGCTTTAGCCAAATCGAATAAACCTTTCTCTATCTCCAAGTACCGGTGACTCAGTGTTTGCTCTCAGCTCCACATTGGGGATACAAGCCTGAATTGAGGATTCTATAACAATCTTAGAAGAAAACATTGGGGAAAGTCTTCATGACACTGGATTTGGCAATGCTTTCCTGGATATAACACCAAAAGCATGGGAAACAAAAGAAAAAAATTTAGATAAACTAGACTTCAAAATTTTAAAATTTCGTGCATCAAAGGAAACCATCAAGAGTGAAAAAGGCAACCCACAGAACGGGAGAAAATATTTGCAAATCATTTACAGGTTGTGCATATCAAATCCAAAAATCTGAAATCTGAAATGCTCCAAACTCCAAAACTTTTTGAGCACTGGCATGATGCTCAAAGAAAATGCTTATTGAAGCATACCGAATTTCAAGTTTTTGGATTTAGAATGCTTAACTGGGGCTGGCCACGGTGGCTCACACCTGTAATCCCAGCACTCTGGGGGGCCAAGGTGGAGGATCGCTTGAACCCAGGAGTTCAAGACCAGCCTGGGCAACTCTATTAAGTAAATAAATAAGTAGGCGAATGCTTAACTGGTAAGTATAAATGCAAATATTGCAAAATCCAAAATCCAAAATCCAAAACATTTCTGGATCCTAGCATTATGGATAAGGAATACTCAACCTATAACAGATAAGGGATTAATATCCAGAATATATAAAGAACTCCTATAACAACAAAAAACCCAATTTAAAAAAATGGGCAAAGGATATGAATAGTATTTTCCCCAGGAAGACATACAATTGACCAATAAGCACATGAAAATAAGGTCAACATCAGTAATTATTAGAGAAATGCAAATCAGAACCACAATGGAGATGCCACTTCACAACACAGTCACTAGGATGGCTACAATAAATAGCACCACAACAAGTGCTGATGAAGATTTGGAAAAACTGGAACCCTTGAGCATTGCTGGTAGGAATGTAAAATGGTGTAGCTGCTATGGAAAAGTCTGACAGTTCCTAAAAACGTGAAACATAGAACTACCATATGAGCCAGCAATTCTACTCCTAGGTATATTTCCAAAAGAATCGAAAGCACGGTCTCAAACATTTATCTGTACAACAATGCTCATAGTAGCAGTATTCACAATAGCCACGAAGTAGAAACAACCCAAGGGTCCATCTACAAATGAATGGATAAACAAAATGTGGTATACACACACAATGGAATATTACTCAGCCATAAAAAGGAATAAAGTTAATATATGCTACAAAATGGACAGACCATGAAAACATTTTACTTAGTGAAATAAGCCAGTTGCAAATGGACAAATACTGTGATTCCACTTACATGCAGTACCTAGTCAAATTTATAGACAGACAGTTGAATAGGGGGTAGAGGGAGGAGGAAGGGGGAGGCATTCTTTAAAAATATGGAGTTTATGTTGGCAGTGATGAACAGTTTTGAGTACAGATAACAGTGATGGGTACACAGCACTGTGAACGTAATTAATTCTACTGAATTATACCATTTACAAATAGTTAAAATGGGCCAGGCATGGTGGCTCACGCCTGTAATCCCAGCACTTCAGGAGGCCAAGGCAGGAGAATCATTTGAGATCAGGAGTTCGTGACCAGCCTGACCAACATGGTGAAACCCTGTCTCTTCTAAAAACACAAAAAAATTAGCCAGGCATGGTGGCACATGCCTGTAGTCCCAGCTACTCAGGAGACTGAGGCAGGAAAATCGCTTGAACCCCGGAGGCGGAGAATGCAGTAAGCCGAGATCCCACCACTGCACTCCAGCCTGGGTGACAGAACAAGACTCTGTCTCAAAAAAAAAAAAAAAAAAAAAAAAAAAAAAAAAAAAAGTTAAAATGAGGAATATTATGTTATACATATTTTACCACAATAAAAAATTGCATCATGGCCCTCGTAGTGGCTCACGCCTATAATCACAGCACTTTGGGAGGCCGAGGTGAGAGGATTGCTTCAGTCCAGGAGTTCAAGACCAGCCTGGGCAACATGGTGAAACCCCATCTCTACAAAATAAAAAAATCAGCCTGTGGTGCATGCCTGTGATCCCAGCTACTTGTGGGGCTAAGGTGGGAGGATCACTTGAGCCCAGGAGGTTGAGACTGCAATGAGCTGTGACTGGCTCTAACGTAGTATCATGCCATTAGGGAGGGCAGGTGAGGGGTAATAGCAGGACACTCCCACTACACACTTCCTTTTGTTTCTTTTGAATTTTACACCATGTGCATGATTATCTATTACAAAAAACAAATCATAAAGGGGGAAAAAAAGCATGCAGATGATAATACCTTCATATGAAAATGCTGGAAAGAGTCTTAAATATAATCTAGTTCAATGTTTTCACTTTATAGATGAGGAACTTCAACAGCACACAGATTATATTATGTTCTTGCCCAAATTCAAACATCCAATAAGGCAAAGACAGCGATAAAAGCAGATGTAGATAAAGGAGAGTGTATTTTTTTTTTTTTGAGACGAAGTCTCGCTCTTGTTCCCCAGGCTGGAGTGCAATGGCACGATCTCTGCTCATCACAACCTCCGCCTCCCGGGTTCAAGCGATTCTCCTGCCTCAGCCTCCTGAGTAGCTGGGATTACAGGCATGTGCCACCATGCTCAGCTAATTTTTGTATTTTTAGTAGAGGGGGAGTTTCTCCATGTTGGTCAGGCTGGTCTCAAACTCCTGACCTCAGGTGATCTGTCCATTTTGGCCTCCTAAAGTGCTGGGATTATAGGCGTGAGCCACCGCACCCGGCCGAGGACAGTATATTTCCTAAGAAAACAAAAGTAACCACAAAACAAAAGAAACAATTTTTATAGAATTTTTTTTTTTTTTGAGACAAGTCTCGCTCCGTCGCCCAGGCTGGAGTGCAGTGGCGTGATCTCGGCTCACTGCAAGCTCCGCCTCCCGGGTTCACACCATTCTCCTGCCTCAGCCTCCAGAGTAGCTGGGACTTACAGGCACCCACCACCATGCCGGGCTAATTTTTTGTATTTTTAGTAGAGACAGGGTTTCACCATGTTAGCCATGTTATTTATTTTATTAGGTGGGTATTTTCTGTAGAAAGAATTTGCAAGTAAAATGGTGGACTTACAGAATCTTTGTTTCAAAGGTTGGTTACGCTAAACTCTGAAGCAACTCTCCAACTATCAGCACTGGAAGTAGTCAAGTTTATCTGGCTAGATTTTTCTTTTATTAGTAAAATGTCAGAAGAACTGGACTTCAGAAGCATTACAATCCTAAATATAGAATGTCTTCTAAAGGTTAAAACATTCTGGAATTTAACTTTTTATTTACATGTTATGTTGATCAGTTTTCTTCTCTCATAGAAGTAAAACTATATTCTGTTTCCTGATGTAAAACCAGTGTTTATGAAATATGAATAAGTATTTAGGAAAAAAGAAGCCCTGGGATAATGAGTATCTGTTCTTTTCTTTTTTTTTTTTTGATTCCCCAGACACACAGTGGATCTGTATGGCGTGTGACATGGGCCCATCCTGAATTTGGCCCATTAAATTTATTTAAATTTAAATAAAATTTAAAGAATTTTATTAACCCTTGGCCAGGCGTGGTGGCTCACGCCTGTAATCCCAGCACTTTGGGAGGCCGACAGGCAGATCACGAGGTCAGGAGATCGAGACCATCCTGGCTAGCACAGTGAAACCCCGTCTCTACTAAAAATGCAAAAAATTAGATGGGCGTGGTGGCGGGCGCCTGTAGTCCCAGCTACTCAGGAGGCTGAGGTAGGAGAATGGCGTGAACCCGGGAGGCGGAGCTTGCAGTGAGCCAAGATTGTGCCACTGCACTCCAGCCTGGGTGACACAGTGAGACTCCGTCTAAAAAAAAAAAAAAGAATTTTATTAACCCTTAAGAGTTTAAAGTTAAAAAAAAAAAAGAATTTTAGAGTTAGGCACAGTGGCTCATGCCTATAATCTCAGCAACTCAGGAGGCTGAGGTGGGGCCAGGAGTTTGAGACTGCAGTGAGCCAGAATACTTTAAAATCATATATTACTATCATAAAATATACTAATAGGTAAAATCAAATACAATGCAAATATTCTGGATTCATCATAAAAGTTATAAACAATGCAGTGATGCTCCTAAGTATTGCTTCAGACCCAAGTTAAAATGAAATAAAAAAGGAAGAAAAAAACATGGAAGAAAGAACTTTAGAACTGGTAAAACTAGAGGGGAGTGGTGATATTTTACCAATTATCTGAGGTAGCCTTCGGATGAATGCTCCTTGGCTGCTCATGTCTTCCCGGTCCCCAGAATACTAATAAATGTCTCACCCAGTGGCTCTGTCCTCGCAGTTTATCATTTGATTCTCCTACTATTTCTTCCCATACAGCAGCTGTTCGGTCAAAAGAACAGGAAGCCAAAACCTGCCCAAATTCAGGATGGGCCCATGTCACACGCCATACAGATCCACTATGTGTCTGGGGAATCAAAAAAAAAAAAGAAAAGAACAGATACTCATTATCCCAGGGCTTCTTTTTTCCTAAATACTTATTCATATTTCATAAACACTGGTTTTACATCAGGAAACAGAATATAGTTTTACTTCTATGAGAGAAGAAAACTGATCAACATAACATGTAAATAAAAAGTTAAATTCCAGAATGTTTTAACCTTTAGAAGACATTCTATATTTAGGATTGTAATGCTTCTGAAGTCCAGTTCTTCTGACATTTTACTAATAAAAGAAAAATCTAGCCAGATAAACTTGACTACTTCCAGTGCTGATAGTTGGAGAGTTGCTTCAGAGTTTAGCGTAACCAACCTTTGAAACAAAGATTCTGTAAGTCCACCATTTTACTTGCAAATTCTTTCTACAGAAAATACCCACCTAATAAAATAAATAACATTAGATTTATTTGCTCCAAAATCCATACAGACAGAAAGTAGATTAGTGGTTACCAGCGGCTGGGAGCAGAGTAAACAAGAAGTGACTGCTAAATGAGCACAGGGTTTCCTTTAGAGGTGGTAAACAATGTTCTGAAATTAGAAGTGGTGGTGGTTGCCAATTAAATGAATATACTTAAAATCACTAAATTGTACACTTTAAATGGGTGCACATTATGATATGTAAATTATAGCTCAATCAAAAAAATACTTTTTTTTCATTTGATTCAACCAGGCATAGTGGCTCACGCCTGTCTTCTCAGCCCTTTAGGGGGCTGAGGTGGGCAGACTGCTTGAGCCCAGGGGTTCAAGACCAGTCTGGGCAATATGGCAAAATGCCATCACTACAAAAAATACAAAAAATTAGTCAGGTGTGGTGGTATGCACTTACGGTCCCAGCTGCTTGGGAGGCTGAGGTGGGAGGATCACTTCAGCCTGGAAGGTTGAGGCTGCAGTAAGCCAAGATTGTGCCACTGCACTCCAGCCTGGGTGACAGAGCAAGAACTTGTCTCCAAAAAAAAATTATTTGCTTCAAAAGTCTAACAATATATAGAGATTATAGCCATAGAATGCTTAAATGATTTTAACTGACAATACAGTCTATCGATAACAGACTATTGTAGGAAGAGCAAATATGGGGAAGCCCAAATCCTTACACCCCTCCTGTTGGCCAAGGGGTGGGAGGGGAGGTGGCTGGAGAAGGGATACAAAGGTCTTAAAGAATTTCACCATCAAAAGAATTTGCTAGGTGCTTCTCAGGGAAAATACTGTATAATAACAAATAACATTCAGAAAATGTGTTTCACACTGTATAGCTAACATTTTTTACATTCAACAACATAAAAATAGTTTAACCAATAACTTCTACATGGTAACAATGTCACCAACTAAAGGTACATTTTGCACCCTTTTTTTTTAACCTTGTTTTGTCCAGTCTTTTCTGTATCATCTTTAATTCTTACTTATACAGGGCTATAAAATTAAAAATGCACACTAAGGCAGATAAGTTTTATTAGATTTACAGTAAAATGCAATCTAAAGAATAAGGTTTGCACAAAGATGCTCATCACAATAAAATGGAAACTGAAATATCCACTAGTTAAGCAAAATGGTATATTTATTGGCTGTTAATAAAAAGCCTTTAAAGATATAGAAAAGTACATATGAAATATATTAGGCTTAAAAGCAAGAGATGGGGTTTCCTTTTGGAATAATAAAAATGTTTTAGAACTAGAAAAAGGTGGTAGTTACACAACACTGTAAATGAAGTAAATGCCAATTAATTGTTTACTCTGAAATTATTAATTTTATAAGTTAACCTCACCTTAAAAGGGGGGGGGACCTTGGATAGACCTTTCACAAAAGAAGATACATGAATGGTAAATAAGCATATGAAAAAATAATCAACATGAGGTATTAAGGAAATACAAATCAAAATCCAATGATTTTTGTGGTCACTTCTCAACTACTAAAATGGCTATAATAAAAAAGACAGATATTATCGAGTGTAGGTGAGGATGTAGAGAAACTGGAACCTCACACATGGCTGGTGGGCACAGCCACTTTGGAAGAGTTTCGCAGTTTCTTAGAAAGCTAAGTGCATATAGCCCATCAATTCCACTCCTACGCATCTATCCAAAAGAAATGAAAATATATGTCTACACAGACTTACATGGCACGTTCTTAACATTACTCATAACAGCCAAAAACAACAACTCAAATGTCCGTCAACTGGTGAACAGACAAACAAAACGTGGCAATATACATACAACGGACTACTCAGTATCAAAGGAACAAATTGACACATGACACAATATGGATGAACCTCAAAACATGCAAAGGGAAAGTGGCCAGACACAAAGGACTATGTATTTCAAAATTCCATTTCTATGAAATTTCTAGAAAGGATAAACCAGGCCAGGCATGGTGGCTCAAGCCTGTAATCCCAGCACTTTGGAAGGCCAAGGCGGGCGGATCACTTGAGGTCAGGAGTTCGAGACCAGCCTGGTCAACATAGTGAAACCCTGTCTCTACCAAAACTACAAAAATTAGCCGGGTGTGGTGGCATGCGCCTGTAATCCCAGCTACTCAGGAGGCTGAGGCAGGAGAATCGCTTGAACCCAGGAGGCAGAGGTTGCAACGAGCCAACATCGCACCACTGCACTCCAGCCTGGGCGACAGAGCAAGACGCCAGCTCAAAAAAAAAAAAAAAGAAAAGAAGAGAAGAGAGGGTGGGAGGGGAGGGGAGAGGGAGGGCAGAGGAGAGAAGAAACCTATGGAGACAGAAAATGGATCAGTGGTTGCCTGGGGCTTGGAGTGGGAATAGGATACAAAGGAATTTCTGAGTTTGAGAGAAAAGTTCTAAAACTGGATTACAGTGATGACTACACAACTATGTAAGTTTACTAAAACTCACTGAACTGTACATTTAAAATGGATGACTTTTAAGGTATGAAAATTTCTACTTGGCCGGGCACAGTGGCTCATGCCTATAAACCCAGCACTTTGGGAGGCCGAGGGAGGATCACCTGAGGTCAGGAGTTTGAGACCAGCCTGGCCAACATGGCGAAACCCCATCTCTGCTAAAAACACAAAAATTAGCCGGGCATCGTGGTGCACGCCTACAGTCCCAGCTACTTGGGAGGCTGAGGCAGAAGAATCACTTGAACCCAACAGGCGGAGGTTGCAGTGAGCCAAGATCACGCCACTGCACTCCCACCTGGGCAAGAGAGCAAGACTCTCCGTCTCAAAAAAAAAAAAAAAAGAAAATTTCTACTTGAGTAAAGGTTTTGTTTTTTTTTTTTAAGAGAAAACTATGTATGAAACATCACAACAATTAAAATATGTAAAGGCAAAAGGAATATTCTGAATTACTAAGATAATTATGTTAGAATGCTACAGAATTACAGATTTTCTTACTCTCAAATTCTGAGAAACACAGTTGTTACTTTAATAGCGAAAAACAGTAAAATGTCTTCCCAGGAAAAGAACTACTGTATAAATGTTATTTTCTCAAAACAATTCATAGATAACTATAAAATAAACAGTAAATATTTCTGTATTTTTAATAAATGTAAAAATAAATACTAACCTTCCAGCTAGCAGTACAATGCCAATCACCACTTTCACTTTTATCCCAGACCTATAAGAAAATAAAAGGCAGATATTTTATACAAAAATTCCTACAAATTGATACAAAAACTATAAGACTGAATCAGTGTACAAGGAAAGCGGTGAACATATAGTTAACAAAAGAACACAATCAGCAAGTAAACATTCATTCATTCAATTAAGTATTTATTGAGAGGCTGGGTGCGATGGCTCATGCCTGTAATCCCAGCACTTTGGGAGGCCAAGGCAAACGGATCACCTGAGGTCAGGAGTTCGAGACCAGCCTAGACAACGTGGTGAAACCCCGTCTCTACTAAAAATACAAAAATTAGCCAGGCATGGTGCCGCATGCCTATAGTCCCAGCTACTAGGGAGGCTGAGGCAAGACAATCGTTTGAACCCCAGAGGCGGAGGTCGCAGTGAGCTGACATCACGCCACTGCACTCCAGCCTGGGAGACAAAGCAAGACTCCGTCTCAAAAAATTTACATTGAGAACCTTGAATGTGTCAAGCACTGGGCCAAGCACCAAGGGATTCAGGAAGCTGAGCTCTATTAGGTAACAGAGACAATTAGTTACAGTCACTACGCTTGGAGGCCATTTTAAACAGCAAAATCACCAACAGAAAGAACAAATAATCATTGCACTAAATAAATCATGAAAAACACCTGCTTACAGTATGAGCCAAAATAGAGTATCGCCTGGTTTCACCTCAATGGGAAACGTCTGTCCTGAGACTCAAACTTTTTCACCACTCCTCACACATGCACAAATGACTGCAAAACCAGTGTGACTTTTGGGGTACAAGTAAATTTCAGAGTAGACAAATTCAAAAAATACAGAATCTACAAACAACAGGCTCAACTGTACATGTAACAAATGGTAAAGCAAAAATATTGAAACCAGGCATGGTGGTGCACACCTGTAGTCCCAGCTACTCAAGAGGCTGAGGCAGGAGGGATTACTTGAGCCCAGGAGTTTAAGGCTATGATCACGCCCGTGAATAGCCACTGCACTCCAGCCTGGGCAACATGGCAAGACTCCATCTCAAAACAAAAAAATTAAACCTTATTACCCAGAAAAAATATAGATTACAATAAGAAGGTGCCAATTTCACCTGTTAAAAATGTAACGAGGGCAATAACACTATCAAATCAATACTATCACTGGCGGTATAAAACGGTACGACCTGCAAAATAGCAATTTGTCAATTCTCTTCAATAGTGTTTAAAATATCCACTAATTTATCTTCTAGAATTAGCCTAAGAAAATCATTCAAAATACATAAAATGCTAAACTAATGAAAAATTTCAGTACAACACTATTTCTGACAAGACATATACGTATATACACACACTCTACCATGACAACTTAAAACGTTAAAGGAAAAACAGAGGAAATCAATAAATATTAACACATTAGCAATAAGTCTATAATTTTTTCACTTTCTAAAAAGAAAAATATATTACTTGCTCAATTAAAAATATATACAAATAAATACATGGCTCCTCCTTTAAAAAAAAAGTACTCTGGAATAAATGGACCTAAGAGGGCTGGGCAAGGTGACTCACACCTGTAATCCCAGCACTCTGGGAGGCTGAGGTGAGAGGATCACTTGAGCTCAGGAGTTCGAGACTAGCCTGGGCAACGCAGCAAGACCCTGCCTCTACAAAAAAAATGTTTTAATTGGCCAGGCGTGGTGGCGTGCACTCGTAGTCCCAGCTACTGGAGAGGCTAAGGTGGGAGGATGGCTTGAACCTGGGATGTTGAGGCTGCAACAAGCCAAGATCGCACCACTGCACTCCAGCCTGGGTGACAGAGCCAGACTCTGCCTCAAAAAAAAAGGAAAAAGAAAAAAGAAAAAAAAAATTATACTAAGTGAAATAAACCAAATATAAAAGGGCGAATATTCTATGATTCTATTTATCTGAGGTACCTAGAATATGCAAATTAATAGAAAGCAGTAGAATAGAGGTTACCAGAGGATGGGGTGGCGGAACAGGGTGCTCTTGGGTACAGAGTTTCAGTTTAGGATGATGAAAAGGTTCTGGAGATGGGCAGGGGCGACGCTGCACAAAAATGTGAATGCTGTGCTCTATGCCACTGAATTCTACACTTTAAAACGGTTAACGTGGGCCGGGCGCGGTGGCTCACGCCCGTAATCCTAGCACTTTGGGAGGCCGAGGTGGGCGGATCACGAGGTCAGGAGATAGAGACCATCCTGGCTAACATGGTGAAACCCTGTCTCTACTAAAAAATACAAAAAATTAGCCGGGCGTGGTGGCGGGCGCCTGTAGTCCCAGCTACTTGGGAGGCTGAGGCAGGAGAATGGCGTGAACCCGGGAGGCGGAGCTTGCAGTGAGCCAAGATTGCGCCACCCCACTCCAGCCTGGGTGACAGAGCAAGACTCCGTCTCAAAAAAAAAAAAAAAAAAAAAAAAAAAACGGTTAACGTAGTTTATTACAACAAAAATAAACTTGTTTTAAAAAAGAAACTACATCTTTTAAAAATTGCAACACTATTTATAAAAAGTTTATCTTTGAGAGATCACTGGTATCAAACTCGAATGTGAAAAAGGATAAACTATCCTTCAGATTTCCAGTTACTCTGGAGTTGTCGAGAACCAAATAATCCGCACTCCAGCTTTCATTCATCCTGCAACACATCTGGGAGGTTCCTAAATCTCATGTAGCATCCCCACATTAGAAATTCTGCTTGTAGGCCGGGCGCGGTGGCTCACGCCTGTAATCCCAGCACTTTGGGAGGCCGAGGCGCCGAGGCGGGTGGATCACGAGGTCAGGAGTTCGAGACCAGCCTGGCCCACATGGTGAAACTCTGTCTCTACTAAAAAATACAAAAAAAAAAAAAGATTAGCCGGGGGTGGTGGCGTGCACCTGTAATCCCTGCTACTTGGGAGGCTGGGGCAGGATAATCGCCTGAAAGCGGGAGGCGGACGTTGCAGTGAGCCGAGATCGTGCCATTGCACTCCAGCCTGGGTGACAGAGTGAGACTCGGTCTCAAAAAAAAAAAAAAAAAAAGAAAAGAAATTCTGCTTGTCGGAAGTGTCTACAGACGTTTACGGGAACTTCAAGAAACAAACCCTCCGATTCCTGGGCAGCAAGCAGGGAAATCATTGGATGTAAATGGTTTGTATTTTTCTTCCTCGGCGTAACAAAGTGAGCTTCTGCTCTGAACCCACGGAGAAAACCATGTGCCCTGGTGAGAGAACACCGGCGGGGCACAGAACTCGACGCAGCGCCAGCCAGGCAAAGTCTCCCACCAGGTCCCACTGCAGGTCGTCGGGTGAACAGCGCGGGCAAGACCCACGACGCCGAGGCTGACGGTGGGATGCCCCTGGGTTCCCGCCCGCAGCCCCGGCAGCGCGGCCTGGGAGAGGGCCCGGCGTACCCTGCGGGCGGGAGCGCGCACGTGGCACCAGCTGCGCAGGCGCACGGGAGGGCGGCCCGCGAGGCCGCCGTGACCCCACAATACGCGGGCGGGGAGGGCTTCCGCTCAGTCCAGCCAGGGCTCGCCCGCCACCCCACAGCTTCCAGCGGCGTCACTGAACCAAGACACAGCCCCGTTCCCCGCGCCGCCCACCCACTCCCCTTCCTTCCTTCCGGGGTCGGCCCCGCCCGCAAGCGCCGCGCGCACCTTAACGCTCTGATCGCTGGAGCAGGTTGCCATCCGCCGCCCGTGGAAGTCGAAAGAGACATCGTGGATGAGATCCTTGTGGTCCGCCGCGATGCTGCGAGCCACAAACATGGTTTCCGTCGGGCCCGCGCCTCCGAAGAGGACAGTGGCGGCGGCAGCGGCGGCGGCGCGTGGCCCGTAGCCTAGCCAGACCTCGCAGCCCGGGAGCGCACGGCTTGTGCTGCCCACGCCCCCGCACCGCCCCTGCCTATCAAGCCCCGCCCACACACCCTCCGGTCCTTCAAGCCCCGCCCCACCCACCGGCCCGTCAGGCCCCACACAGTCCCCTGGCCCCTCAAGCCCTGCCCACGCCCCGGCCCGTCATGACTCGCCCCACCTTCCGGTCCCTCAAGCCCCGCCCCGCCCCCAGGCCCGTCAAGCCCCGCCTACCCTCCCACCAGAGCCGTCATGCCTCGCCCCACCCTCCCGCCCCCTCAAGCCCCGCCCTGTTCCCGGCTCGTCAATCCTCGTCCCGCCCCCGGCCCGTCATGCCCTACGATCCTGGTGCGGGTTCCTCCAGGCTCTGACCGTTCGGCGGCGGAGGGTGCTCTGCAAAAGGCGAGTTACCTGTGCTGAGAAGTAGTAAGAGCTTATTGGTATACTGTGCAAATGAAGAAAGATGAAAAAGTGAAGACTGCCTCTCACGGTCCTCGGCCCTGAATCATTTAAGTCGACGTTTGGATGTGTTTCCCCCCAGACACATGCGAGGCGCGCGGAGCAGGTGGAGAAGACGAACCGTGGGTTTGGTCAGGAGCCGCGCTCCGTCGGGACGGCTGAAGAGCAGGGAGGGCCGGGGAGACGCCTGAGGGGATGACAAGCAGTCCAGGCTCGGCAGCCTAAGAGCGAAGGCTGGACGGGGAGGAAAGGATCAGAAGTAGTAGTTTAAATGTGTCAAGATTTTACAGGTAGAACAGGCCTGGGGGTGCTAGGAGCCACCACGGGGGTAGGGAAATAGTATGAATTAGAAGAGTCCGCCTGTAGAAACGTGTCATCCCGGGGGAAGGAAGCGGCCGGGGAAGTGGGCTGCTTGCTACCCGGGAGCCAGAGTCCTCCGGGGAAAAGGAAGTGAAGAGGGCCAGAGCCCCTGGGAAGAGGCCTGGCTCAGATCAAGGATTCTGCCAAAACCGGAAAGTGGAGGAGCCAACGACTCGGGGGGTTTTGCTTATCAGGAAAAGGCATTCTAGAGGGCGTAGTGGTAAAGTTAGGATGGGAGACAGTGGAAGCTTGCGTCAGGGGAGCGAAAGTACAGAAAAAAAAAAAATGAGGCTGCAGAAGGGACTTGCCCTTTGGATTTTGGCCAGGAATGACAAAAATGTGAGGTATGGTAAAATTAGCAGGCTGGAAAGTTTTTTAAATGATTAGTCCCAGCTGTCCCCTGATGGATTGCACAGAAACCTGCAAAGAGAAGTGGCGCAATGACCTGACCTTTTTCAACCATAAATAAGATTTTATTGCTACTTTAAGAGGTGGGCCCCACCTCTTATGATAACTGATAACAACTATAACTTTTTTGAAGGTCAAAGACACTCATTTCCAAAGAAAGTGCTCACTATAAAAGTCCAATCAAAATATATTGATTATTATAAAAATATCAAAACAGTTTAAAAATTGTTTTAATTAAATTTAAATACAGACAGTAAACAGATCATTGGTTGCCAGAGATTATCAGAGTGGGAGTGAAGTGTTGAATTAGGTGAAACAGTGGATTTTTTAAAATAGACTTTAGTTTTTAGAACACTTTCAGGTTCACAGCAAAATTGAGCAGAAAATAGAGTTCCCGTATGTACCCCTACTGTCACACATGCACAGCATCCTCCACTGTCAACATCCCATACCAAAGTGGTACCTTTGTTATGATCAGTGAACCTACATTGACACATCATTATCACCCAAAATTCAGAGTTTGCATTAGGGTTCACTCTTGGTGTTTTATTCTGTGGGTTTTGGCAAATATATAATGACATGGATCCACCATTATAGTATCACGCGGAATAGTTTGACTGCCCTGAAAATCCTTAGTGCTCCTGTTCATCCCTTTCTTCCGACAACACCTGGCAACCGCTGATCTTTCCACTGACTGCATGGTTTTGACTTTTCCAGAATGGCATATAATGGGAATCTTGGAGTGGCTAGCCTTTTCAGATTGGCTTCTTTCCTTATAGTAATATGCATTTAAGCTTTCTCCATGTCTTGTCTTGAGAGTTCATTTCTTTTTAGTGCTGAATAATATTCCATTGTCAGGCTGTAACAGTGTTTATTCATTCCCCAACTAAAGGGCATTCTGGTTGTTTCTGTGTTTGGGCAATTATCAATAAAGCTCCTACAAACATCTGTGTACAGGTTTTTGTGTGGACATGTTCGCAACTCCTTTGGGTAGATACCAAGAAGCATGATTGCTGGATCATATTGTAAGAGTAAGTTTAGTTTTGTTTTTTGGGGTTTTGTTTTGTTTTTTGAGACAGGGTCTCACTCTGTCATGGCAGACAATCGTGGCTCACTGCAGCTTTAAATTCCCTGGGTTCAGATGATCCTCCCACCTCAGCCTCCCGAGCAGCTGGGACTACAGGCACAGTGCCACCACACCCAGCTAATTTTTCTGTTTTTTGCAGAGATGGGGTTTCACCATGTTGAGCAGGCTGGTCTCAAACTCTTGGGCTCAAGCGATCCTCTTGCCTTGGCCTCCCAAAGTGCTTGGATTACAGGCATGAGCCACTGTGCCTGGCCTGGTTTTATAAGAAACTTACAAACTGTCTTCCAAAGTGGTCGTGTCAGCCAGGCCTGGTGGCTAAATTACCCTGTAATCCAGCACTTTGGGAGGCCGAGACGGGCAGATTATCTGAGCTCAGGAGTTCAAGACCAGCCTGGGCAACGTGGCGAGACCCGCTTCTCTACTAAAAATACAAAATAAAAATACAAAAAAATGCCCCAGGAGTGGTGGTGGAACCGAGATTGTGCCACAGGACTCCATCCTGGGCAACGCAGGGAGACACTATCTCAAAAAAAAAAAAAAAAGAGAGAGAGAATTTAACACAGGAAACTGGTTACATATATATCCAAGGGGTTAATTAAGAGCAAAAAGGGAACATGTGAGATTACCCAGAGACTAGTAACTACGGGAAACTCTGGGCTGGGAGCGTGAAAGGGAAAATAGTTTTACCCAGTGCTACCATCATTGACTCTGAGGCTGCTGACATTGGCACCTTTACCACCAGCAGGCAGAAAGCCAGGAGCCAATACTCCAGCTTACACTGCAGGCGTCCAACAGAGTAACAGCCATGGGAGCCCACAAGCTCTGAACAGCTGAGGTTCCTGGAGCCTCTGCTAGTACTGCTGGAGCTAGGGCTGAGTGCTGCTGCTACTGCTGCTGTTCACATCACCCCCGAGCAGGAAGCCAGGCTCACCCATTGCCACCACCACCACTACTCAGCTATGTGAGCTGCCTCCACAAATTGGAGAAAAGGTCTTCTTCCTCCTGCATCTGAATCCCCTACTGTCTCTCAATTCAGAACCTAACTAGAAATAGAGAGCTAATAAGAGTCTGGAAAAACAAGCTTGGAGGTTTCCAGTTCATATTCTGGAAAGAATACGACCTACAGTGAAGGCTGGGCGTGGCAGCTCACACCTGTAATCCCAACATTTTGGGAGGCTGAGGCGGGCAGATCACTTGAGGTCAGGAGTTCAAGACCAGCCTGGCCAACATGGTGAAACCCCGTTTCTACTAAAAATACAAAAATTAGCTGGGCGTGTTGGTGAGCGCCTGTAATCTCAGCTACTCAGGAGGCTGAGGCAGGAGAATCGCTCTAACCCTGGAGGCAGAGGTTGCAGTAAGCTGAGATTGCACCGCTGCACTCCAGCCTGGGCAACAGAGCGAGACTCCATCTCAAAAATATAAATAAATAAATAACCTACAATGAGTTAAGAAGCTTTCACATTTTTTTTCCTGCTCTGCGCCAGTTTAAATAGCATAGGAACTGAAAGATTCCTATGAAGATTTTGTAGAAGATTCCGTGAAGATTTTGTAGATGACGTTCACAAAATTTTATCAGCCTCATGCCTTGGGTGATGATAGGTATAGTTAATTTTAACTACCTTTTAAAATTATTTTATTCATGGCCTCTTCAGATTTTTTACCTTTTGTCAAGACAATTTTGATCATTTATATCTTCCTTTAAAAAATCAGCCATTTTGTGCTGGGCATGGTGGCTCATGCCTGTAATCTCAGCACTTTGTGAGGCCGAAGTAGAAGCATTGCTTGAGCTCAGGAGTTCAAGACCAGCCTGGGCAACATAGTGAGCCCTCGTCTCTACAGAAAACAAATTAGCCAGGTGTGGTGGTGCACGCCTGTATTTCAGCTACTCAAGAGGCTGAGGCAGGAAGAGGATCACTTGAGCCCAGGAGGCAGAGGTTGCAGTGAGCTGAAATCGTGCCACTGCACTCCAGCCTGGGCGACAGAGTGAGACACTGTCTCAAATAAATAAATAATCAGCCATTTCACTGAAATATTTAAACTTATTAATATAGAGTTATATATGTTAATGTCTTGCAATTTCTAAAGTCTCCATATCTGATGTAAGGCTTTTTTTCTTATTTCCATTGCTTTTTGTCTTACTGCCTTTGTCCTTAACATTTTGCTTTTTAATGAAGTATAATATAGATTCCAAAATGTACACGTATCACAAGTGTACACAGCTCACTGGATTTTCACAAACTGAACACATCTGTGCAGCCATCATCACCTCGAAAAAGGGAGCATGACTCACACCCTTAAAGCTCTCCTGTGGTCCCTTCTGGTCTTTACACCCCTCCCCAAGCAGTAACTACCGACCTCCTTCCTAACAGCATAGGTTGGTGTGATGATTAATTTTATGTGTCACCATGGTTAGGCTATGAAGCCCAGTTCTTTGCTCAAACACTAGTCTAGATGTTGCTATAAAGGTATCTTGTAGATGGGATTAACATCTGCAATCAGTTGTGTTCCGTGAAAGGGTCGTATTAATATATACAAAGCGACCCCCAACTGCCGAAGGAGCTGAGAAACCAAAGAAAGAGGCAGACAAATCCAGTTGGTCAGTTTTGGATGATTTATTAGGGGATTATATTTTGGGGGATTTATTAGGGGATTATATTTATTGACTTATTAGGGGAACTTACAGACAGAAGTCTTGGGTCTTGCGGTCTTGAGTGGCTGCAAGACAGGTAGATCTCCACTCCACAACCCCCCAGACACACAGCTTGGGAAAAATGCATACGTGCTCTGGAAGGAATGTATAGGTGGCTGTGGGTATCACAGCCTGTGATTTCTGCAACAACAAAGGTGGTTTTGGAGGCAACTTACAATAAATAGCTCTTCCTACATAAAGAGTAATACATCAACTAGACATTTTGGAGGCATTCTCAAACTCAGGGTTAGTGGGAACTTACATGGTAGATTGGCGTTTTAAATTGGCCAGGGGCGGTGGCTCACGCCTGTAATCCCAACACTTTGGGAGGCCGAGGCAGGCAGATCACGTGAGGTCAGGAGTTAAAGACCAGCCTGGCCAACATGGTGGAACCCCGTCTCTAATAAAAATACAAAAATTAGCCGGGTGCGATGGCGGGCACCTGTAATCTCACCTACTCAGGAGGCTTGAGGCACAGGAATCACTTGAACCAGGTAGGCTGACGTTGCAGTGAGCTGGGATCACACCACTGCACTCCAGCCTGGGCGACAGAGCAAGACTCCATCTCAAAAAAAATAAAAAATAAAAATAAAAAGTCACTCTTGTCCCTACAAGTTGCCTTTAAGTAAAGGAGATTAACCTTGATAAGGTAGCTGGGCCTCATCCATCCAGTTGAAGGCCTTAAGATAAAAGACTCAGGTTTCCCAAAGAAAAAAATTCTGCCTCAAGTCTGTGTAACACAGAAATCCTTCCTGAGTTCCTAACCTACCCTACATATGAGAGACTCAGACTGCAACATCCTTTCCTACCCCATATCCAGCCCACCAGTTTGTCCCAAGGATTTTAGACTTAACAGCCTGCACAATCACATGAGCCAATTGCTTTAAAAAAAAAACCCTTTTGTATTCTTAGAAATAAAAAAGAAAGATGTAAATATTGTCTTGTTTCTCTGGAGAATCCTGACTGATACAGATTTTACAGATTTTATACAAAGATTGGTTCTAGAAGAACAGAGTCTTTTTTTTTTTTTTTTTGAGACAGAGTCTTGCTGTCTCCCACCAGGCTGGAGTACAGCAGCGAGATCTCGGCTCACTGCAATCTCCGCCTCCCGGGTTCACGCTGTTCTCCTGCCTCAGCCTCCCAAGTAGCTGGGACTACAGGCGCCCGCCACCACACCCGGCTAATTCTTTTTTATTTTTAGTAGAGACGGGGTTTAACCGTGTTAGCCAGGATGGTTCTCCATCTCCTGACCTTGTGATCCGCCTGCCTTGGCCTCCCAAAGTGCTGGGATTACAGGCGTGAGCCACCACGCCCAGCCTAGAAGAACAGAATCTTAAGGATGAGTTTTTGGAATTGGTTCTGTGGTTTCTGGAATTGGTTCTCTAATCTGGTTGGATTTTAATGCACTAATGACTCTACTTTCAGTGGTAAACAGAGCACCTATAGTGTGATATGGCAGTAGAGATACCCAAAATACCGCCATTGGACACTCCTACTCAAATATTCATGAGAGGCAAGGTTCTGGGTGACCATATATTTGCCACCTTAGAACATTTTTATCAAATTAATGAGTATAACGAAATTGGCTGTTGCTGTTAATTGTGCTTGACAAGATAGGGAAAGAAAGGATGAACTCAGGGTTTCAAACTCCCAGCTCAACCATTACATAACTGAATGGAAAGTTTCTGTGTCTGCCCTGAAAAAAAAAGAAAGAAAAGAAAAGAAAAGAAAAACACATCTCCTGTAGCCACAGAGCTGACGTTTCTGGAAGCCAAATCCAGAGTCTCATCCTGCAAGTCGTTGAATTATGACACAAATTGAGTTCCCAACCTCACGGGAACGTCTGCTGTTAAAGTAAGGGCAGGAATTGGGAAGGAACAGGGTCCTGAATTTTTTCTGTCTCTCCTAGTGCCTTCATATGAGAAGTACACCTAAAAATTTGAATGGGGACCTGTGGGAAGATCCTGGTGAAACTGGCGACATTGAGCTCCTAAATTCTGTGGATTCTTCTCTGCCAGTAGAAGCAAGCCTTCCACCCCATCTGAGGATATTGACTCTGTTATCAAGCAGGAGCCTGTGGTGGCCTCTTCTGAGGTAGTTGCCTCAGAAGACAGTGCTGATTCCTCAGGATCTACCCTAGGAACCCCTTTTTGCTTCTAGAACTATGACAAGACTCAAGTCCCTACAGGCCCCAAAACGTGAGATACAAAGTGTGACTCAGGAGGTTCACTGAGATCCAAAAGAACTGCATGGTGGTTCCAATTTGTACAGACAAAATCTTGGGAATGAGTATTAATGTGTGGGATAATGATGCAAGGAACATGAAGTTGGATTGGGGGTAACTTATTGAGATGGGCCCATTAGTCAGATCTGGATTCAGTGCTGTACCTCCAGGGCTTAGAAAAGGGCTCTGACAGTTTGGTTTAGCTGAAGTATGGACCAAAAGGTGGCCCACACTAAATAAAGCTGAAATGGCAGAGCTGACTTTGTGCACCGTAGAGGAAGGTATAGGGAGGTTGGAATATTAGATTTAACACGTGACCCCTGCTCACCCACCCTAGGAGCATCCAGAGGACACACCTTTCACCATGACTGATAAATACATTTGTGAGGGGAGCCCCTGCATCCTTGAGGAGCTCCTGTGGTTGCTTTTCCTTGTAGGTCAGATATTGCAGTGGGATCTACTGTCACAGAACTTGGAATCCTTAGGTGCAGTGCAGATCATTGGTTTCTGGGACAGAAGGGGACAAGTGGCAACATGTAATTGCCAAAAGCAAGGAGAGCATGGTCACCATAATGGGCAGTAGAGTCAAAACGGCAATAATAGTCTGACTGGCAGAGACCTATGGCATTGGCTGTTGATCGTGGTGTCCGTAGAAGAGAGTAGACGGACAGCCTATTAAATTCTTACTTGATCTGTATAATTAGAAGAGTTCTAGGTCAAGTGAACAAACACCTAACTTGAATCATAAAAACAAAGAGTCGCAGCTCTTCACTCAATTCCCAGACTTGAACCAGTTTACAGACCCAGAATCCCTTGAATGAAGGGAAATCAAGGTCGCCTTGAGGAAGGACCCTGATACACTGTCAAAAATGTATACTATTAATCTTCCTCTCAGGTGTCCCCAACGGGACCAACGGTTTTTTTACCATGGTGATTGTACATTGTGAAAAATAAAATAATCAGACTTTTGTGGGATTACTGAACTGGCTCTGAACTCACACTAATTCCAGGAGGCCATTCAGAGTAGGGGCTTATGGAAGTAAAATGGTCGATGGAGCCCCGGTCCATCTCACTCTGGGCCAGCAGGTCCCTAAACCCATCCAGTGGTTACTTTCGTAGTTCCAGGATGCATAACTGGTATAGACCAGTTACTCAGCATCTGGCAGAATCCTCACACTGGTTCCTGTGGAGTGAGGGCTATTGTGGTAGGAAAAGCCAAGTGGAAGCCACTAGAACTGCCTCTTCCTAGGCAAAATAGTAAACCAAAAACAATCCCAAATTGCCGGAGGGATTTCAGAGATTAGCGTCATCATCAAGGACTTGAACAAAGCAGGGATGGTGACTTCTACCACATCCCCCTCAATTAGCTTATTTGGCCTGTGCAGAAAAAAAGATGGCTCTTGGAGAATGACACCTGTGTACTTAACCAGGTGGCCACCCCAATTGCAACTGCTGTTTCAGATGTGGTTTCACTGCTTGAGTAAATTAACACATGCCTTGGTGCCCTGGTACTTGGTGTGCAGCTATTGATTGGCAAATGCTTTTTCCTCAGTATCTGTTAATAAAGATTACCAGAAGCAATTTGCTTCCAGCTAGCAAGGCCAGCAATACATCTTTACTGTTTTATTAGTCTGCTCAGACTGCCATAACAAAATACCACAGACTGGGTGTTTAAACAACAGAAATTTACTTTTTTTGTTTTTGTTTTTGAGACAGAGTCTCACTCTGTCACCCAGGCTGGAGTCCAGGGGCATGGTCTTGGCTCACTGCAACCTCCACCTCCATTCAAGCGATTCTCCTCCCTCAGCCTCCCGAGTAGCTGGAATTACAGGCGCACACCACCACGCCTGGCAAATTTTTGTATTTTTGGTAGAGACAGGGTTTCACCAAGTTGGCCAGGCTGGTCTCAAACTCCTGATCTCAGATGATCCACCCACCTCAGCCTCCCAAAGGGCTAGGATTACAGGCATGAGCCACTGCACCAGGCCCAGAAATTTACTTTTTCACCATTCCAGAGGCTAAAAGTCCCAGATGGAGGTGCTGGCAGATTTGATTTCTATTGAAGACTCTGTTCTTGGCTTGTAGACAGCCACCTTTTCACTGCGTCCTCACACAGCCTTTGTTCTATGCTTATGTGTAGAGAGAAATCTCTGTTGTCTCCTCCTTTTCTTATAAGGTCACCAGTTCTATTAGATAAGGGCCCCACTCTTATGATCTTATTTAATTTTAATTACCTCCCTACAGGCCCTCTCTCCAAACATAGTCAGATTAGGGGTTAGGACGTCAACATAAGAATTTGGAAGAATACATTTCAGTCCATAACAATTGTCTTATGTCAGGAGTAGATTAAACTCTCCGTTCCTATCACAGTATAGTCTTCAGGGATTTTGATCACCTTTCTTTTCCACAAGATATCACACCAGTTTAGTACATTTATGACATTATGCAGATTGGACCTGATGAGCAAGATGCAGCAACTGCTCTAGACTTATTAGTAAGAAATGTGCATGTCAGAGAATGGTAAATAAATCCAACTAAAATTCAGGGACCTTCTCCCTCAGTGAAATTTCTAGGGATCCAGTGGTGTAGGGCATGTCAAGATATTCCTTACAAAATGAAAGACAAGTTGTTGCATTTGGCTCCGCCTATAACCAAAAAAGAGGTACAATGCCCTTTTGGATTTTGGAGGCAAGACATTCTTCATTTGGGTGTGCCACTCCAGCTCATCAACCAAGTGACCCAAAAAGCTGCTAGCTCTGAGTGGGGCCCTTGGCTTCTAGTCCTGATACACAATCTTATCAGTTCACGCCCCTATCTATGGCCTCATACAGAGTTTCCTACAATCAGTTGACTGAGGAAGACGAGACGAGATATACCAGGCACATAGGTGGTTCTGCATGATATGCAGGCACCCCAATATGGACAACTACAGCATAATAGTCCCTTTCTGGGACATCCCCAAGAAACAGTGGTGAAGGGAATTCCTCCCAGTGGGAGCAATCCCCAACTTTGGGCAATGAATCCAGTGGTTTTTGTTTGGAAGGAGACATGGCAAGAGGTATAATTGTATATTCACTTATGAGATTTTGCTTGATGGTCAGGGACTTAGAAGGAACATTATTGGAAATTGGTGACAAGGAAATTTGATGTCTCTCTCTCTCTGAATGAGCAAAAAATGGAAGATATTTGTGTTCCATATGAATGCCCACCAAACGGTGACATCTACAGAGGAGAATTTTAATAATAGAATAGAATGACCTGTTCTGTGGATGCGAGGCGGTTTCTTTCCGTAGCCACCCCTGTCATGCCCAGTGAGTTCACGAACAAAGCAGCCATGGTGTCAGGATGGAGGTTACACATGGGTTCAGCAATATGGACTTCCACCCACTAAGGCCAACCTGGCTACACCCACCACCGAGTGCCCAATCTGTCAGTGGTAGAGACCAACACTGAGGCTCCAATATGGCACCATTCCCCGGGATGATCAGCCAGCTACAGGTGGCATGTTGGTTACATTGGACTCCTTCCATCATGGTAGGTCGGTATTTTGTCCTTCCTGGGGTGGACACTTAGTCTGAATATGGATTTGCTTTCCCTGTACACAATGCCTCTGCCAAAATTTATCCATGGAGCCACAGAATGCCATATTCACCACTGTGGTAGGTTCCACAAAGCATTGCTTCTATCCTATTCAGCCCGTTCTATTCTATTCACTGTTCTAATCTGCCTACTGCTTCAGGATGGTGGGGAACATGGTGAGACCAGTGACTTCCAAGAGCCTGTGCCCATTGCTGCACTTTTTTTTGCTGTGAAGTGAGTGCCTTGATCAGAACAGTGAAACGGCGTTTTGAAGACTCAGATACAGTGTCAGGTAGGTGGTAATGCCTTGCAGGGCTGGGGCAATATTCTCCAGGAGGTTGTGTATGCTCTGAATTAGCACCCAAGGGGCTGGGGGTGGTGGCTCATGCCTGTAATCCCAGTACTTTGGGAGGCTGAGGTTGGGGGATCGCTTGAGCTCAGGAGTTTGAAACCAGCCTGAGACACATAGCAAGACCCTGTCTCTATTTAAAAAAAAAAAAAAAAAAGTTTAAAAATTAGCTGGGCGTGGTGGCATGCAGCTGTACTCCCAGCTACTCAGGAAGCTGAGATGGGAGGGTCACTTGGGCCCGGAAGGCCAAGTCTGCAGTGAGCCTTGATCATGCCACTGTACTCCAGCTTGGGTGACAGAACAAGACCCTGTCTCAAAATAAATAAATATAAGTTAGCATCCAATATAGGGTGCTGCTTCGCCAATAGCCATGATACATAAGTCCAGGAATCAAGGGATGGAAATGGAGTTGGCACCATTCACTATTACCCCTATACTGACCCACTAGCAAAATGTTTTCTTCCTGTTCTGTAACCTAATGCTCTGCTGATCTAAAAGTCTTAGTTCCAAAGGGAAGAGTGCTTCCACCAGGAAACACAACAGTGATTCCACCAAACTCTCAGTTAACGTGCCACCCAGCCACTTGGGGCTCCTCATGCTTCTGAGTCAACAGGCTAAGAAGGGAGCTGCTGTGTTTTCTGGGGTGATTGGTCCTGGCTACCAAGGGAAAATTGGGCTGCTACTCCCCGACGGAGGTAAGTAAGAGTGCATCTGGAGTACAGGAGATCTCAATGTTACTCTGCACTGTGATTCAGATCAATGGAAAACTATAACAACCTAATTCAGGCCATACTACTAAATGGTCCAAACTCTTCAGGAAGGAAGGTTTGGGTCACCCCACCAGGTGACAAACCATGACCAGCTGAGGTGCTTGCTGAGGGCAAAGGGAATCTGGAATGGGTAGTGGAAGCAGATGGTTATAAATACCAGCTAAACCACATGGCCAGTTACAAAAATGGGGACTGTAATTGTTACGAGTATTTCTTCCTTATTTGGTTACAAATGTGTTGTGTGTGTGTGTGTTTAGAAAATATATTTGTCTTCTTCTCTCTCTTATTCCCTTATATTACATAAGACATATCTTAATATTTCAGTTACAGGATACCAAAGAGAAGAGTAAACATGACCCAAGAACCCTACGTCCTCTTCTGGGGAAGGTTTAGTGTGTCTCTGGTTTTACCCAAGATAGTTGAATCAGGTGAGGTGCAAGTATGATTTTGCTGTTATCTGGAGATTAAGTATAGTTTAAGGAGATATGTAGAGGTGCCACGTTGACAAACAGTTGACTGCAGTAGTTAATTTTATTTATTTATTTATTTATTTGAGACAGGGTCTTACTCTGTTGTCAGGCTGGAGTGCAGAGGTGTGATCTCGGCTCACTGCAACCTCAGCCTCCCAGGCTCAAGTGATTCTCCTGCCTCAGCCTCCTAAGTAGCTGAGACTAAAGTGCGCGCCACCACACCCAGCTAATTTTTGTATTTTTAGTAGAGACAGGGTTTCACCATGTTGGCCAGGATAGTCTTGATCTCTTGACCTCGTGATCCACCCACCTCGGCCTCCCAAAGTGCTGGGATTACAGGCGTGAGCCACCGCGCCCAGCCTGCAGTAGTTAATTTTATGTGTCACTGTGGTTAAGCTATGGTGCCCAGTTGTTTGCTCAAACACTAGGTCTAGAAGTTGCTGTGAAGATATTTTGTAGGTATGATTAATATCTACAATCCATTGACTTTAAGGAGATTACCCTCAATAATGAGAGTGAGCCTCACCCATTCAGTTGAAGGACTTGAGAGCAAAGACTCTCAAGAGAGCAGGGAAAAAGAAGGAATTCTGCCTCAAGTCTGTAACACAGAAATCCTACCAGACTTTTTCTGGTTTGCTGACCTGCCCTACAGATTATAGACCAGCCAGGCCCCACAATCACATGAGCCAATTCCCTTAAATAAATTCCTTTAAAATATATCCATAGATCTCCCATTAGTTCTCTGCGAAACCTTGACTGGTACAGTTAGTTTCACTTGTTTTGTGAAGTTTCACTTGTTTTGTGCTTCCTGTACATGAAATTACACAATCTATACTTTTCCTACCCAGCTCCTTTTGTTCTACATGACATTTGTGAGCTTCATTCCTACTTTCCTCAGGTTCATCCGTGAACTGTGTGTGAGCTGCGGGGTCAGACCCACCGTCTGCATGTGTAGCATTCCTGTGAGACAGGAGCCAGCAGGCGGCACTATGACATCGCATATGGAACTTGGAAACGTCCTGTAACTGCAAATTCCTAGGTGTCAGCCACAGCTGAATTTTTCAGTGGTCTGTCACAGGGCAGGCAGCTTATCGTCAAACTGGAAATAAAATCTTTACATTTCTAAATTTGATGTTAATTGAGTTGATAAAATTTGGCCGGGCGCGGTGGCTCATGCCTTTACCAGCAGTTTGGGAGGCTGAGGCAGGCAGATGACTTAAGGTCAGGAGTTCGCGACTAGCCTGGCCAACACGGCGAGACCCCGTCTCTACTAAAAATACAAAAATTAGCTGGGTGTGGTGGTGATCACCTGTAATCCCAGCTACTCGGGAGGCTGAGGCAGGAGAATTGCTTGAGCCCTGGAAGCGGTGGGTGCAGTGAGCCAAGATCACGCCACTGCACTCCAGCCTGGGCGACAGAGTGAGACTCTGTCTCAGAAATAATAATAATAATAAAATAAAATAAAATTGAAGTGCTCAGGACACGAGAGGCCTTCACAGAAGTAAGCTGTGGCAGGGGGAGAGGAGAGGGGCTGATGTGCCCTCAGCCCAGCACTAGGGAGTGTCAACGCCCTGGAGGGGTCTGGTACTTTACTTGCCAGCTAATGCGTTGCGCCGTCACAGACTAGTGGATATGGATACTGGCAGGAGCTGTGTTATGTATTTTTTTTTTTTATAGACAGGGTCTCACTCTGTTGCCCAGGCTGGAGTGCAGTGATGCAATCATCGCTCACTGCAGCCTCAAATTCCTGGGCTCAAGCGATCCTCCTGCCTCAGCACCCCCAAAGTTCTGGGACTACAGGCATGAACCACTGTGCCTAGCTAGAAGCCGTGTTATTATTTACAACAATCACTATAGCCATAGTACCCACATTTCCTTGCCCTAAGTCCTAGCATGTGGGGCCGGATGACACCTGCACAAGCAGTGGCTTGCAATTCATGACAATCTCTGAGCTTGGGGACCCTGAATGTTTGACAATGGGCAGTAAGCCTGCCTACCCATTTGCTCTGGAAAGAGCTGCTCTTTCTATCTTCCAAGCAACTGCCCTTTGTTGTAAGCAGTGTAAGCAAACTGCCCATTGCTTTGGAGAAAGACACTATTGTTTGTCTTCCAAGGCTGTTCATTTCACCAACATTGTTGAAAAGGTAACCCAGAACAAAGGGAAGGCAGACATGCAAAGACTGCAAGGCATGCAAAAATGTGAAACACCCAGGGAGACTCATCTGGCAACAGGAGTATAGAGGATGAGGAGGGTCCTCTTCCTCTGGGAGGTGTGGTGGGGAGAAAAATGTGCTGCTAGAATGGAGAAGGTGGCTGCAGAATGGCACCTCTAGGCTTTCTGAGGATTCACATCAGTCCTCTGCACCAGGAGGCTGCCATCTGCATAGTAACGGGCTGCCTGGGGCCCATGGCCTTGAGTGGCATTCCCCTCTGGAACTTTTGGGCAGTGGTGTTCTTCTTGTCTCCCCGTAGCAAGCACTGGAGAAAATGTCATGCAGACATCCTTTGCTCCTCACTCCTGTGCTCTGGAGGGGAGAGCCTATCTAAACCAAAAGAAGCCCCGAGTGCATGTTTTCCTTTCTGACTGAGGTCGAAGGCGAGAGAAGGCTCTTGCAGAGGCAGTAGCAGTGCTGAGAAGGGCAGAGCCAGGTGGCAGGAACCCAGGAGAGCCACCTTTCTACCTTAGGTCAACAGTCCTGCTGTTGAGGGAAACCCTTGCTATTCTAGCCTCTCTCTTAGTGTCCAAGCAGCAACAGTTGGGGCAGGGATGAAGGGCTCAATCTCTTTCCTGTGAAGGGGTCAGAGAGCATTTTGGATTGCCTTGCCAAGAAGAGTATATGTTGCAGGCCAGGGATGCCTGCAGTGGCTTGGAATAAGGGAAGGGAGGGTCTTCCTCGCTGACTTCCCTGGGATCTTTTCTTCCCACCATAATTTGTATTATGTATTGAAAGGACACAATTGGAGTAAAATTACAGAATTACAGACTTTCACTGGAGGAAAGGACCTCAGAGATGGCCTAGTCCAGTAGTTTCTTAGCTGAGATCCTGGGACTACTCAGGCCTTCACGGATGGGTTTCAGGGATCCAACCTTCTCCTAGTGCGATGCATTTGAGTTTCCAGAAGTTTGTCAGGTGACTGGGATCAAACCATTCCTAGGTGACGGGTAAGTAACAGAACAGATGGGTCTCTGGAGTTTGGGCAAGAAGAAGTCGTTGTAGCCAGGCAGAGTCAGACACGGCTGGGCATCAGGAAGCAGCCCTTGGGCCAGAGAAGTTCTCAGGCCGTTGTGCATCGTGGTGGCAATGGCAGCAACCTTGGGGTCCAGCAGCTTCAGCGTCCTCCACTATAACCTGCAGGAAGGAAACTTTATGATGCCTTATGTCAAGAATTTAGTATTTAAGCAACACAATAAAAAATGGCTAGGTGTTCCTATTTAGATGGACTTTGCTGGGGTGTGAGAGTCATTTTGTGAGTCCTGGGGGAGAACACTGCACAGACAAGACGGGACCCCAGGTGCCAGACTGGAGGCCCTGAACTTCATCCTGTAAGCAGAGGAGAGCAATTGGCAGTCCATAAGCAAGGAAACTGGCAACCACTGCAAGAACTGCAGGAATTGCCTCTGGAAGACACTGGAAGAATGAGAGAGTAGGGAAGGAAGCACAGGGTCTTCCCAAGCATTATTTGCCTGGTACACAGTAAGTTCTTATAAATATTTGGAGAGAGAAAGAGAAGAAGAGAGAATGCTTCACGATCAGTCCTACCAACATACTTGTAAGAATCAGCTGGGATCCACTTCAATCTTTCTGTAAAGGGAGAAATAGGAATGCATGCCGCCACCAGTACTCCTCACTGCTATTGTAACTAACGTTTGCATGTCCTCTTCCCCTTGTCACAAAGGGCAGTTACTGTTCCCAAGTTCTTATGTTGTAATGGGGCTTGTTGTCCTGGGACCTGGGAAAGAAAATAGTTTTCGGTTAATGCGACCACTACCCCAGGGCCCGTTTATTTGGGACAGCTGATGTGTAATGCTATAGTCTAGGGAGACATGGAAATTTTTTTGTAGGTCACTCTTAAGAAATAGTTTGAGATGGCGCTGGAAACTTCCTGAGCCCTTTGGGTTCCAATATTCTAGGTGGAGATTTAGTCCTCGCTCTGACATCTCAACCAAGTTCATTTTGAGCATCACAGTATGGTGGCTGAATAATGGCCCCTCAAGTATGTCCATGTCCCAATCCCCAGGACCTGTGAATAGGTTACTTTACATGGTAAAGGACCTCTGCAAATGTGAGCAAGTTAAGAGCCTTGAGATGGGGAGATGGTCGTGGCTTATTTGGGTGGGCTCAGTGTGACGGAACAGTCCTTGTAAGGGGGTTGCAGGAGGGTCAGTGTCAGAGGAGGTGATGTGATTGGAGTGATGCGGCCATGTCTTGCAGTGGGACACTGGCTTCCCTTTGTTCTGGGTTACCTTTTCAAGAATGTTGGTGAAATGAACAGCCTTGGAAGACAAACAATAGTGTCTTTCTCCAAAGCAAAGGGCAGTTTGCTTACACTGCTTACAACAAAGGGCAGTTGCTTGGAAGATAGAGTCGCTCTTTCCAGAGCAAATAGACAGCCCTGGAAGCTGGAAGGGGCAGGGCAGGTGCTATGGTCTGAATGTTTGTGTCTCCCCAAATTCATGTGTTTCATTCTAACCCCCAAGGTGATGATATTGGGAGGTGGGGTCTTGGGGAGGTGATTAGGTTTTGACGGTGGACCCTCATGATTGAAATTGGCATCCCTGTAAAAGAGATCCACCAAAAGAGCTAGCTTGCCCCTTCCAGTGAGAAGATGAGCCCTTACCAGACACCAAATCCATCTTGATCTTGGACTTCCCAGCCTCCACACTATGAGAAATACATTTCTGTTGTTTAGAAGCCACCCAATTTGTGGTATTTTGTTATAGTAGCCCAAATAGACTAAAGCAGAATGGATATTCTCCAGGGGCCTCCTTAAGACTAATTTTAAACTTCTGATCTCTAGAACTGTAAGAACAAATTTGAGTTGTTTTAAGCGAAGTGCGTGGCCATCTGTTACACAGCAAGCCATTGATTCTCATGACGGATGCTCTGTTGGTCTCCCCTCCCCCTGAGAACTGTGCTGGCCTGGCACAGTGGTCTTCAGCTTTACTTTCCCTTGGAATCCTGTGGAAAACTTTTGAAGATCCTCTTGCCCAGGATCTGCCCCAGATTAACTGAATGAGAATCTCTGGGAGCAGGACCCAGCATTGTCATCATTATTACTTTTGTAAATAGAGAAATAATCCACATGACACCGAAATGTACATATTATTAGATGTTTACTTCAAAGACACTTGACAGTTGTAGACACCCCTGTAACCACCACTGAAACGAGATACAGAGCATCCCCATCACAACGGAAGGTTATTTCTATAATGCCCCTTGCAATGAACTCCAACCCCAAGAGGCAACCACTTTCAGACTTCCATCACAATAGATGAGTTTTATCTCTTCTTAGACCTCATATAAATGGAATCACATGGCTTGTTTTTTTGGTGGGTCTGGCTCCTTTTGCTCAAAAAAATGTTTTTGAGATTCACCCATGTGGTTGTATGTTCCTTTTTATTGCTGAGTAACATTTGGTTACATGAATATATCGTGATGTATTTATCTATTTTGATGGTGATGGATTTTTGAATTGTTTACAGTTTGGGGTTATAATGAATGAGGCTGAGGTTTTGAAGCAGGGCCACAGACTTTGACACTCTCATCAGAAATGGTTTCTGTAGCCCCTCCCACTGGAGCCAGGCAGGTTTGCGATTGCTTCAACTAATGGAGACTAGTAAAAGATTGAAGTGTCCCTCAAAATTCCCATGTCAAAGTCCTAATCCCTGGTGTGGCTATATTTGCAGGTAGGACTTTTAGGGAGGCAATTACAATTAAATGAGGTCATAAGGGTGGGGCCCTGATTCAAGAAGCCTGGCGTGTCCTCGTAAGAAGAAGAGGAGACACCAGAGCTCAGTCTCTCTCCCTCCCTGCACAGGTGCAGAGGGAAGGAACTGGGAGCACACAGCAAGAAAGTGGCTGTTCACAAGCTAGGACCTGACCCTGCTGGCACCTTGATCTCGGACTTCCAGCCTCCAAAACTGTGAGAAAAAAATAAATATTTGTTGTTTAAGCCACCCATCTGTGGTATTTTATTATGACAGCCTGAGTAGACTACTTCAGACCCTATGTTACTTCTGAGGCTGTGTTACAAAAGGCCATGCAAATAAAAAGGCCAGGCAGCTTCCCAGAACTGGGAGTTCTCTGGGAACACTGGCTTTAGGGCCCTGAGCCCGCCATGCTTGGAGGCCACTGCAGACACCCCAAATGGAAGTCCTGGCTGGGCCCAGTCTTCAGCTGCCCAGCCCCAGGGCTGGCGTGTGAGTGGGAGGGCCATTGAGGACAAGCTGTGCCCAACATTGGCAATCGTGGGGCAGACAAGAGCTGCTCTGCTATGCCCCTTCTTATTTCCTGACCACGGGCGGAATCGATGGGCGTGAAAAATGCTGGTTGTATTTCACCAACGTGGGGGGATTTTTCTAGTCACACTGGATAAACTGGAACAATGTTGTATGAGCATTCTTAGAGAAGTTTCTTTTGGGAACCTATTCATTTCTCTCCCCATTAAGTACGTAGGAAGGAATTTCTAGGTTGAAGATTAATGTTGTTATAAAGATTTGCTCTAGTTCTCCCACATGGCTGTCCTATTTTAAACTCCCCGCAGCCATGTGCAAGAGCTTCAGTCACCCTACGTCTTTGCCAACATTGGTGTGATCATCTTTTTGATGTTAGCCCTCCTAGTGAGTGTGAAAGGATGTCTCATTGTCGTTTTATTTTCAGTCCTTTGATTACAAATTATGTTGAGCATCTTTTCATTTGCTTATTGGCTATTCGTATATCATGTTTTGTGAAACATGTATTCAAGTCTTTTGCCCATTTTTAAACACTGTGTTGTTTCTCTTTTTTTAGTTGATGTGTGGGAATTCTTTATATATTCCATATACAAGACATTTGTCAGATAAATGAGCTGTGAATATTTTTTCCCAGTCTATGTGACGTCAGTAGTTTTCAAAGCCCCGCAGATGACTCCAGCATGTAGCCAAGGTTGAGACCATTGGCCTAGTGCTTATTTCCTTCTTTTCCTGGAAGGACAAAACTGGGGTCCAGTATGCGGGGTTGGGAATCAAATCACGTGGCTTTGGCTTGGCTCCAACACTTGCCTACCATGTGACCCC
This sequence comes from Homo sapiens, assembly GCF_000001405.40. Taxonomy (NCBI): domain Eukaryota; kingdom Metazoa; phylum Chordata; class Mammalia; order Primates; family Hominidae; genus Homo; species Homo sapiens. The sequence continues at coordinate 12,928,366 of NC_000018.10, read as the reverse complement.
AGGCAAGTCACTTAAAATGGCTTCATACCTCCATTTTCTCATCCCTAAGATGGAGTTGATAATCAGGCTCTAGAAAGAGTGTTTTAATAATTAAGTAATCATAAGCAGATGTCTATGATGTCACTACATGCACAGATTATGATATTTGCAGGACAGTATCAGGTTTCAACTTAAAATTTCTCATAGTTACGTATAATATCTTCCATTTTAGGCAAAATTTTCAGGTCACCAATATTTGCCATAGATAAAAGACTAGGAGTGTGGGGGTTATTATAATGCTTTAGATATATGAGGAAATTGTACAAAATAATATCTCCATGGGGTATTTATTTGTTTTTGTTTTTGTTTTTTTTTTGAGATGGAGTCTCACTCTGTCGCCCAGGCTGGAGTGCAGTGGCTCGATCTCGGCTCGCTGCAAGCTCTGCCTCCCAGGTTCACGCCATTCTCCTGCCTCAGCCTTCCGAGTCGCTGGGATTACAGGCGCCTGCCACCACACCCGGCTAATTTTTTCTATTTTTAGTAGAGACGGGGTTTCCCCATGTTAGCCAGGATGGTCTCGATCTCCTGACTTCGTGATCCGCCTGCCTCGGCCTCCCAAAGTGCTGGGATTACAGGCGTGAGCCACCGCGCCTGGCCTTTGTCTTTTTAATGCCTTGTGCTTCAAGTTAAAGAAAGGAATGGAGGACAGAAACAGTGCAGGCAGCATGGGCTGGCAGTAGCACGGAGTCTGGCATCGCAGATATCCTAAATGCAAAACTTCGAGGCTGAAATTGGCATGAGACATGTCACATATTCAGCAATCCTAAATCAGTTCACTCTCATACTTGGATTCTCTGAGAATCAAGGCTCATGTCTGCAAGCAACTGTCTAGGCCTGCAGCAACATACAGCTTTAGGTAACATCAACACAGGAATCAAATCCACACTAAACGTACGTGGCCTTATTATCGTAGTGCTTTAATCAGAGTGATGTACATTTACAGAATGCTTTCATATATTTATTTTAGGCTGACTTATAACAACCGTGTAAGGAAATATTGGAAGAGATTATTAGGATCATCTCCATTTTGCAGATAAAGAAGCTGAGGCTCAGAGGTCACGTGGTTAGTAAGGCTCAGAGCTGGCACAAGGAACCAGATCTTCCAACTCCAAGTCCAGCACCTTTGCACACCACACCAGGGCTTCTCAAACTGCAGCTCACTTCTACAGCTCACCTGGGGGTCTTGTTAAAATGCAGATTCTCACACATAGGTCTTGGATGGGACCAAGTGCTTCTTTTTCTGATAAGCTTCAGGTAGTGCTGATACTGATCCATGGATCGTATTTTGAGTGGCCAGGCACTACACCACGCTCCATTTTAATCAATCAACTAGCCGTAGGCCTCATTATTCAATAGTTGCCATTATACACAGCTGACTGCTGAACAAAAATCACCTCCAGGTTGCCTTTCAGCTAGGTATCACCTTCCAAGGGTAAGTCCCACTGATGAGCCAAACTGCAGCTTTGTTTTCCTTAGATGTGCTCCCCTTTTCCTAGGAATGTCTAGGGGAGACAGAGCCAAAGACTGCATCCAGGTGAACAAAGGTCCTTTCACCAGGAAGCTTCCTACCCTAATGTTCTTCAAGGGAGGTGACTGGAGAAATGGTTGTGAGTCAGCCTTTTCCTCACGGGAGTTCTGTCTTGGAAGAAAGATAAATAATATAGAAAATGTGGCTTATAACCTGGGAGCCAAGTGCTTTTGTGGACGGTCAATTACCACTCTTGTTCTGGAATCTGTCTGCAAATGTGTATGTGTGCTGCTGCCACAATAGACAGCGATTCACAAAACACAAACAGTGAAATGGCATAAGGTTTCTCTAACGGCGGCGGACACAGAAACATGTCCACCCCGAGAAGGCTACACAGGGGAGGAAGAAGTGTGGCATTTCTAGCTGGACATGCAGGTCCCTGGGTTCCCCAAATCCTCCCAGGCATATGCAGCTGCCAATCTCCCTGCCAGAAGAGCATATTGTCAGGCATATGAACACACCCTTTGGCACTCTGAGGGGCTTTACCCTGTCTTGTGCACTCCTGCCTGTTCTGAGGACCATGCCCCAGGAGCAAACATGCAAAACAGCAGACCCTTTAACTGCCCACTGCCTGTGAGATGAGTTGGACCATTCCAAGCTGTTGGGCGAGAGCCAGAGCAGATCATCTGAGTCCCTGCAGACCTGGCCCAACTGCATGTATCCCAGCAGCGGGGTGTGTGTCTATCTCCTTTTTCTTTTCTTTTTTCTTTTTAAGACAGAGTCTCCCTCTGTTGCCCAGGCTGGAGTGCAGTGGCATGATCTTGGCTCATTGGAGCCTCTGCCTCCCAGGTTCAAGCAATTCTCCCACCTTAGTCTCCCAAATAGCTGGGATTACAGGCGTGCACCACCAGGACTAGCTAATTTTTGTATTTTTAGTAGAGACGGGGTTTCTCCATGTTGGTCAGGCTGGTCTTGAACTCCTGACCTCAAGTGATCCGTCCCCCCCTCAGCCTCCCAAAGTGATGGGATTACAGGCATGAGCCACTGCGCCCAGCCTGTCTCTACTTTTTTTTTTTTTGAAACAGAGTCTTGCTCTGTCGTCCAGGCTGGAGTGCAATGGCACAATCTTGGCTGACTGCAAGCTCCGCCTCCCAGGTTCACGCCATTCTCCTGCCTCAGTCTCCCGAGTAGCTGGGACTACAGGTGCCTGCCACCACGCCTGGCTAATTTTTTTGTATTTTTTTCAGTAGAGACCGGGTTTCACCGTGTTAGCCAGGATGGTCTCCATCTCCTGACCTCGTGATCTGCCTGCCTTGGCTTCCCAAAGTGCTGGGATTACAGGCCTGAGCCACCGCGCCCGGCCCAGCCTGTCTCTTTTTAATTCTAATTTCTTTGGCACTTCTCTCTCTCTCCTACCTTCCTCCTTTGAGGCTCATCCTCCCCTGTCATTTGTCCAGACCAGAATGCTGCTCCCGCATGTCTTGCCCTAGGCCATGTCTCCTGACACATTTGGCTACTCTTTGGTATCTAGAAACACTCTCAAGGGGCTGGGGTGGATGGAGAGCTGAGGAGGCAGGTTAGGGCTTAGGGGTCTGAACAGGGCTGACCATTAGCTGGGAAGTCCCGGTTCAGCTTACTGGTGGGCATCTCTTCTGATTCATCAGTGCCCTCACTGTCCTGGCCCTTACATATTTTGAATATCTCCTCTAGGTTTGGGGACACAGAAGAAGGGCAAGCAGTTCCTGTGCTGAACTAGGAAGAGCCATGCTGAGCACAGGATTTGCAGGCAGCACTGTGTCCTCAGACCCTCCCGTAGCAGGGTGCCCTGTCTCCCCCGTGCCTCCACAACTATGTCTATGCTGCATGGAAAAGGGCACCTTCAGCTCCTGAGTGCAACAGAGAGATGGGAACAAACCAAGCTTAGCACAAGAAGGGCCAGGGCAGCTAAACTTAGCTAATTGAACGTTCAAGTTTTGGGAGAAAGATTGTGGAATCTGGGCTTCTTTCCCTTTGGCCCGTCTTTAGAACAGGAGGATGCTCTTTATTCAGTCCCCCGAGGTTTTCCTGCATCGAGCTCTTGAATTCAACAAGAATAGCACTAGGCCGTAGAGAATAATTTGCCAGGCAATTATTAAGTGTTTTCCGAAAGTGATGTTGCTTTGCAAAATGTTTTAAAATAAATTGAATGTGCATTTCCACTTAGAGATGAAGAGAAGCATATCACTTGGCTTCATTTAATAATGATTTAGATGATGGTAAGAAGAGCAAGTAAATTCAAATTAGATTATTGATTTTCATGATTATAAATTAGAATCCAACAAAAATAAATGACAGATATTTTTCTATATGAATACATTTTAATTCTTAGAAAGTTGCATGAAAAATATATATTAGCCACTCTATGTGATGAATGGATACGCTGACATTGGTATTTATAAAGTCCTGTAGAGTCCAGCCCTTCACAATGAATTATCATACAGGCATTTTTCTCAGTGACGCTGGAGGACAACGTAATGGATTCTTCTGCATGGCTCCTGTTTCTGCCCATTAGTGGCTGCCCTGTCTTATGATAGATGTTTTCCAGTCAACTTACAGAACTTGTTAATAGTAACTCAATATTCATGGAGTAATCTGCAGTACTAATGAAATGAAATTAAAAAACAAACCTTAGTTTTTTTTAGGCCAGGTGTGGTGGCAGGCGCCTGTAATCCCAGCTACTTGAGGGGCTGAGGCAAGAGGGTCACGTGTGTGTGTGTGTGTGTGTGTGTGTGTGTGTGTGTGTGTGTATTTGTGATTCATCCATCATTATACTGATTCCATTTCTCACTGAAATTAAGGGTGTTTTCAATGTAAAAGATGGAGGTGAGAAGGGAGATTTTATCACCCACTCAAGGTCACTTCCAGGTGAGAGGTTTGGAATCAGGAGCTCCCACCTAGAAACAATGTTTCTGCCTCTGGACAGCATGAAGGCAATTGCTGCCAAGGTTTCTCATGCCTCATTGCACCCGGATCATGGTTTTATCAAGGTAGAATAAGGGACTAATACATCTTGGCAAATGCAAATATATTTGTTCAAACCATAAATGAATGAAAGCCAACTCATACATTCTTTTATCTTAAAGTTTTTTTTTTGGTTGTTTTTTTGTTTTGTTTTTTTGTTTTTTGTTTTTTGTTTTGTTTTGTTTTGACTCTGTCTCTCAGGCTGGAGTGCAGTGGCGCAATCTCGGCTCACCGCAATCTCTATTTCCCGGATTCAAGCAATTCTTCTGCTTCAGCCTCCTGAGTAGCGGGGATTACAGGCGCGTGCCACCACGCCCGGCTAATTTTTATATTCTTAGTAGAGATGGGGTTTTACCATGTTGGCCAGGCTGGTCTCGAACTCCTGACCTCAGGTGATCCACCTGCCTCGGTCTTCCAAAGTGCTGGGATTACAGGCATGAGCCACAGCGCCTGGCCCCAGCTAACTTTTTATTTTGTACAGATGGGCTCTCACTTTGTTACCCAAGCTGGTCTTTAACTCCTGGCTTCAAATGATTCTCCCGCCTCAGCCTCCCAAAGCGCTGAGACTACAAGTGTGAATCACGGCACCCAGCCCAAATACAGGCTATTTGGATGGCAGTACTTGTGGAGTGTAAGTTACAGCATAGAACTGCTTTCCCCTACTAGATCTGCCCTTCAGGTCCCATATTTTGAATAGGATAATCTTGGGTTTCCCTGCTACCTATTTTGTATTAAGTCCTCCAGTAAAGAGCGCCTTCTGCTTTCCTTGACCCTGTTTTTCAGTATCCTTTCAATATCCTTCAGTATCCTTCTTCATTGTCCTACTTGGCCAATTCTACTTGCGACTAAATCAATATGCCTACCACCAACCTGTGCGTCTTCCTAATTGTCACTGGTGTACCTTTTTTCACCTTGTGACTGTCTGGGACATCTCTGTCCATTGGAGCTTATGATCTCTGATAAGTCTTCTAATTACCAGTGTTCCATTCTGATACATATGTCAAGTGAAGAGACCTCACTTTATTTTTAAACCTCTTAAGGGTTGAAGTAGGATTTGGTATATCAGGAAACAACGGAACTAATTCTAAAACTATACCTTTATAATTATATTGAACTGAAATATAATATTGTTTGTAGAATGGAATTGGTATAAAGTGAATTTGGTTTTTTACCACATTTAATATTATGTATCCATCAGCTTTTTTGGGTTGCAATCATAAACAGAGACAAGATTTACTGGAGAGCTTTTGGAGCTCACAGAATCAACAGGAGCCTAGAGAATAGGAGGGAAGCAAGGGAGCTTTGGAAGCAATGGAAACTGTTATCATTCATGTATTCATTCAGTAAGCATTTAGTGAGCATTTACTATGTGCCAGTATTTTAACCAGTTTTCTACTGGCAGGCATCCAATTTGTTGCTGTTATAAACAGTGCAATCTAATGAATAAAATTTAAAAAAATCATTTTCTAGAGATGTATTTTTTTTTCCACGAATTATTTACTAAGCTTACTGGCATACTGTTTTTCATTTGAGGGGAATTTGAGGACAGGTCTTTGTATATGATCTTGAACTCTATAATGCTAAACTTCATTGCCTTGAGTGATACATTGACTTCTGCAAATGAGTCATTAAGACAAAATATTTATTTATTTATTTATTTATTTATTTATTTATTTATTTATTTATTGAGATGGAGTCTCACTTTGTTGCCCAGGCTGGAGTGCAGTGGTGTGATCTCAGCTCACTGCAACCTCCACCTCCCGGGTTCAAGTGATTCTCATGCTTCAGCCTCCCACGTAGCTGGGATTACAGGCGTGCACTACCACGCCCAGCTAATGTTTTGTATTTTTGGTAGAGACAGAGTTTCACCATGTTGGCCAGGCTGGCCTAGAACTCTTGACCTCAGACGATCTACCTGCCTCGGCCCCCCAGAGTGCTGGGATTACAGGCATGAGCTACCGTGCCTGGTCTATTGTTTATGGAAATGTCCCATAGTTAATTTTTTTTCTTAAGCAGCTAAAATATGAACTTTGATGTGCTTATGAAGGCTTTTTTGGTAAACACCTGCCTATTTTGCTGTTGAAATGCCTAAAAGATTACTGTAAGAGAGGCTGATTGATAGCATAAATGGGGAGTCTTTTCCTCCTTTACCAATCAATGCTACCTGCTTGGAAACTAATAAGCCTGTTACGCATCAAGAGCCTTATAAGTGTGACTTAGGCAAAGCTGGTGAGTAGACAGTTACTGTGGGTCATTTTCCTTGACAACACAGAGACCACTGAAGCTAACAGGAAGACGTTCTGGTGCTGATACAGAGAGGAAAGTCAACATAAAAACGCTCTCAGTGATGTGCACATTCCATCCCTGTTCGGTGTCCTCCTTGTGCTACACGCAGATAGCTGAGGTGTCATGGCTTAGGTGCTGCAAGGTGACTGTATTAAGCCCAGACACCCTCGCTCTCATGACAGCCCCCGAGTATGATACTGAGAGTGTGAAAGGGAAAGTGTATTTTTCTATGACCTGTGGTTTCTTCTGGCCTCACAAAGCTTTAGGCTTGTTTGTGTTTGACTTTTTGCTGTTTTTGCACTTTCAGAGCACTGTTTGTGGTTTGGAGGTGAAACTTTTCTTTAAAGTTCTTGTTAACATTTAGTTTGGCACAAAGTTTGCAAATAGGCGTGAAAAACATAGCACCATTTTCACTGTGAAGGAGGCTAAGTGGTTTCAGCAGCTTTTATTTATTTTTTTTTTTAATTTTTATTTCCATAGGTTACTGGGAAACAGGTGCCGTTTGGTTACATGAATAAGTTCTTTAGCGCTGATTTCTGAGATTTTGGTGCACCTATCATCCGAGCAGTACGCACTGCACCCAATTTGTAGGTTTGTTTGTTTTTCACTGAGTCTCGCTCTGTCAACCAGGCTGGAGTGCAGTGGCACGATCTCGGCTCACTGCAACCTCCGTCTCCCGGGTTCAAGCGATTCTCCTGCCTCAACCTCCCAAATAGCTGGGATTACAGGTGCTTGCTACCATGCCCGGCTAATTTTTGTATTTTTAGTGGAGATGGGGTTTCACCGTGTTGGGCAGGCTGGTCTTGAACTCCTGACCTCACCTCGGCCTCCCAAAGTGCTGGGATTACAGGCGTGAGCCACCGTGCCTGGCCTAATTTGTAGTATTTTATCCCTCATCCCCTTCCCACCCCTTGCCCTTTATCCCCCAAAGTCCATTGTGTTATTCTTATGCCTTTGCATCCTCATAGCTTAGCTCCCACTTATGAGTGAGAACATATGATGTTTGGTTTTCCATTCCTGAGTTACTTCACTTAGAATAATAGTCTCCAGTCTCATCCAGGTTGCTGCAAATGCCATTAATTCATCCTTTTTTATGGTTGAGTAGTATTGCATTGTATATATATATATATGTATATATATATTATATATGTATGTATATATATATGTATATATCACAGTTTCTTTATCCACTTGTTGATTGATGGGCATTTGGGTTGGTTCCACATTTTTGCAATTGTGAATTGTGCTGCTATAAACATGCGTGTGCAAGTATCTTTTTCGTATAATGACTGTTTTCCTCTGATAGATACCCAGTGGTGGGATTGCTGGATCAAATGGTAGTTCCACTTTTAGTTCTTTAAGGAATCTCCACACTGTTTTCCACAGTGGCTGTATAGTTTACATTCCCACCAGCAGTGTAGAAGCGTTCCCTGTTCACCGCATCCATGCCAACATCTATTATTTTTCAATTGTTTTTATTATGGCCATTCTTGCAGGATTGTGGTATCACATTGTGGTATCGCATTGTGGTTTTGATTTGCATTTCCCTGATAATTAGTGATGTTAAGCATTTTTTCATATGTTTGTTGGCCATTTGTATATCTTCTTCTGAGAATTGTCTGTTCATGTCCTTTAGCCCACTTTTTGATGGGATTGTTTGTTTTTTTCTTCCTAATTTGTTTGAGTTCATTATAGATTCTGGATATTAGTCCTTTGCAGATGTATAGATTGTGAAGATTTTCTCCCACTCTGTTGATTGCCTGTTTACTCTGCTGACTATTCCTTTTGCCGTGCAAAAGCTCTTTGTTTAATTAAGTCCCAGCTATTTATTTTTGTTTTTATTGCATTTGCTTTTGGGTTCTTGGTCATGAAATCTTTGCCTAAGCCAATGTCTAGAAGGGTTTTTCTTTTTCTTTTTTTTTTTTTTGGAGACAGAGTCTCGCTCTGTCGTCCAGGCTGGAGTGCAGTGGCGCAATCTCAGCTCACTGCAAGCTCCGCCTCCCGGGTTCACACCATTCTCCGGCCTCAGCCTCCCGAGTAGCTGGGACTATAGGCGCCCACCACCGTGCCCGGCTAATTTTTTGTATTTTTAGTAGAGACGGGGTTTCACCATGTTAGCCAGGACGGTCTCGATCTCCTGACCTCGTGATCCGCCCATCTTGGCCTCCCAAAGTGCTGGGATTACAGGCGTGAGCCACTGCACCCGGCCTAGAAGGGTTTTTCTGATGTTATCTTCCAGAATTTTTATAGTTTCAGGTCTTAGATTTAAATCCTTGATCCATCTTGAGTTTATTTTTAGCAGCTTTTATTAAAGCTGCTAAAGTTATAAAATAATAATTCTTTAATGTGACATTTTACCAAATCACAGTTCATTGTACCTTTCTCTCCCATAGTCACGTATATGTATGTTTGAATTTCCAAACCAGGGTTCTCTTCAATTTATTTATTCAAATCTAATAAATTTTATAAGCATTATACCAAGCTGAAGGTTATTAACTAATTCTCAACAGAACTGGGTTGGAAATATCACTGGCTAGATTCAGGCTTTCAGTTCAACAAACGGACCTGCCTGAGTTCAGTACAATCAACCTTTCCTGTGTGTCTACATGAAGTCAAATAACTTACATGACTGGTAGACCCTACTTTGTTTTAAGGGCAACTCTGAGTTGAGACTACCATAAAGATCTGTAGATCATAACCATAAGCTGTGAGAAGAGTTGCCTTAAAGAAAGAAAGGTTATAATTTCCAAGTAGAAGGAGAAAGCACCTTTTTCGGTTACATACCTGGCATGTTATGAAAAGCTGGAGTTAAGTATTTCATTATAAGAAAAAAGAAATGATAAAATTTCTAAAAGTGTTAGACTAGGAGGAGAGAGAAAGAAACACAAAAGCTTTAGGTACCAGAAATGGGCTGGGTGCAGTGGCTCACGCCTGTAATCCCAACACTTTGGGAGGCTGGGGCAGGTGGATCACTTAAGGTCAGGAGTTCAAGACCAGCCTGGCCAACATGGTAAAACCCATCTCTACTAAAAATACAAAAATTAACCGGGCATGGTGGTGCACGCCTGTATCCCCAGCTACCAGGGAGGCTGAGGCAAGAGAATCGCTTGAACCTAGGAGGTGGAGGTTGCAGTGAGCCGAGATTGCACCACTGCACTCCAGCCTGGGTGACAGAGCAAGACTCTGTCTCATAAAAAACAGAACAAACAAACAAACAAAACCAGAAATGGCACCACCTCATAAAACTGTCACAACCTCTGCCTGAGAGCAGGCAACTTCAGGAGAATGGAAGAACATGATAGTCTCATTGCTAACAGGTCTGAGTTAATTCTAGTGTAGCTAACAAAGTGAAAATATTAAGGAGAAAGGTAGCGTTTATGAGACACCTTGAAATAAAGCCTTAGCACAACTTAAAATAGACTTTAAAAGAAAAGGTAGGCTGGGCGCGGTGGCTCATGCTTGTAATCTCAGCACTTTGGGAGGCCTAGGTGGGTGGGTCACCTGAGATCAGGAGTTCAAGACCAGCCTGGCCAACATGGTCTCTACTAAAAATACCCCATCTCTACTAAAAATACAAAAATTAGCTGGGTGTGGTGGCACATGCCTGTAATCCCAGCTACTCAGGAGGCTGAGGCAGGAGAATTGCTTGAACCCACGAGGCAGAAGTTGCAGTGAGCCAAGATTGTGCCACTGCCCTCCAGCCTGGGCACAGAGCAAGACTCCGTCTTGGACAAAAATAAAAGAGACAGAAAAGGCAAATATTAATACTTTTGAGTCTGGGAAGTGATCAATATAATTTTCTTTTTGAGTTTTTTTTCTCACCACACTGAGAAATTAAAGCTTTTTGAGACTCAGATAAGACATTCATAGACTCATGGACTCAGAAGCCACCTTCAGACAACAACATCACACCTCCTTATCTCAAACTATAGTGAAATTATAGAGAGGAAGACGTGCATGCTAAAACCCAGGTTTTAAGAACACAGCACTGCAGAAATTCACCCACGTTGGGCCCTCTTCACTTCTCTTTATCTTAGACTACCAAAGTCTAATTACAGTCTTTTATAATTAACAGTTTTATTTATTTAGGTTTTTTTTTAGAGACAGGCTCCCACTCTGTCACCCACGCTGGAGTACAGTGGCGCCATCATAGCTCACTACAACCTTGAACTCCTGGGCTCGAGTAGTCCTCCCGCCTCAGCCTTCTGAGTAGCTGGGACCACAGGCATGTGCCACCATGCCTAGCTAGTTTTTAAAATTTCTTTGTAGAGATGAGGTCTCTATAATTAATGACAAATGCTTTGTTGCCCAGGCTGGCCTCAAACTCCTGGCCTCAAGTGAGCCTCCTGCCTTGGCTTCCCAAAGCACTGGGATTATAGGCATGAGCCACCATGCCCGGTAAAAATTTTAAAACTTGAGAACAGGTGGTGTATGTTTACAAGTTCTATACAAAGCAACAGAGTAGAAATGTATGATCTTAGAGAAGTTACTGATTTTCTCTGAGCCTCAGTTTTTCATTTGTAAAATGGATATGACGATTCTTACTACACAGTGTTGTGGCAAGGATTCAATGAGATTGCATATGTAATGTGTCAAATACAGTGTTGTCACTTAGTGGAATCTTCTTAGTTGATAGTAATTCTTATTGTTAAATATGATTAATGACAAAAGCAGTCATATGTCGCTTAATGGTATGTTCTGAGAAATGTGTCATTAGGAGGTTTTGTCATTGTGTGAACACCACACAGTGGACTTACACAAACCTAGATGGTATAGCCTCGTAGATACCTGGGCTATATGATATGGCCCATTGCTCCTAAACTATCAACCTGTACAGCATGTGACTGTACTGAATACTGTAGGTAATTGGAACACAATGGTAAGTATTTGTGCATCTAGACATATCTAAACATGGAAAAGATAGAGTAAAAATACAGTACAAAAGATAAAAATGATAACCCTGTATAGGGCAGTTACCATGAATGGAGCTCGCAGGATTGGAAGTTGCTCTGAAGCAATGTGAAGGCCTGGAACATCACTGTACTCTACTGCAGACTTCACAAACACCCTATACTTAGGCTACACTACATTTGTAAAAAACATTTTTCTTTCTTTAGTAATAAATTAACGTTAGCTTACTGTAACTTTTTGACTTTTTGGGTTTTTCTGTTTGTTTGTTTGTTTGAGACAGAGTCTCACTCTGTTGCTCAGGCTGGAGTAAAGTGGCGGGATCTCAATTCACTGCAACCTCCACCTTCCGGGTTCAAGCGATCCTCCTGCCTCAGCCTCCAGAGTAGCCAAGATTACAGGAACCCAGCACCACACCCGGCTAATATTTTATATTTTTAGTAGAGATGGGCTTTCTCCATGTTGGCCAGGCTCGTCTTGAACCCCTGACCTCAAATGATCCTCCTGCCTCGGCCTCCCAAAGTTCTGGGATTACGGGAGTGAGCCACTGCACCCAGCCAGCTTTTTAACTTTATAAACGTTTAAAAATTTTTTAAACTTTTGACTCTTTTATAACACTTAGCTTAAAACACAATATATTGTATATCTGTACAAAAATATTACTTTTCTTTATATCTTTATTCTATATGCTTTTTTCTATTTTAAGAAATTTTTATTGTTTACTTTTTAAGCTTTTATGTTAAAAACTAAGACACAATACACACATTAGCCTAGACCTACACAGGGTCAGGATCATCAAGATGTCACTAAGCATTAGGAATTTTTCTGCTTAAGTTATTATTGTTAGGTAAAAGAAATAATAAAAAATAAATGAAATGAAATAAGATTTAAAAATTATAAAATAAAAAAAGGAGTTTTTCAGCTCCATTGTAATTCTATGGTACCACCATTGTATACGTGGTCTGTTCTTGACAAAAACATCAATATGTGGCAAATGATATTCAAATAAAGTTTACTAAAAAGCTTATGCTAATATAAGTGTGTATAATCATACGTTATTTATTATAGAGCAGCATTCTTAAGTGGTTGCTGAGCTGGTACTTTCTCTTTTTTTCTGAGATGGAGTCTCGCTCTGTCTCCAGGCTGGAGTGCAGCTGCGAGAGCTCGGCTCACTGCAAGCTCTGCCTGCCGGGTTCACGCCATTCTCCTGCCTCAGCCTCCTGAGTAGCTGGGACTACAGGCGCCCGCCACCACGCCCGGCTAATTTTTTGTATTTTTAATAGAGACAGGGTTTCACCGTGTTAACCATGATGGTCTCAATCTCCTGACCTCATGATCCGCCCTCCTTGGCCTCCCAAAGTGCTGGGATTACAGGGCTGTTACTTTCTTTAACTTATTTGTTTTTTGTTGTTGTTTTTTGAGACAGAGTCTTGCTCTATTACCCAAGCTGGAGTGCAGTGGTACAATCATAGCTCAGTACAACCTCAAACTTCTGGATCCAATCAATCCTCCCACTTAGCCTCCCGAGTAGCTGAGACTTCACTCCATGCCACCATGCCTGGCTAATTTTTTAAATTTCCTATAGAGGTGGGATCTCGCCATGTTGCCCAGGCTTCTTTAACTTGTTAAAACAAAAAAGAGATATGCACCAGTTACAAAACATATTTACAAAAATCAATAGCTTTCCTATATCATCATTATTCAGCTAGAAAATGCAAAGGGGAATCATCCCACTCAACACAGCAACAAAAATATAAATTATATAGGAATTATATGTGTGTGTGTGTGTGTGTGTGTGTGTGTGTGTGTGTGTATACATATATATTTTTTCCAAGTCAGGTCTTTATTGAAATTGGCAGAGGCTTCTCAATGTTTTATGAAAACTAACATCTTAACCTAAGGATATTTAAGGAAACAAATTCAATTTTCTTTTTTTTTTTTTTAGCACTAATTAAATACTTTATTGAATAAATATAATACCAAAGGCTGGGCGCCAGTAATCACACCTGTAATCCCAGCACTTTGGGAGGCTGAGGTGGGCAAGATCCTCGAGTCCAGGAGTTCAAGACCAGCCTGGGCAACATGGTGAAACCCTGTATCTACAATATATGCAAAAATCAGCCATGTGTGGTGGCCAGTGCCTGTAGTCCCAGCTACTGGGGAGGCTGAGGTGGAAGGACCACTTGAGTCCAAGAGGTCAAGGCTGCAGTGAGCCAAGATGGCACCACTGCACTCCAGCCTGGGTGACAGAGCGGGACACTGTCTCACAACAAAAAACAAAAAACACAATACCAAACAAAATGCATTCAAATGCTTTCTTAAAAAACAATTTGAAAGGCCTTTCTACTCAGGCTAATGACAAACGCAGTAAAGACAGATATGGTCATTTAACATAGTTAGCTGATTTTATACAGCACTTGTATCTTTTAGTCCACAAGTATAGTATTAAATGATAGAGAACATTGAATACAACCATTTCTACAGAACTAAGAAATAAATTACTAAAGAAGAAAGATTTTACAAATCCCATCTTTTATACCCACCCCAACAGTCTAACTCTAAAGAGGATAAAGCCAATGACTTTCCTCACAAGACCTCATGACTAATGTTGCTTTGCTATCAAAATCTGTATTTCTGGCCCATTATGAGCATTGAGACAAGATTCAAATATTCCCAAAGAAAGAGGCATAATGCAGGTTGTGATCACCCATTCAACAACATTGAGCACTGCATCCAGAACTATCTCATCCCAGGAATTAAATAAGGTCAGCCACATTTATGGGCATTTCCTCCACTGTAGTACTGTAGAAAGTGTCAGTGTCACCAAGAATCCTCCTGCCTTCTTCAGTAACAAAGTTTATAGCCACACCTTTCTTCCTAAATCAACCACCTCTGCCAATTCTGCAAATGTTGTTTTCACAATTGGTAGGTGGATCATAGCTTATAACCAAAGACACTTATTGCACATCAGTCCCACAAACCAAGTCAGTAGTGATCAGAACACGGTTTGACCCTGGTTGGAATTCCCGCATGATAACATCTCTCTCCTTCTCGTCCATGTCACCACGCAGAGCAGAAACTGTGAGGTCCGCGGCATGCATTTTCTCAGTCAGTTGACAGTGTGCTTTGTATTGAGAAAAATAACAGCCTGTGTAATGGTCAGTGTCTCGTACAAGTCACAAAGTGTATCCAACTTCCATTACTCTCTCAATATTAATATAAAACGGATTCCTTCAAGGTTCAATTCTTCCTTTTTCACCAGAATTCAAATTGGATCTCCCATGAATTTTTTGGTCACTTCCAACATATCAGTTGGCACTGTGGCAGAAAGCAACACAACCTGAATACTTGTATTTAATTTTTGGAAAATCTCATTATTTGATTCTTAAACCCTTGGGTCAATATTTCATCTGCTTCAACCAAAACAAAGGTTTTGATCCATTCTGGAGAAAATATCTTCTGTTTAACAAAGCAAACACTCTCCCTGGTGTACCAACAGCAGTATGTGATGCTTCGGCCTGCAGTTTTTGCGTTTCATTTCGAACATTTGTTCCACCAATGCAAGCAAGACAATGCAGGCTCCCATATAGTCTCCAGGTGCCGGAATTACTTTTTGGATCTTTAATGCAGAAAATAATAGCCCTCTGTCGAATAGCTGAAGGCTTCTCAAAACCATAAGCATAGATGGCCCGAAGAAGAGACTCCTTTAAGTTCATATCATCAAAGTTATCAACAATCTCATCCCAGTTGCTCTAGATGACACCATCTGGGTCCATTCCCTCTGGGCCGCCATGTTCTCTGTTATAATCCGAGGATCCATCAGACGTGATCTGGAAAACCACTCAACACCCAACTGAAAAGACCAATTTCCTTAAAAAACAAAACATTCTGGATCACACAAGCACTTAAGAGCAGACACAGTTCCTGATCCAACACCACAAGGCAAATCTATGGCCATCACGGGCCGAGAGCACAGCGGCCCGGGGCAGGATAAGAAGGCCCGGCTGGGGCGCTCCTCTGGGGGCTGCCCTGTCGCCTCCCCAATAACCCGTGGAAGAAGGAGGCAGAGCTGCCCGATAGTTGCTGTGCTCCTTAGTCTGAGCAGCCACTGGGCCGCGCGGGCCCGCAGAGGGGTCGGGCTCCGCTGCCTGGTGTGGCTGCAGTGGGGCCAGGAGGGGAGGGGAGATGGTCGCAGGGACCCGCATCCCCGCGTGCAGGACGGCACAGCGCAGGGGTGGGAGGAGACGTGGCCTGTAGGCCCAACGCACACGAGGCACCTTCCAAGTCAGCACCACTGTTAACAGAGCTCAGACTCTCTCTGTCCCCGGCTCTGCGGGCCCACGTCGAGGGGATTCTGCCGTGTGCAGCACCGGCTCGTGGAGCTCCAAGGCGGGTCTTGCGGCCGCCGCTCTGCCTGCGCTTCTCTCTGCGCTCCCGGAAGGCGCGCCGCCCAGCGTGGACGAACACGGGGCCTCTCGACGGGCTCCGCGGGCTTCTGCGAGCCGTGCAGGGCCGTCCTCCAGTACAGCTTGCTGCGTGGACTCGGCCGGACTGTAGAGGGACGCCGGGTTGCGGGGAGGCCTGATCCGCGTCCTCTGCCGCGCTGGCGATGTCGGGATCCTAGGAGCTGGGCTCCTCGCCGTGCCCCTGGGATTTCCAGCGCCGGCAGCGCCCATGAACCCCGGAAGAAAAGGTGTTGGCGGAGCGCGCGGTCGCCTTGCGCTCCCGGAGCTCCTTGACAGTGTCAGGACGCGGGGTCCTCGTCGGGCCAGGCCTGCCAGCTCCTCCAAGGGCTTGCCGCGGTCCTCCAGCTCAGACGGGCTGCTCTTGGGGATCAGGAACTGGGCGCGCATGCGGTGCAGGTCGGAGTGCGAAGGCTCCTCCTTGGCTAGTCCGATGGGCGTGATCCCCAGGGGTCAGAAGCCTGCCTTGAAGTCGTAGGCCGCTGCTGACGACCTCAGACGCCCTCCAGAAGAGGCTGCCAAGAACTGTTCCAGTCGACCTGCGTGTCTGTGGGCTGCCCCGCCACCCCGGGGTCCGCTGGCTTTGCGTCGCCCTGCTCTGAGGGCAGCACGCTGGCAGCTTCGCGTCTCAGGGGTTTCTTGGTGTTGGGAGTGCAGACAACCGAGGCCCTCCGGAACCTCCCCAAGACCGTGGCGGTTAGGTCTCCTCCAGGGGGCCCGAGTTCTGCAAGTCTTGCGCGCTGCCGCCGCTCTGGGCCTCCGGGGGAAACTCACAGAGAGCAGCAAGAGCAGCGGTGACTCGGGGCTGTAGCACAGCTGAGCGCAGGGTTCTCCTGCTGGGCGTCCTCGGCCTCCTCCGGGTCCACTGCCCTAATGACCACCACCTGATTGGTGCGGAGGTCGATGCCCTTGCGCCTCTCCCAGAACCAGCCCTTGCCGATGCAGTGGAGCGTGGTGAAGAGCTAGTCAGGCCCCACTCGCTGCTGGCAAGTCCCGGGGGCGAGCCACGCGGCGCAGGCAGCCTGGGAGGCGGCTAGACGCGGCAGCAGTGCGGCCCGGGCCCGCTTCCGCTCCCGCTCGCGCCCCCGCCCACTCGCTGGGCCCCACCCGGCCTGCCCCAACCTGTAGCCTCCGTTCGCCCGGGGACGCCGGGCCTCCCAGTCTGCTGAGCAGCGCGGGCTATTATGTAGGAATAATATTAATCAATGGAACTATCTGTAGGGTTGTGGATTAAAATGTTAATACTCTTAAAGTACTTAAAACAGTTTCCGACATAGTAAGAGTTCAATTCGTATTCGCTGTTATTATTAAGAAAAATTACGCAGAATTCATATGTGGAGAGTTCTATAAGCACTGCACTATGCACAAATGATTTGAACAAGTGGAAAGGAAGATTCAATACTGTAAAGGCAATTTCCCCCAAATTAATCTATATATTTAAAAGAGTTTCGACCAACAAGATTTTGGTGGACTTTTAAAATTTGCTCTAAAGTACATCTAGATCAATAAAATTTGTATATATTAGCTAGAATTAAAAAATAGTATTGGCCGGGTGTGGTGGCTCACGCCTGTAATCCCAGCACTTTGGGAGGCCAAGGCAGGCGGATCACTTGAGGTCAGGAGTTCGAGACCAACCTGGCCAACATGGCGAAACGCCATCTCTACTAAAAATACAAAAATTAGCCAGGCGTGGTGGCAGGCGCCTGTAATCCCAGTTACTCGGGAGGCTGAGGCAGGAGAATCGCTTGAACCCGGAAGGCGGAGGTTTCAGTGAGCCAAGATGCACCACTGAACCCCAGCCTGGGTGACAGTGGGAGACTCCGTCTCGAGAAAAAAAAAAAACAAAAAAAAAAAAACAGAAGGCACTCGTGTCTGGGACTTTTTCTTTTCTTTCTTTCTTTTTTTTTTTTTTTTTTTGACACGGAGTCTTGCTCTGTTGCCCAGGCTGCTGGAGTGCAGTGGCCGAATCTCGGCTCACTGCAACCTCCGCCTCCCGGATTCAAGCTATTCTCCTGCCTCAGCCTCTAGAGTAACTGGGACTACAGGCGGTGTGCCACCACGCCCGGCTAATATTTTGTATTTTTAGTAGAGATGGGGTTTCACCGTGTTAGCCGGGATGGTCTCGATCTCCTGACCCGTGATCCGCCCGTGACGGCCTCTCGAAGTGCTGGGATTACAGGCGTGAGCCACCGCGCCTGGCTTGATTTATGTTTGATAGAGATGTGAACACAATGATTTATGGCAGTAGATTTACTGAAAATGAACTGGTGCTCTTCATTCTTATAAATACCAGAGTACCTTCTAAGTAAGCCCAGATACTCACTCATCCCCACGCAGTACTGCAATATAACGTGAATAAGAGTGTTAATAGCGAAGGTCTTTCTTGGCCACTAAATTCCTGTGTCCAGTTCTCTCCTTTGATGAAGCAATGAGTTCTTAGAATAACAGAACTATAAAAAGACCTTCAAGGTCTTCTATTATACAAAATGCCATTTTATATCCAAAACGTTGAAAGTTAGGACTAGAAATATAAAGGAATTAGCCGGGCGCGGTGGCTCACGCCTGTATTCCCAGCACTTTGGGAGGCCGAGGCAGGTGGATTGCGAGGTCAAGAGATCGAGACCATCCTGGCTAACATGGTGAAACCCCGTCTCTACTAAAAATACAAAAAATTAGCCGGGCGTGGTGGCAGGAGCCCGTAGTCCCAGCTACTCGGGAGGCTGAGGCAGGAGAATGGCGTGAACCCGGGAGGTGGAGCTTGCAGTGAGCCGAGATCCCGCCACTGCACTCCAGCCTGGGCAACAGAACGAGACCCCGTCTCAAAAGAAAAAAAAAAAAAAATATATATATATATATATATATATATGGGAATTAGATATCTTTTTAAAACATCTTTCTGAGGGCGGGGCATATGCATTTCTAAAAAATGCTAACATTCTTGATTCTTTTGTATTTTTCAGTACCATCTTGCCTTTTATATGTTTGTATGTGGCAAACATACGAAAACCACAACTTCATGTCTTTTCCCAGCCCCACTATAGATGACACTGGTGTCATGAGATCAGGCTCTATCATTTGAAATGAATTAACTTCTAAAAGTCTTAGTTAAAATTTCAAATCTCAAATAAATCAAATATTGATTAGAAAAATATAACTTATTATTTGAAATTAATGTTAGTGAAAAGGGTGGCTTTCCTGGGGGTGGTAAGGAGTCTGTGAATGCAGCACACCTCTGGCAGTCTTCCTGGCGTGGGCAGCTGACATCAGGGCAGCATTTAACAGGGGAATTAAGCAGCTTGGCAGTGCGGGAATTACTTCTGTGACATCATCTATGTTATGCTGCCAGTAAATGTTCTGGAAAACTCTGCTCCAGAAAAGCTATGTCTGAATGAGAGAAGTCAGTTTTCCAAACTAATTCTCACCAACTCCTGCCCTCAAACAACGTAGCCATGTAAAGCAGAGAGTAACATACAAGTAGTCTTTGCAAGGCGGTGTCACTGAGAAATCAGGCTGAAAGCGTAGTGTGTTTGTCCTGTCCTTTAAACACAGACACAAAGTGGATATGATTAGCTAGGTGGTCCGTAATTATGAATCCAGAAGTTTCTATTTTCTTTCTCTCCCTTCCTCTCTTCTTCTTTGCTTCCCTCCCTCCCTCCCTCCTTCCTTCCTTCCTTCTTTCCTTCCTTCCTTCCTTCCATCTCCTTCTCTTCTTTGTTCCTTGGAAAAACATTAGAAAGGCAAAACTGCTTGCATAAAGTTTTCATTTGAAAGCGGATGCTAGAGTCTAAAAACCCAGGATGGGTAAATACTTAAAATTTGAGCGAGTTTAAAAATCCATATAATAAAGAAACAATCACTGTTCACTCTCATAATGTATGGAAAATTTCCTTCCCGCTTGTAAAAGATGAAAAATCAGGTTTATTTTATTTTATTTTATTTTTTGAGACGGAGTCTCTCTGTCGCCCAGGCTGGAGTGCAGTGGCACGATCTCGGCTCCCTGCAACATCCACCTCTGAGTCTCAGCCTCCCGAGTAGCTGGGACTACAGGAGCCCCTCACCACGCCCAGCTAATATTGGTATTTTTAGTAGAGACAGGGTTTCACCATATTGGTCAGGCTGGTCTCGAAATCCTGACCTCAGGTGATCCGCCCGCCTCGGCCTCCCAAAGTGCTGGGATTACAGACGTGAGCCACTGCGCTCAGCCGAAAAATTAGCTTTAAACAATCCAAAGTGCCCCACAAACAGTCCCTTAAGCCACATATTTTTGTTAATTAAATCATTACTTTCATTTTAAAAGATTCCCAAAAATGTTGTAGGAAGCATCAATACAGCATTTTCCACAATCCAGATTCTGAATCCTTTGTTTAAAAAAAGTCATTACATATTTCCTGGAACTGTTATTTTAAAAAGTCATCCCTATCTATTTTGGCAAGCCCTGTAAAAACATTAGCCTTCCTTAAAACAACATTTTAAAAGTTAGTCTCAGAGCTTAGCCGGAGAGAGTCAAGGATTCAAGAGCCTATGAAGCAAATCTATAGCTAAAAGAGTATTACTAAAAAAAATAAGCATTCAAAGTTATTTTTAGTGGATGAGAACGATGTGTTCCCGAACTTCTCTTTCTTTATTCTATAAGCCATTACTGTACATTTACTAACAGTCTGGCTAAACAGAGTGCTGGGGTACCTCTGGCTGGAAGGCACAAAGCTTTCCACATTTGCTCCCCACCCCCAACAGTGGTAATAAGAACAACCCCTCGCTCCAGTGAATAGACAGAAAAAGTCACCATTCAGCGACTGCTGCGGTTGGGACTCAGCCTTTAGAGGCAGGTGCTGTGCCTCAGAAGCCTGCTTTGTGCCACCTTCGTAACATGTTCCAAGCCCCCCACTGGGTCTGGCCGACTGGGTGGGCACCCCAGGCCCAGACCAGGACTCTCAGGGGTTTCTGTACCCATTTCTCTTCTTCAGAGCACACTCTGACCCTCTACTTCCCACCGTGAGTGCAGATCCACAGCCCAAAGTGCTGGCCAGGGCTGGAGGGGTGGGAAGAGGGTGGGGAAGATTCCCTGTCCATGGACAGTTCCTGGAGGGCAGTGAGTCCATGCAAACTCTTACTGGCACAGTGCCTCTCCCCTGGAATCTCAAGCGGCCGGGCCACCAGAGTGTCACCGACACACTGGCTTTGGTGACTCTCGATTGCCTCAGGTTCATGGCCAGCTCAGAGCACTCAGTTACTGACAGGCATGTGTGTGGACGAGCGTGGCCCATCTGGGTGCGATGCTGCCCATAGGCCACAGCACCTGAGGGTGGGGGGGTGGCCGCAGTGTCCTATACCCATGCCCCTGCCTCTAGCACCCAAAGGGGTCGCTTCAGCCCCTCTGCAGGCCACATGCTGTGTCCTCTGAGGACTTGCGTGACCTTTGCTATCCACTGCTAATGGGACCTGCAGTTGTCCTCTCTTGCCTGCAGTCAATGTGACAATCTCTCATTTTACCTGGTCAGGCTCAAGTCCTTCAGGATGAGCTTCTGGCTTGCTGGGAAGGTGTAGGCTCCTTGCTACCCCCCACCGCACTGTGGCAGGGTGTGGACACCAGGGTGGGCTCAGCCTTGAGAGAGATCACTTTCTAAGACTTCAGTGATTATGCTAAAGAGTTCAAAAGACATGGATGGAAGATTCTCTTCCACCTTCATGCTATAAAATCCCAAGTGGTGAATTTACAATGACCAGAAGAGGCACCAGCCTTTGTATTCTCATGCATCCTGCAGGTAGGACTGGCATTGGTGATAATCAAGGAAGTCCAGAAGCAGCTTTGAGAGCATCAGCAGAAGCCAGCATGCACGACAGCAAGCGATGCTGCAACCTCACAAGAGGGGATGCCACCAGCAGGGTATAAGTCCCAGGCAGCTGCAGAGACAGGAAGGTCGACACTGCTTCAGCACAAATGGGTTCCTGAGAGCCACAGCATGGGCAGTGCTCATAGCTTTGCTACCTTTTCCTCCTGGAGATATGACCTTAGCCAGGAAAGGCACTTGACAATAAAGAGCAAGAAGAGATGGCGCCTGGACACTACAGAGAACCTTCATGTGCATTGGCTGGATGATTAAATACAGAAGTCCCTCTTATCTCTCTATTATTCTAAATCCATCATAATTTATCAATAAATCTATATACATCATGTGGGCCTATGAATGTTGCAACACATTTTAAAAACAAGTTGTGTACGTATTTGTATTAGAACAAGCTGTGTGCATTTGTCCGGGATGCTGCACACCAGGAATAGTCCTGGTGTTCAAGGCCGACTTGTATTTCCAGGCTTGGTTGCCCTAGTCACACAGAGCACAGTACTGATTGGAAAGGGATGAGTATGGTGTCTCTGTAAGGAAACTGGACAACGGGTATCCAAATGCTCTTAATTGTACTGTTATTTATTTATTTTTGAGGGGGTGGTTGTTTTGTATTTTTTTTGAGACAGAGTCTTGCTCTGTCGCTCAGGCTGGAGTGCAGTGGTGCAATCTTGGCTCACTGCAACCTCCACCTCATGGGTTCAAGCGATTCTCATGCCCCAACCTCCCCAGTAGCTGGGATTACAGGCACGTGCCACCATGCCTGGCTAATTTTTATATTTTTACTAGACACGGAGTTACCCCATCTTGGCCAGGCTGGTCTCCAAGTCCTGGCCTCAAGTGATCTGCCCACCTCGGCCTCTCAAAGTGCTGGGATTACAGGTGTGAGCACCCGGCCCTGTACTGTTATTCTAATAGTGAAAAGTTGGAAACAATCTAAATGTCCAACAACAGGGGATTGAATAAATACATTGCAGCAGGACATTTAAATGAAACTACTAAAACTCAAGCCTAGGCCATGTGTGGTGGCTTATACCTATAATCCCAGCACTTTGGGAGGCTGAGGCAAGAGGATTACTTGAGGCCAAGAGTTCAACACAGCCTGGGCAATATAGGGAGACCATGTCCCTACAAAAAAAAAAAAAGAACTAAAATATTAGCTATGCTTGGTGGGGCGTGCCTGTAGCTTCAACCACTCAGGAGGCTGAGGAGGGAGGATATCTTAAGCCAGGGAGGTCAAAGCTGCAGTAAGCTGTGATTGCACCACTGCACTCCAGCCTAAGTGCCAGAGTGAGATCATGTCTCAAAATAACAACAACAATAATGATAAATTAACCTTAGCTTACCACAACATCTTTTAAATTTAAATTAAAATTTGTAGAGATAGAGTCTTGCTTTGTCGCCCAGGCTGGTGTACAGTGGCATGGTCATGGCTCACTGCAGCCTCGACCTCCTGGGCTAAAGCAACTCTCGTGCCTCAGCTTCCCAAGTAGCTGGGACTATGGGTGCACACTATCATGCCCGGCTAGTTATTGTTTTTGTTTTTTATAGAGACGGTGATCTCCCTATGTTGCCCAGTCTGGTCTTGAACTCCTGGGATTAAGCAATCTTTCCCACCTCAGCCTCCCAAAGTGCTGAGATTACAGGTGTGAGACACCGCACACTGCCACTTTTTAAACTTTGTGACTCTTGTAATAATAGTTTAAAACATAAACCCATGGAGGCACAGTGGCACATGCCTATAATCCCAGCACTTTGGAAGGCCGAGGCAGAAAGACTCCTTAAGCATAGGAGTTTGGGACCGGCCTGGGCAACATGGTGAAACCTCATCTCCACAAATATTTAAAAATTAGCTAGTGTGGTGGTGCATGCCTGTAGTCCCGGCTACTCGGGAGGCTGAGGTGGGAGAATGGCTTGAACCCGGACAGTCAAGGCTGCTGTGAGCTTTGGTTGTGCTGTCACAGAGTGAACCCAAAATTGGGGTTCAGCCTGGAAGGCCACAGTAGGTTCTTGGCTTCACACAGGAAGGAATTCAAGAGTGAGCCAACAGAGTAAAGCGAAAGCAGGTTTATTAAGAAAGTAAAGGAACAGGTGGCTACTCTGTAGGCAGAGGAGCCTGAGGGCTGCTGGTCAGCTATTTCTACAGTTACTTCTTGACCATATTCTAAACAGGGAATGGATTATTCGTGAGTTTTCCAGGAAGAAGGCGGGCAGTTCCCGGAACTGAGGGTTCCTCCCACTTTTAGACCATGTAGGGTAACTTCCTGACGTTGCCATGGCATTGTAAACTGTCAAGGCACTGGTGGGAGTGTCTCTTAGCAAGCTAATGCATTATAATTATTGTATAATGAGCAGTGAGGGTGACCAGAGGTTGCTTTCCACACCATCTTGGCTTTGGTGGGTTTGGGCCAGCTTTTTTACTGCATCGGGGTCTTTGTGACCTCTACTTTGCAAAATCAGTCCTGCTGAACTCCTGTCTCCACACCACTGCACTCCAGCATGAGAAACACAGTGAGACCCTGTCTCAAAAAATAAATGAATAAATACCTGCTCAGTTCTGGGGCAACTGAAAAAAAAGTGAATAAGTAAATAAAACACAAACCCATTGCACATCTGTGCAAAAATGTTTTCTTTCTTTATATCCTTATTCTGAAAGCTTATTTTTCTATTTTCAAAAATGTTAATTCTTTTAAATTTTTCAAACTTTCTTGATAAAAGCTAAGACACAAGCTGGACATGGTGGCGTGTATCTGTAATCTGAGCTTCAGGATGCTGAAGAGGGAGGATCACTTGAGCCCAGGAGTTTGAGACAAGCCTGGGCAACATAGTGAGACCTTATCTTAAAAAAAAAAGAAAAAAGAAAAAAAAATCTAAGACACAAACACACACATTAGCCTGTCCCTACACAGGGTCAGGATCATCATCACTGTCTTCCACCTCCACATATTGTCCCACTGGGAGTATTCAGGGACAGTAACATGCATACCATCTCCTGGGATAACAATGCCTTCTTCTGGATACCCCCTGAAGGACCTGCCTAAGGCTGATTTAGAATTAACTTTTTTTAAATAAGTTGAAGGAGTATACTCTAAAATAATGATTAAAAGTATAAAAATAAAGACATAAACCAGGAACATAGTCATATATTACCATTATCAAGTATTATGTACCTTACATATTGTATTTATTTTATTTTACTTTATTTTATTTTATTTTTGACAGAGTTCTGCTCTGTCATCCAGGCTGGAGTGTAGTGGTGCAATCTTGGCTCACTGCAACCTCTGCCTTCCAGGCTCAAGCAATTCTCGTACCTTAGCCTCCTAAGTAGCTAGGATTACAGGCATGCTCCACCATGCCCAGCTAATTTTTGTACTTTTAGTAGAGATGGGATTTCACCATGTTAGTCTGCCTGGTCTCAAGCTCCTGACCTCAAGAGATCCACCTGCTTCGGCCCCCCAAAGTGCTGGGATTACAGGCGTGTGCCACCGTGCCATACCTTATGTAATTGTATGCTAGACTTTTATATGATTGGCAGCACAGCAGGTGTGTTTACACCAGCACCACTGCAAACACATGAGCAATGAGCTGTGCTAAGATGTTACGATGGCTGCTCCATCACCAGGTGATAGGAATTTTTCAGCTCCATTATAATATTAGGGGACTGGCGTCATATACGCGGTCTGTTGTTGAACAAAACCTTGTTATATGGCACATATTGTAGACACACACACAGAGAGAGAGAGAGAGAGAGAGAAGAGAGAGATTATGAGGAACTGGCTTGCATGAGCATGAAGGTAAAAAGTGTCACGATCTGCCATCTGAAAACTCAAGACCCAGGAAAACCACGGCTGTAATTCCAATCCAAGTCCAAGGGCCTGAGAACAAGGGAAGCCAGTGGTGTAAATTCCAGCCCAACGGCAGGAGGAAACCTGTGTCCCAGCTCAAACAGTGAGGCAGGACCAAAAAAATGGGTGAATTCCCCCACCCTCCCCTTGTGGTTCACTCAGGCCCCTAACGAATTGGATGGAGAGCAATCGACTTTTCTGAGCCACCAGTTCAAATGTCCGTCCCATCCTGAACACCCTCACAGACACACCAGAAATAGTGTTTAATGTGCACACCCCATGGTGCAGTCAGATTGACACATAAAATTAAGTATCACCTCAAGCTTGCCAGGGCAAAGATGCGTGGCTGCTTTCTGTGGCCAGAGTGTGGGCCATGTGAAAGAAAGAGCTGGCTGGGGTGGTCTCAGATCATGTCTGGAGGAGTGAGGAGGCAACAGCAGGAAAAAACAACAAGGACAACAACACATGACCGTGTACGGCCAGATGGCGATGGGCTGAGAAAGGAGTCATAGGGAACCAGATGGAGGGCATGAACTGCAGCTAAGAAACCTCCAGCAGCGAGGGGAGGAGGGGCACCAGGACCTCGATTCGATGCAAAACCCGGTCGTGCTCTGGGCGCCACTCAGAATTGTAAGTCATCTGATAAATGGGTTGAAGCAAAGTTTCTAAGTGTAGCACATGATGCCTCCAAAATTCAAAGAGGACTTCCAAATGCTCTGCCTCTTTCTCAGTGGTAGGGAGGGCAAGGTGCAATGATATGTTCTTTACACTAGAATGTTTCATCATGCTCAGACCATTTCATCTTTTAAAAACTTTAACAGGGAATGAATTTTCTTTTCTTTTATCTTCTTTTTTCAATACAGGGTCCTGCTCTGTCATCCAGGCTGGAGGGCAGTGGTACAATCATGGCACATTGCAGCCTCCACCTCCTAGGCTCAAGGGATCCTCCTGCCTCAGCCTCCCGAGTAGCTGCGATTATAGGCATGTGCCACCATGCCCGGCTAATTTTGTATTTTTAGTAGAGACGGGGTTTCTCCATGTTGGTCAGGCTGGTCGCGAACTCCTGACCTCAGGTGATCCGCCACCTTGGCCTCCCAAAGTGCGGGGATTACAAGAGTGAGCCACCGCATCCGGCCTGGATTTCTTAATATTTACAGTGTACCTGCTACACTCTGATGCATACGTCTCACCAAGGCAGCCAGAGGACTTGCAACTTCCCGCTCACCAGGTCCAGTTAACATGACATCCTCAAACAGTGGGCTGATGTGACATTCTGCAGATGCCAAGAAGATCAAGACCCTGGTGGGCTATGTTGGGACAGAAAGTAGAGGTTCTGGGGCAAGACAGTGAGTGTGATGAATGTTGTTCATTCCAAGTAAAAACTAACTATTTTGATCCTCTTTATTGGCAGATATTGAGAAGTATGATATTAATGGTTCAGTAGCCACATAACAAGCTTTGGAAACTGTGTTGATTGTTCATACCATATACCACATTGTGTAGTCCATGCTACAGTCCATACAACCTATGATTGGGGCTCTATTTATTTATTATTATTATTATTTTTATTTTTATTTTTTGAGATGGAGTCTCGCTCTGTTGCCCAGGCTGGATCGCAGTGGCCTGATTCTGGCTCACCGCAACCTCCACCTCCCGGGTTCAAGCAATTCTCCTGCCTCAGCCTCCTGCATAGCTGGGACTACAGGTGTGCGCCACCATGCCTGGCTAATTTTTGTATTTTTAGTAGAGCCAGGGTTTCACTATGTTGGCCAGGCTGGTCTCAAACTCCTGACCTCGTGATGCACCCACCTCGGCCTCCCAAAGTGCTAGAATTACAGGTATGAGTTACCGCGCCAAGCCTATTTATTCATTTATTTGTTTATTTTTGAGACAGAGTCTCGATCTGTCACCCAGGCTGGAGTGCAGTGGCACGATCTCTGCTCACTGCAACCTCTGTCTCCCAGGTTCAAGCAATTCTCCTGCCTCAGCCTTCTGAGTAGCTGGGACTACAGGCGTGCACCACCACAGCTGGCTAATTTTTGTATTTTTAGTAGAGACGGGGTTTCACCATGATGGCCAGGCTGGTCTCGAACTCCTGACCTCAGGTGATCCGCCCGCCTCAACCTCCCAAAGTGCTGGGATTACAGGTGTGAGCCACCGCGCCCAGCAGGGCTCCATTTAGTTAGGTTTACAGTAGTCCACCCTTATCTGCCATGATCTGT
Organism: Homo sapiens; assembly: GCF_000001405.40. Lineage (NCBI taxonomy): Eukaryota > Metazoa > Chordata > Mammalia > Primates > Hominidae > Homo > Homo sapiens. The sequence continues at coordinate 12,900,295 of NC_000018.10, read as the reverse complement.
GTAATTTTTGTAAGGGCCACTTGGGTAAATTGAAGGGGACTGCCACCCTCCATCCTTGAAGTTGCTTATGGTGGTGCTACTCTCTGCAATTCCTTCTAGTATTGCTTCTGATTTTTCAGGGACTTCTCTCCTGTGTCTTCCCCCCTATGTCTAGATGTCTAGAAATCATTGTAAGGTTTCTGCCAACTACTAGGTATATATCTATCCTAATTATACATGTGGGAGCTGAGAAAATAACCACAGGCCATGTTCCTGGACCCAGTGGACCCACTGCAGGGTATACTTGGGTCAGAACTCCATGTATCATCTGCCCTTCAAAAGCTCTGAGTGTAACTGGAGGAACATAACAGGATTTCAGGTCCCGTGGTATCTGAAGTTTCAACTCAGATTTTCTATCCATTTCCTTGGCACCATTGGGCTGCTAGGTGGCTGTAGGTTCCATTGGTGAAGGACTAGGGTAATAGTTATCATCTGTATTTTTAGTGGTGGTGCAGAGTCTTTCATTACAGAGAACTGGCAGGCTTCCCTTCAATCAATGTGCATTAGATCTGTGAACTGACTTAGCTTTGGAAATTGAATGAAGGATTGTGATTTTCCATTGCAGTGGCTAATTTCAAACTTCAGCTTCCCAGCACTTCTTTTTTTTTTTTTTCAAATTGTCCAAGTCAAGTCACAACCTAATTGTTGTTCACCCGTCTCAGCCCCTGGAACAGAGCCCACAGATCCTAGCAGGTCACAGCAGCGTAACTGCCATGCTGGCCTTGCTGCCCATGATACTAACTTCATTCCCCTTCTGCTGCTGCCTCCTCTCTGCGATTTCAGAATCCCGTCATGCCCATTGATACCTGGCATCCATTGGCAGGATCTTCCACTGGCCGGCTCTGGCCTACAAAGGACAATTCCTACCAAGCTTCTCAAAGATGGTCATGCCTCCCTCACCAGTGGGTCTTTGTGCTTTATGAAGGGAGTCTCCTCTGAGTCTTCCCAAAGAACACAGCCGGGAAGTGGGTTCTCTGATACCACATACTAAGCCTATTCTAATGTCTAATTTCCCTGAGCTCGTCTAGTATTCTGCCAAGGAAATTAAAGCATCCTCACCTCATTCATTGTAGGTCATCTTCCTGCCCAAGCTTCAGGAAACTATCCGAGCAGTGGATGAGAAGTGGATTCAGATGCCCTGACTAGGACTCCCAAACCAAGGGGTATATTCCTATATCAATAAATCCTTCTCTACCCATCCTTATATTTGCATCTTCCTTGGCCCAACATCTTAAGCTTTATAATTGCCCATTTTCCTCTCCTTCCTGTTGGTCCACATTAGACAGGTCTTACAATTCTTAGGATATATAAGATTTCTGCCTGGAGTTTGGACTGTTTACCTAAGCTGTGTTGGGATCAGACCCTGCTTCTTAGTATGGAGGTAACAAGTGGTGGCAGGGGTTGCTTTTGGGGAGTTAGTGGCTAAAACTGAGTTTCCTTGCCCTTTGAGACACTTTCTCATGTGAGGGCTTCTGTGAATCTAGTAAGAATGGGGGCGCACATCTGCTGGCCTGGGGGAGCCAAAAAAACCTGGGGTTGCAAGGTTCTCAGGCTGGTCCAAGTCCACCCAGGTATTTCTCAAGTCAATGATTTGAGGACGAGACCATTTATGGCTATGCATTCATGCTCCTTTGCATCTCTGTTTTCCTAATAACACAGTGCTGTGCCTGATTTTCATCCACACATTCTACGAATAAAATGAGCGTCTCCATGAATGCAGTTATGGAGCCGCTTTGCTTCCACAACCTGCCTCAAGCTGACAGTTGCAGGTGGAAACCTGTTTGACTTTTTTTTCAAGACGTCCAGAGCATTTAACAAAGACCAGGAACCTCCAAAATCGTTATAGTTCCCCTCGCCCCAATACCACTTAGGTGTCAGAGCTGCCACATGCCCAGTGCTTTACCTTCCACCTGCACCTCATCCCAAGCCACCAGGGTGAGATCCTTAGCAATCGTGATGTTACCAGATGCCACTCACTCCAGCCTCGTGTTTCTTAGCTCTGTGTTTTCCAGCTCCAAAATCCCATCCTGAGAATCTGCTTCCTAGGCCCATGTCTGTGACTAATTACCTTAGCCTGAGTTCCCTGAAAGCAGACCCTGAGACCAAGGCTTGTTGCAAGGACTTTATTTGGGAAAGCGCTTCTAGAGAGCAGCAGTGCAGGGAAGGAGGATGAACAGGTGAGGAGGAAAAGCAAACATAAGAAAGCCTTGTCACGTCCATCACCAGACACAAATGACGCTTGTTCACACTGAGACTGACTTACTTTTTCTTTCTTCCTTTCTTTCTTTCTTTCTTTCTTTTCTTTCTTTCTTTCTCTCTTTCTTTCTCTCTCTCTCTCTCTCTCTCTCTGTCTCTCTCTCTCTCTCTCTGTCTGTCTGTCTCTCTCTCTCTTTTTCTTTTTAAGACAGAGACTCACTCTGTCACCCAGGCTGGAGTGCAATGGCACGATCTTGGCTCACTGCAACCTTCGCCTCCTGGGTTCAAGAGATTCTTCTGCCTCAGCCTCCTAAGTAGCTGGGATTACAGGTGCCTGACACCACACCCAGCTAATTTTTGTATTTTTAGTAGAGATGGGGTTTCACCATGTTGGTCAAGCTGGCCTCAAAGTCCTGATCTTAGGTGATCCACCCGCCTTGACCTCCCAAAGTGCTGGGATTACAGGCATGAGTCACCACGCCCGGCCCCCACTGGGACTTTCTAAGGAGCCATGAGAAATGCATCCGAGAATCGGCCACCTGGAGGCTCGGTGCAGTGGCTCACATTTATAATCCCAGCACTTTGGGAGGCTGAGGCAGGAAGATCCCTTGAGTTCAGGAGTTCAAGACCAGCCTGGGCAATATAGTGAGACCTTATCTCTACAAAAAAACTTTTTTTTAATTAGCTGGACATGTTGGCATGCACCTAGTCCCAGCAACTCAGGAGGCTGAGGTGGGAGGATCACTTGAGCCCGGGAGGTCAAGGCTGCAGTGAGCCATGATCACACCATTGCCCTCCAGCCTGGGCAACAGAGCAAGACCTTGTTTCAAAACAAAACAAAACAAAAGCAAAACAAAAAAAAATCAAATAATTGCCTTCCTGGGGTGTGAAAGGGGAAATCAACATCGGTTAAGAGTGGTGCCGCGGCGGCGGCGGCGGCGGCGGCGGCGGCGGCCTCGACCTGGCCCGGCGGCGGCCTCGATGGCTCAGGCGTCTTGGCTCCCGACGGGCGCTGCTCCCTGGCGCGCTCTGTTGAGGCGCCGGCCGGCTGGCGCAGTCCTGTGGGCAGCGTGGCGCTTGCAAGCGCAGGAAGAGTTCTGGGGGGACCGCGGTGGGCGGGATACCTTTGGCGCCGGCTCTTCCTCTTTCTCCCGGTTTGTTCCCGACGGTGCTCGCTCGTGGGCCCGCCCTGGCCCGGGCTTTCTGGCCCCGTAGTACCCGCGCGGCCTAGTTCTCGGGGGCTTGGGCACCCGGGTGCTGTATCGGCGGGTTTCTTCCCATGTCCTGGACATTTACTTTATATGCTGCGGCGGAGGTCGTACCTCCTTGGCCTGGAGGAACCCAGTGGGGACTGACGCAGCTCCGGGTGAGCTTTGGCGGCTGTGTCGAGTGACAACGTAGGCATCTCAGCACGGACATTTGCAGTGGCCCGACGGCGCAAATGACAGGGGAAGTCCCCTTGTTTTGAGTATGAGGTGTTTGTCGCTGTCCCTTTATAAGGGTCCAACTCCACTCATACTCACCTCCCTCGCCCCCCCCCCCACCCCGCCCAGAACACTTTGGTAGCTGCCTTTGCTTAAAAAAAAAAAAATTCTAAAGTTCTTACAAATCGTTAGTATGGCTTACAATTTTTAACCTTTTCCACAAATGTTTTTAGGGTATTTTTCCTCTTTACAGGTAAATGATGTGATCTATTTTGGATTCAATAAGACTTTAGTAATTGGATCTAAAGAGTGACGGAAGAAGCTATTAAAGGTGGATGTGCACAGAAAAAAAAAAAAAAAAGAGTGGTGCCACTGGTGCTAACTCCTCTGCACATCTGAGTTAAGAATGTTTCAGTGAATTGTGTGTTCGTTTAGGTGTTGCAAGTCACAGCATCAGAGAAGCCCCAGAGCGGAAAGTGAAAGGTGCTCAGAGATGATCATTCATATGGCTATGAACTAATTAAGATTCAGGGATTTGAATGTGTCTCCTCATAACAAGAATATACAATATACTTCATGTAAATTTTTCTAGTCAAAGAAATGTTAATTAAAACTGTCTGGACTCTGTTTCACCTGGGAGAAAGTATGTTTTTGCAACAATATCAATTCTTTTGTGTTTTTTATTAACATAATAGTATTTCATTTCAGAAGCAGCCTGATATGCACATAAGCATAAAATAGTAAGAAGTGGGAAGTAGTTGTGGATAAAAAGGAACCAGGCCAAGCACGGTGGCTCATGCCTTTAATTCCAGCACTCCAGGAGGCCAAGTTGGGAGGGTTCATAGGGATGTGGGCAAACATATAGTTCTAAATCGCTGCCTATAGCATTACATTGATTCTATTCTTTCATACAGCAATTTAACAGTGGATTTCAAAAGCTATAAAAATATCTGGCTGGGCACAGTGGCTCACACCTGTAATCCCAGCACTGTGGGAGGTCAAGGCAGGTGGATGACTTGAGTCCAGGAGTTCAAGAACAGCCTGGGCAACACGGCAAGATCCCCTCTCTACAAAAAATACAAAAATTAACTGGGCATGGTGGCACACGCCTGTGGTTCCAGCTACTCAGGGGGCTGAGGTGGGAGGATTGCTTGAGCCTAAGAGGTAGAGGTTTCAGTGAGCTGAGATTGTACCACTGCACTCCGCAGAGGTGACAGAGCAAGACCCTGTCTCAAAAAAAAAAAAAAAAAAAATAGCAGCAGGTGCTTTAAGCACCTTTCCCACATACCTTCAGCATGTACTTCTACATCCAGAGGCTATTTTCTGCTTTAATTTTTTTTTTCTGGCCATGGAAACAAGCTCAGCTTACATACAGGGCAAAGTAGGAGTGGCAGAGAGCTAAGTAGCTCTAGAAACAGTCTTCAAACCATGACAGGTGGGGAGTTAGTGGTTAAAACTGAGTTTCCTTGCCCTTTGGTCTGGAAACTTTGACAGTATGTTCTTTACTGCCCCCCACCCCCCAGAGTTTCCCAGCAGGCTGGAAGTCCTCTTGTTGCCCACAGTGCTAACTGGTTGTTAATAAACACGCTTTCTTCTTTTCCCTGTTTCCCTTCCCTTCTCCCTTACTAGTGTTTCCCGGCATCACCTCCCATGTAAGACTCCATCTCAAATCTCAAATGGACTCAAATCTCCATCTCAGGGTTTGCTTCTAGACAAATCCAAATGGAGATAACTAATAAACTTTTGGACCAATAATTACACTTCTGGGTATTTATCCAAAGGAAAAGTCCTTCAAAAGAAGAGAGGTGGGCCGGGCGCGGTGGCTCACGCCTGTAATCCCAGCACTTTCAGAGGATGAGGCGGGCGGATCACCTGAGGTCGGGAGTTCGAGACCAGCCTGACCAACATGGAGAAACCCCGTCTCTACTAAAAATACAAAGTTAGCCGGATGTGGTGGCGCATGCCTGTAACCCCAGCTACTCAGGAGACAGAAGCAGGAGAATCGTTTGAACCTGGGAGACTAGGGTTGTGGTGAGCCGAGATCGCACCATTGCACTCCAGCCTGGGCAACAAGAGCGAAACTCCATCAAAAAAAAAAAAAAAAAAAAGGGACGAGTTATGTCTGAAAAAGATATTACAACATTTTTATGTAATAGGAAATTTGGAAACAATAGAACGTCCAACAAAGATTCACTGTTATTCTTGCAATCACATTGACTTTTCTTTTCTTTTCTTTTTTTTTGAGACGGAGCCTTGCTCTGTCACCCAGGCTGGAGTGCAGTGGCGCGATCTCGGCTCACTGCAAGCTCCGCCTCCTGGGTTCACGCCATTCTCCTGCCTCAGCCTCCCGAGTAGCTGGGAATACAGGTGCCCACCACCACGCCCAGCTAATTTTTTGTATTTTTAGTAGAGGCGGGATTTCACTACGTTAGCCAGGATGGTCTCAATCTCCTGACCTCGGGATCCGCCCACCTCGGCCTCCCAAAGTGCTGGGATTACAGGCGTGAGCCACCGTGCCCGGCCACATTGACTTTTCATCTACTATAATCAGGCACCATACTGGTACCCAATGGTGGTACCCAAGGTCGAGCATCAGGATAGAGCAGGAGACAGGAAGAGGATGAAATCTTTATTAAGGCAGCAGCAGGGGGAGACAGAGAGCAGAGCATTGATTTGAGAGATTTCTTGGGAGGCAAGAAGCAACAGAAACCAGCGACCCATTAGACACAGAAGATAAAGGATAGAGAGATGTTGAAGATGACTTCCAGGTTTGTAGCTTGGTTGAATAAGTGATGCCATTAGCTGTGATAGGGAAAACAGGGAAAGAAGACAGTTTTATAGACAAGGTTTTTTTGTGTTTTTTTTTGAGATGGAGTTTCGCTCTTGTTGCCCAGGCTGAAGTACAGTGGCACAATCTCGGCTCACTGCGACCTCCGCCTCCCAGGTTCAAGCGATTCTCCTGCCTCAACCTCCCGGGTAGCTGGGATTACAGGGGCGTACCACCAAGCCCGGCTAATTTTTGTATTTTTAGTAGGATGGGATTTCATTATGTTAGCCAGGCTGGTCTCGAACTCCTGACCTCAGGTTATCCACTCGCCTCGGCCTCCCAAAGTGCCGGGACTACAGGCGTGAGCCACCACGCCTGGCCTATAGACAAGGTCTTGAATTCAGATGTGATAAGCTGAGCTGGAGAAGCTTTAATTGCTTCAACACTGTTTCACTTCTATGAGCCCTCATACTAGTTGAATATGAGCCAGGGCCCCTGGACTCCTTGGGGTCATTTGTCACAGCAGCAGTAGGAAAGGAATACAGTGTGTGTTCCTGCCAAAGCCATGGGCCTGCTGTGGCTGTGCTCCTTCACAGAAAGCCACATTGCCCATCTGATAGCCCTCTCCTGCCCTCTCTCTGGGTTTTGGTAACTGCTCCTGTCCCCTGCACCTTCAGACCCATGGATTGGTAGAATTTCCACACAGTTGTTAACCCTGAGTGTTTAGCCCTGAGTGTTTAGATTTCTTCTAATCTTGTCCACAACTCTGTAAATCATTCTGTCCTTAAACTCTCTTTAATTACCTTTCTTAGTGTGCCAACGGTTTCACAACTGTACATCCTCTGGGACACTGATGGATGCAGACTCAAAATTATCAAAATAAATAAAAAGCTCTAGATTTCAAGAATTAAGGAGACTTGAGAACCATCTAACACATACAAAGGAATATGGTTCTAACAAAGTACTCAAGAACTAATCATTTTAGGGACTGGCATGGTGGCGCATACCTGTAATCCCAATGCTTTGGGAGGCCAAGGCAGGAGGATCACTTGAAGCCAGGAATTTGAGACTGGCCTGGGCAACATAGTGAGACTCCATCTCTACAAAAGAAATTTAAAAATTAGCCGGGCGTGGTACATGCCTGTAGTCCCAGCTCTGGAGGCTGAGATGGGAGGCTCTCTTGAGCCCAAGAGTTGGAGTCTGCAGTAAGCTATGATCGCACCATTGTACCCCAGCCTGGGAGACAGAATGAGATCCTGTCTCTAAAACAACAACAAAAGACACATGAATCATTTTTAGAATACTGATCAAAGTCACCTAGTTTTCATCTTCCTTTATCCATTATTTATTCTTTCTTCCAAGACTAATCAAGGCAAAATTGTGATATTTATCTTAACAACGTGGTAAAGTATATATCTGTCACTCTCTGGTAACTTCTCTTCCAACAGATTTTTATGCCACCCTTTGTCCTCTGGAATGGTTCAATGCAGCTTGATTTGCTAGGACTGTACTTCTATTGTAGAACCCCAAACTCAGACCTGTGTACCCCATGAGCAGCTGGGGCCAAACACTGAGACACTGGTGCTTGGAGATAGAGAAAGGTTTATTCAATTTGACCAAGGCAAGAGGGCAGGAGGGCAAGATCTCTCAAATCTGTCTTAACAAAAAGGTGAAGCAGGGAGTTTTTGTGCAGCTAGACAAAAGGGAGGGGGAGTTTCAGGGAACCGATGGGAAAGTCTGTGTTTCTTCAGTCTCAGATAGTGCCTTGAACAACCAGACTTCTGGGCATCAACAGCCGGTCATGACATCCTTAACAGCATCCATTCCCTCTGCAAAAATGTTTTGTGACCTTGAAGTTATCTTCTCCTCTTGGTGAAGAAACAGCACATCAGCAGTTTATCATTATATTGAGGGAGCAAGGGATATTGGCAGAAAGCGGGCAGTTAACATGTGCAAGCAGGCAAGGGCCTGATCAGAATGTTCATGGTTTCAGCCACTAAAAATGCGGGGTGCTGAAATCTCAAAGGGCCCGGTTACACTCCTCACTCCCCCAGTCAACATTCATTCACCCCGCAGGTGTAAGACCTATAGCTGCTTCCAGTTCCTGCCACTCTGGTGGGGTGAGGTATTATCTCATTATAGGAGTAACTGGCATTCTCTAGTGACTAATGAGGGTAAGGTTCATATGCTTACTGGCCATTTGGATATCCTCTTCACAAAATGCCTACTCAAAAATCTCTTGCCCGTTTTCCTATTAAGCTATCTTTCTCATACTGACTTGTAGGCGTTCTTTATTTTGGGCCTGAGTCTTTTGGGGAAGTATTCACTGCAAAACGTCTACTCTGCAGTTCACCCTTTTCCTTAATGCTGTCATTTGATGAACAGAAATCCTTAATTTTAAGGTACTTCCATTCAAAAGTTTTTTCATTGAGAAGCTTAAGGATTTTTTTTCATTGAGAAGCTGAGGGATGAAACTCTAAGGAGTCCCAGATCTTCTTAGAGAAGGCGTGCCTCTAGCCCGCTGCATGGAGAGCCCTCCCTGTGGGGGTGCATTTGTGGAACTAGCTGGAAACCTTGTACAGCTGGCTGCCATATCAAATGACCATGGACTTGGTGGCTTAAGACAACACCATTTATCCTCACTTAGTTCTAGAGGCCAGAAGTCCAAAACCAAGGTGTCTGCAGGGCTCTGCTCCCTTGGAAGGGTTCAGGGAGGAGCCTTCATTGCCTCTTCCAGCTTCTGGGTGCTCCAGGTGTTCCCCGTAGCTGAGTGACTAACCTCTGCCTCCATCTTCATATGGCCCTTTCCTGTCTCAAATCTCTCCCTGCCCTTCTCCTAGAAGGACAGTTGTCATTGGATTTAGGGCTCACCCTGATAATCCAAGATGATCTGATCTTAGGATTTGTAGCTCAATCTGCAAATACCCTTTTTTCATAGAAGGTCACATTCACAGGTTCCAGGCAGACACATTTTTGAGAGGCCCCCATTCAATCTACTCTATTGCCCTCTGGGTGTATGGGAAAGTTGCTCACGGGGAGATGTCTCACGGGAGGTACTCTGCTACAGACGCACCCCCAGGAGCAAGGTGCTGGGGGAGGCTGCTGGTCACTGGAGTCAGCCCAGCAAGCACAGTTCCCCTGTGCGGTTCCCAGCAAGCCCTTTCTCCTTAAGTGTCTCTCCACTCCCCCTACTGACAAAGCTTAACACTGTGTCAGCTGGCAAAGGAAAAATATTTAAAGGGCCCAGATCCATTCTCATAGAGAAGGTGAAAAAGGAAGCCTTGAGCTTAATGTCAATAAATTGATAACTGACATATTTAGGGACTATGATAGTTCATTGGAAGGCCTACCACATATTCTGTGTAGTTGGGTTAGGTAGTTATTTTTGGAAGTTTTTTTTTTTTTTGAGACAGAGTCTCACTCTGTCACCCAGGGTGGAGTGCAACAGGCGCCGTCTTGGTTCACTGCAACCTCTGCCTCCCAGGCTCAAGCAATTGTCTTGCCTAGCCTCCTGAGTAGCTGAGATTACAGGCATGTGCCACCACACCCAGCTTTTTTTTTGAGACGGAATCTTACTGTGTTGCCCAGGCTGGAGTGCAGTGGCGCAATCTTGGCTCACGGCAACCTCTGCCTCTCAGGTTTGAGCGATTCTCCTGCCTCAGTCTCCTGAGTCACTGGGATTATAGGCACGCGTGACTACGCCCAGCTTATTTTTATATTTTTAGTAGAGACTAGGTTTCATCATGTCGGCCAGGCTGACTCACTCACCTTGGTCCCACAGAGTGCTGCAATTATAGGTGTGAGCCACCACACAGAGCCTGAAATTTTTTTTTTTTTTTTTTTTTTTGAGACGGAGTCTCGCTCTTTCGCCCAGGCTGGAGTGCAGTGGCGCCATCTCGGCTCACTGCGAGCTCCGCCTCCTGGGTTCACGCCATTCTCCTGCCTCAGCCTCCCCAGTAGCTGGGACTACAGGCGCCCACCACCACGCCCGGCTAATTTTTTGTATTTTTAGTAGAGACGGGGTTTCACCGTGTTAGCCAGGATGGTCTCGATCTCCTGACCTCGTGATCCGCCCGTCTCGGCCTCCCAAAGTGCTGGGATTACAGGCGTGAGCCACCGCGCCCAGCCCCGAAAGTTTTTTTAAAAACCGTAATTTATTTGGTCTTTTACTAAAACCATTTTTGGAGGCTGTGGATGAAGCTGAATAAATATTAGGATTTTTTGTTTGATACATTAATTGCATTTGGTCCAAACCTAGGCAGCAGATATACTTTGTGGCTCCAAAATATGGAATGAGTGAATCCCCATCTTGATCCTATGTGGCTCATATCTATCACTTTGTAATTGCTGGCAATTTTAGAGAATTTAGGTGCATTATGTGGCTTTGAAGCCATATACAGTCTTTTGCTATATTCACTAGGTGATGGTAGTTTATGAAATACTGTGTAAGATAATGTGCCTGGTTTCCATTTCTAAATGAAATACCGTTTATTTTTATTTAAATTAAAAAAGTTTTCACTCGAGTGAGGAATTTTTTAGTTTTATTGAGGTTAGCATACATATAATAAAGTCCAAAAAATCTTAAATGTGGAGCTCAATGACATTTTATACACACATGTACAAATACGTGTATATTATACACAACAGTGTACCACCAACCAAATCAAGATATGGAATATTTCCAGGACCCCTGAAGATTCTCTCATGCTTCTTCCCAGGCAACACCCCCACCCTACCAGAGGCAGCCCCCAGCTGCCTCCAGAGGTAATCACTATTCTGTTGTCTATTTTTGAACTTCATATAAAATGGAAACATATAGTTATGCTCTTTTGGATGTAGCACCATTTATTGAAGACACATTACTTTAAGCCTTTGTGAAATACACACACACAAAGATACACACCGGATGACTATATGTGTGAACCTGTTTCTGGACTTTGTTTAGTTCCACTGGTCAGCTTGCCTTGGTCAGCTTGCCTTTCCTTGCGTCGATACCACATATCTTTATAAGAGATCTTGATATCTGGAGGGATAATGTCTTCCAGATCTGTTCTTCTTGGCTACTTTTGGCCCTTGAGTTCTTCTTTAGACTCTATTCTGTTCCATTCTTCTATTTGTCTATCTTCACACTAAGAACACGCTGTTTTAATTATCGTAGCTTTAGAGTAAATCTTATTATCTGGTGAGGTAAAACTTCCATTTTCTTCTTCCTTAAGATTATTTTGGCTATTCTTGGCCCCTTGCATTTTTATTTGTAAATGGTAGCATCAGCTTGTCAATTTCCACTACAAAAATATGGTGAGATTTTGATTGAGATTGCACTGAATTCATACATGACTTTGAGAAGCACTGGCAACTTTACAATACTAAAGTTTCCAAGACATTACATCGTATATCCTTCCATTTATTTAGCTCTTCTTTCATTCCTCTGAGTGATATGTTGTGGTTTTCAGACTAGAGGTTTTGCTAATCTTTTGTTAAGAATTTTTCGGAATAGTTTATATTCCAATGTTTAAAAATTTTCTAGTTGCTGTTGCTATGTAGAAATACAACTGCTTTTTCTGCCGGGCGCAGTGGCTCACACCTGTAATCCCAGCACTTTGGGAGGCCAAGGTGGGCGGATCACGAGGTCAGGAGATCAAGACTATACTGGCTAACACGGTGAAACCCCATCTCTACTAAAAAATTAGCCAGGCGTGGTGGCGGGCACCTGTATTCCCAACTACTTGGGAGGCTGAGGCGGGAGAATGGCGTGAACCCAGGAGGCAGAGGTTGCAATGAGCTGAGATTGCACCGCTGCACTCCAGCCTGGGCGACAGAGTGACTCCATCAAAAAAAAAAAAAAAAATACAACTGCTTTTTCTTATATTGACTTTGTTTTCAAAGACATCTCTAAATTCAATTTTTTTTTCTAATTTTTTTATTTTTAGAGATGGAGTCTCACTATGTTACCCAGGCTGGTCTCCAACTACTGGCCTCAAGTGATCCTCCCACTTTGACTTCCCAAAGTGCTCGGATTACAGGTGTGAGCCACTGCACCTAGCCTAAATTCACTTATTAATCTAATAGTTGACCTGTAGATTACTTTGGATTTTCTATGTGTACAATATATTGGCTATAATATCAACTTTGTTTCATCCTTTCCAATCATTATACCACTTCTTAATTTTCCTCACTTGTTGCTATAACTATACAGTATAGAACAGAAGTGATGATAGTGGCCATCCTTATCCTGTGTCCAAGCTCAAGTGCGGGTGCAATCACTCAGAAAACTGTTCAGCAGTGTATGATGAACATATAGATACACTGCAATCCAGCAATCCCACTCCTAGACATATGCCCACAAGAAATGAGTGTATGTCTACCAAAAGACAAGGACAAACATGTCCTTAATGGTTCTCTTCATGAGAAGGCCAAACTGGAAACAACCAAATTCAGAACAAATAAATGGTAGTAGACTCAAACAATCATATGCTATTTAGCAGCAAGAATGAACAAACTATTCCTACAACGTGGATGACTCTCACTAACTTGAGCAAAAGCAGTCAGACATTAAAAAGCACATATTATATAATTAAACAAAGTTCAAAAAAGGCAAAACTAATCTACGGTGTTAGAGGGCTTGGGGCTGGTTACTCAAGGGGGAGGATTTAGGATGGCGCTCCAGGGGCTTTCTGGAGGAGAGATAAATTTCCTGTTCTTGGCCTGAGTATTGATAGACAGCTATGTTCACTCTGTAAAAACTCCCTGAGCTATGCACTTGTGATTTGTGTGCATTTTTGTGTATATTTCAATTAAAAGTTTATTAAAAACTACATATATTTAACTGAAGTTCATTCTCACTGTAATCTGTACAATCTGAATTTGTATAACAAATGTCTGCCCAGCTCTATAAATGTACAGCTCTTGTAGACACCAGGCTTTTAGGCTGTATTTTGATATGCTTGTGCCTCTGAAGTTCTAGCTATAAGGGTAGTCTGTTTGTGCTGCTATAATGAAATAGCTGCAACTGTGTCATTTGCAAATAACAGAAATTTATTTCTCACAGTTCTGAAGGCTGAGAAGTCCAAGGTCAAGGCACCAGCAGGTTTGGTGTCTGCTGAAGGCCCATTCCTCATGGTGCCACCTAGGGGCCTTCACATGGCAGGACAGAAGGGCAAAAACGGCCCAAGCTAATTCCCTCCAGTCCTTTTATGAGGCACTAATCAAATTCATGAGAGCAGAACCCTCATAACTTAATCACTTCCCCAAATGCCAACCTCTTAATACTGCCACCATGAGGATAAAGTTTCAACGTGAATTTTGGAGGGGACACCATTATTCAAACCACAGGAGGGGCTATGGGTAGTAAGTAGAGTTTTCTCTGAAAGGGGTATAAATTATACATTGAGGGGAGAGAGCCTCTTAAACAGTATACTAAAGTGCAGAAGGCAGGCCTTGTTCCAGTGAAAGAAGGGACTCCAAACTCTCGCTATGCTTCATTTCCTTTGGTCTAGAGCAGTGGTTCCCAAACAGGGATTGAAGGGGCCAAGGAGTAAGTTGAAGACATTGCTATGAATCCAAATATGTAATCCACCAAGCATTATCTGTAAAATGAGTATCTCATACATATATGTACTATTATTTAAAAATACACTTTGCTACTTAATTTCATAATTCTTTTAAATGAATTTGTAATTTTTTAAATTAATAGACTTTGTTCATTATATATTTCCTCAAATATATAAACAGTATGCACATAAAAGTATGCCTACTATCAAAGGACTTTGAACAATTTGGGGGCAATAGGGAAGCCTGACATTTTAAAATCCTGAGAACTTCTGATCTTGACTTCAAAAGGGGCAAAAGTCTACATTTGGGGTCCTTTAGAAACAGCAAGCTAGGAACTAGTTGGGTTGGGAGTCACATATGTCGGAGAGACCAAGTCATATCTTGTCAGCAGGATATCTCGAAGCAAGTTAACCTCTGTTTTCTTTTTACCCCCGGGCTTCAGTGCAGCCCTGTATAGGTATTCTTCTGGAGCAATCATTCTCAAACTCTGGGGGGGCACAGGCATCCCCAGGAGAGCTTGCTTAAGTAGTCTCCTGGGGCCCCAACACCAGAGATTCTGATTCAGTAGTTTGGGGTGAGGCCTTCAAATTTGCATTTCAAAGAAGCTCACACTGGATGCAAATGATGCTGGTGTGAGAACCACTGTTCTAGATTCTTCGCTGCACTCAGCAAACTAAGATAGGCAAATACAGCTCCCGGAACCAGAGAGGCTGACAAATGAATTCCAAAGAGATGCTGAATACTTGGCGATAAGAACTGCTGCTTTGAGATAAAGATGCTCCTCCTTTGTAGAACACAGTATTTTTTGGTTGGAAAGCAATCTGATGAGCAGACTAATGCGAACATTCACAGGATATTCTGGGAGATACCATGCCTTTAATCAAAATAATCAGATTCAATGACAGAATTTCAGAACCAAGGACCATTAGACATTGTGGGGTCTTTCGGGGGAAGCTTTCCTGTATCTCTAAATCATACTATGTAAGTAGAAAGCTTGCTGACTGCTTTTTTGTTAATACGATTTCTTCTAGCTTCCGTAGCCAACTTTTTTTTTTTTTTTTCTGGCTAGGGTTTTCATTATTTTATGTGATTAAGGACACTTTTCTGCCCCAAGTATTGTAATCCTCTCGGCCGGCTCTGTCCAAAAGAACTGTCTTCGATGATAGAAACGTTCTACATATGTACTTTGCCACATAGCAGCCACTAGCCATACATGGTTATGGCACACCTGAAATGTGGCTGGTGCCACTGAGGAATTAAGTTAATATTTAAAATTTAAATCCCAATACTGGACAGCACGGCTAAACCTTTCCTAACCCTTCACGTTTCTTATGAAGATTATATAGCAGGATATTACAAGCACTAAAAAAGAACTATCTTAAATCTGAAGCAAGATGATTTCCCTAACTAGTACGTTTGTTTGGTAAAAGAGGACGTGCTATTTTTTACAGTTAAATCTAATTCGTAAGTTGTAGAACGTTTTCTTAACAAGGTATCCCTCTCCCAAATTCCGGGAGAGGCTGGCTGCCTTTCCTTTTGCTCCAGCGGTTTATTTGGCATAAAATCTGCAGGCTTACAGGAGCTGACACCAGGGCAGAAAAGAATGAGGAATTTGTTTCCAAGTTGGTCACAGGCCGCTAATCTGACCTAGATGATGTTTAAAATAATATTCAAATACAGCACTTTAAAAAACTATGAAGGCTGAGAAGAAAACGAGAAATGGGAAGCAAGAAGGAAGGCGGAGCGTGCCGGCGACTTCTCAGGGGACTTCCTCAGGGAGTCCCATTCCAGTAACCCCGCGCTACCCACGGACCACCGCCTCTCTCTTGTCGGAAGACGCAAGCCCAAGGGGCGGCTCACCTCGTGCCGCGCGCAGGGACCACGGCCGCCGGGTGGTCCCCTGGCCCCGCCCCCTCCCACCTGGGCACCCCGAGCCCCGCCCCCCGAGCGCCCCGCCCCGCCCCGCCGCCGACTTCGCGCCGCGCTCGGGCGCCGAGTCTGCGCGCTGACGTCCGACGCTCCAGGTACTTTCCCCACGGCCGACAGGGCTTGGCGTGGGGGCGGGGCGCGGCGCGCAGCGCGCATGCGCCGCAGCGCCAGCGCTCTCCCCGGATCGTGCGGGGCCTGAGCCTCTCCGCCGGCGCAGGCTCTGCTCGCGCCAGCTCGCTCCCGCAGCCATGCCCACCACCATCGAGCGGGAGTTCGAAGAGTTGGATACTCAGCGTCGCTGGCAGCCGCTGTACTTGGTGAGTCGCGGACCCACGCGGCAGTCGCCGACCTCCTCCGAGACCCGGACTCGTGCCCTGTCCGCAGGGTCCCTCCCGCCTCCCCCGCCTCTCGCCTCTAGCCTCTCGCTCGGGGCGGAAGTGGCGGCGCGGTCCGCGTCAGGGGCGCGCCTGCGCTGACCGCTCTCTTGCTCCTTTTGGTTTAAAAAAAAAAAAAAAAAAAGCATACTTGAGCTGAGCAGCTCATGGTTAGCGCAAGCGCAGTTAGTTCTGGAGGGCGGTGCCACAGCGGCTTCTTGGGGAGCGCGTGGATGCGCCACCAGCGTTGCGCGGCCCGGGTCTGGGGGTCCTTGGGAAAGCCGTGGGGGCGCTCGGGCGCGCGCCCCCGGGCCGCAGCTTCGCCGTAGCTCCCACGCCGCTGTGCTTGGTTCTTGCTCGCGGACAGCTCTTTCTCTGGCCGGGTGTTTTGTGGCCGGGTGGGCAGCTGGCGTCCCCGGGAGCGGTGAGGGCGGGGGCGGGCGAGCCGGGCCGCGGCGTCCGGGTCCAGCTGGCGCCCGCGCAGGACCTGTGGGAGCAGGCCGCTCTGGGCGCCGGGCCGGCCGCCGCAGCCCTCTGCGAGGCGAAGCTCGCTCTCCTGGCGGAGCCGCGGTGGTTGGGGGTGGCTCGTGGCCTCTGGCGAGGGCAGCGCTCTCGGGACCCTCCGTCTTCATTTTCCCCCGTGGCCCAGCAGCGCCCAGCGTGGGTTCGGCCCCCATAGAACCTTCCCGGAACGAAAGAGGCTTTGCTTGTGTTCGTCCAGTGATAGCGTGTCATTCTCTTTATAGTTTTCCTTACTGAGGTATACTTTCCCTACAGTGAAACGCAGCTTTCATGTGTGCTCCCAGACGGGTGTCACAAATGAATCCCCTCTTGCAAGCCCCCTCAAATCAAAATAGCCTTTCCTTGCCCTGAGAAAGTGCCCTCATCCCCTCCCCGGGGGCACGGTGTTCCGATGCCTATCGCCCTAATCGTGCCTGTTCAGCTCACATAGATGCAATATGTAGTATAAACACCTGTGATTCGCTTTTTTTATGTCAACTAGACTACCTTTTAATTCAAACAAAACTTTATCTCTTTTAAAATGATGTAACTGCTTTCCCCTTCGTTTAATCCTTGTCGTATTATTCCCAAGATTGAATTTGGTGACGGTTAAGTTAATGCTGCTTCTGATGTTTGGTTCTCTCTGTGTAAAGTAAAAGACGGGCTTTCCTGTAAATGGATGATCCTGGGTTTTTCCCCTTTCCATTTAATTAGATGGCAGTGAAAAATGTGTTCAGAAAGTAACGTTTTCTTCTTGAACACATTAGTGGGAAGTATAAATATTCTGATTCCCATGATACAGAGTATGTTAGAATAGGGATCTAAGTTTTAAAGAATGCTGGTAAGGACTCTTCCAATTATAGACAATCTGAAACGCAAATTCTGGTAGGAATCTTCATGTGAGAGAGCCTGCCAGCTGCATCTTCTCCAGTTACATTTGTTTTAGCAGAGGCTGCTGTCTCTCTAAGGGATAGGTTATATATCGAAATAGATTTGAAAAGAGAAAAGTGAATATAACTTAATTCAGCTTAACATTTTGGTTTAAGAAATTTAATTTTCTTTGGTATCATTAATATCCTTGAAAATTCAATGAGAATTGTGATTCCTCTTTCCAGAAAAATGAACTTAACTCGCATCCACTGGAGATTTCACATGCATTTTCAAAAAGATAAGGAAATCCTTCTATAGATTCTTACCGAGGAATCCTGTAGTTTCCTTGGTTGGTCAATGCTCATATTATTTTTTCCTAGTTGAAAACAAGACCATTAGTTTGGTCAGTAGAAACCATGGCATGCACACTGGTGTTACAGTAAAAGTAGGTCACAAACCAAGAAAGTTAGTAATGGAAAGCAAGTCAGGAAGTTTGAGCTATGTGTTCTCCTGTGGCCTTAGAACATCCATTCAGCCATTCCACAAATATGCCCGGACCCCCAGTGGAGTTGCAGCTTTTGCTCCTGGCCTTGGGGATTCAGCAGAGAATGCTCCTGGCAAGTTTCCTACCCTCGAGGTGCTCACTCTAGGGCTTATTCTTTTGGGGCCTCATTGTAGTTCCATATTTTCATTCATTCGTTCATAACATGCTTGTTATGTGCTAGTGTTAGACACTGAGGATTCTTGTTAAAAGACAGGAGTCCCAGTTTTTAAGGATGCAGCCCTGTAAATAGGTAAGCTGATGAAAACGTTAAAGTGATACATGTAAAGCTAGCTTGAAGCACAGGGTCTTGTGGAGTTGAGTTACCTAGGAGTCCTGTATTTCCCAAAAAGGGGTACACATGGGAGTTCTGGTGAAGCTTCTCGAGGGAGGGAGGACCTCACCTAAGTCTTGAAAGACATTGGCCAGGGGAAGAGGACAAGGGAGGTGAAGAGAATTACTGTTCCAGCAAGGAGGGAGTGCACAAAGGCACTGAGGGAATGCTGAGAGAACCACCCACAGTTTAGCCTGGAGACTGGTGTGAAGTTGAGATGCTGGAGAGTAAGGCAGAGCCTAGATCAGACTAAGGAATTTGAGCTGTTTAATAGGAACTCATTGTGGAATTGTAAGTCTGGAAATACCATGATCATATTTGCTTCTTTTTTTTTTGACAGAGTCCCGCTCTGTCGCCCAGGCTGGAGTGCAGTGGTGCGACGTCAGCTCACTGCAACCTCTGCCTCCTGGGTTCAAGTGATTCACTTACCTCAGCCTCCTGCGTAGTTGAAATTACAGGCACACACCACCATGCCCGGTTGATTTTTTTGTACTTTTAGTAGAGACAGGGTTTCGACATGTTGGCCAGGCTGGTCTCGAACTCCTGACCTCAGGTGATCCGCCTGCCTCGGCCTCTCAAAGTGCTGGGATTACAGGCATGAGCCACTGCTCTGGGCTGATCATATTTACTTGTTAGCAAGATCGTTCTGACTGCTAGCAGACTGGATGAGGAAAGTGTAGGCACGCAGCACAGGGCAGTAGTCGGTTGGAGTAAACCTGAAGAGACATGATGAGCTTCTGTTAGGCAGTGGCAGGAGGGATGGAGGGGAGATACAGATTTGAAATGAAATGGTAAAGGGGTATACGTTATGTACAAGTTTGGTTTTGAAACTTTAATTCTGTTTGAGGTACCTGCGAGACACTGAAATGAAGCTAGTTGAATGTATAAATTTGGAGTTCGGGAGAGAGGGTCTGAGTAAATGTGATTTTGGAAATCATGAACACATGGGTGATATTTGAGGTCTTAGACATTGATGAGATCATCTAGGGAAGATACAGAGCGTTTGGAAATATCAAAGGCCAAGGACAGAATCTTGACAGACAACATTTAAAAGGATGGGTGGAGAAAGAGGAACTTGCAAAAAAGACTGGTGAGGAACAACCACAGAAGTGGGGAGGAAAGCAGTGGAGGGAGTTGAGGGTGAGCAGGGCCACCTGACAGGTAAGGGCCAGCCTGAGAGGGCCATGACATTGAGCAGCTAGATTAACAGATACCTTAAAGGGAGTTGTGTCAGCGGACTACACAAGACAGATACCTGGAGTTCAGGAGAGAAGGTAGGAGGAAATGCAAACTACCAAGTGTACACTGCTCTTTTTAGAAGCCCAACTTGAAGAAGTGGGGAGAGGTAGCTAAAATGAAGCAAGATTGTGTGACTTCTCACTTAAACCCTTGAACGGCTTTCCGTTGCTCACAGTGTAAATTCAGCCCCTCCTCCGGCTCACAAGACCTCATGGCCTGTGTCTCTTGCTTGATTTCCCCTATCACTTTCCTCCCTCTTTTCCACTGTGTTGTATTCTTGGAAGTGTGTGTGTCCATTCTCCCCTTAGGGCGTTTGTAAATGTTGTTCTCTTTGCCTTGGCACAACTTTCCCCCCTTCTCTTTCCTTTCTTGCTTAAACTGCCTCCTACTCATCCCTGAAGTCTCACTTCCTTGGCAGGCCTTCTTGACCTGCCCATGCTGGGTATGAGCCCCTGTTGCGTACTTCTTTAGCATCCCAAGACTTCCCCTTTCATAGCGGGAATTGGATGTCATACAGCAGCAAATGATTTCGGGAACACAATTTGCATTAAGCAAACCACTATCTTGAAAGTAACACAGCTTGAGTAGGAAAAAAGTGTTTAAGGTGGCTTTCTGCTTTGTTTAGCACAGCAGTGGGTGATGTTTCTGATAATGTTTTTGAAGAGTTGTGCTTTTTTTGGTAATGCTCATGGAGCTGGGAAAAGAAAGGCTTTGCTCTTGAGCAAAAACTGAGTACAACTAAAAGCTGGACTTGCTTAGTGGTAGGAGAACTTGATACCTTGTTGAAATTCTAGCGGGAAAAATGAATTTAGTATTTTGAGTCTGGAACTCTGGTCCCTTATTCCTTTTTGCTCCTTTTGAAAAGTGTCTTTTATTTCATGAGTTTGATAATAGGAGGTTTCTTAGAAATGAATTATTGGGTTGGAGCAGAACAGACTCTGTTAATCTGAGTTTATATTTTTTATTACTTCTTCAGAGTTTCATGAAGGCACTGCCAGTGCTTTGCACAGTATCAGGTGCTTAGTAAGCACTTGAAAATATGTGCTGAATGAATGACTTTTTACGAGGAAAGGGCAACTTGATATATTTATGTGATTGCAGGGATGAACCTAAAGAGAGAGGTGGAGGTTGAAATAGAAGGGATGATTGTTGGAGCCAGAAATCTTAGAAAGCAAGAGTCAATGGGACCAAGAGCACACAGGTGGAAGAATTGATCGTGAAAGAGTGCTGGCCAGGCGGTGGCTCATCCCTGTAATCCCAGCGCTTTGGGAGGCTGAGGTGGGAGGATCACTTGAGGTCAGGAGGTTAGGGCTGCAGTGAGCCATAATTGTGCCACTGCACTACAGACTAGGTGACAGAGTGAGATCCTGTCTCTAAAACAAGAACAGCAAAACAAAGGGTGCAGTTGGAAAAGTTTAATTTGGTCTGATTGTGTGAGGTTAATTCTGACTTTTTGAGTAATGTTCATGATCCCTTTTTGGCTTTTCCTTTTGTCACTGCTGATTGCTGTCTTCATCAGGCTGAGCTTTGAGAAAGGCAGAGAGAAGGAATGGAGTCTGTGTGCCTACTGAGGAAAAGACTAAAACTGGGGAATCGCAAAAGCTATGTTATGGGTTGTTTCTAAGAAGTGATGGCTCAGAAGGAATTTGGCTTATTTATTTTTAAATTCCTTTCTTTTTTAAAGAGTTCTCACTCTGTTGCCCAGTCTGGAGTACAAGTGCAGTGGTGCAATCATAGCTCACTGCAACCTTAAACTCCTGGGCTCAGGTGAGCCTCTCACCTCAGCCTCTTGGAAATTGGTTGATTAATTAGGGTTTATAAACAATGGAACTCCTGACTGACTTCATTTTTCTTTTTTTGAAACCAAGTCTTGCTCTGTCCCCCAGGCTGGAGTGCAGTAGTGTGATCTCAGCTCACTGCAACCTCTGCTCCCCCCAGGTTCAAGCAGTTCTACTGCCTCAGCCTCCCGAGTAGCTGGGATTACAGGTGCCCACCAGCACGCCCAGCTAATTTTTGTATTTTTAGTAGAAACGGGGTTTCACCATGTTTGTCAGGCTGGTCTTGAACTCCTGACCTCAGGTGATCCACCTGCCTCGGCCTCCCAAAGTGCTGCTGGGATTACAGGTGTGAGCCACCACGCCCAGCCACATTTTTCTTTTTCTTTCTTTTTTTCCTTTTTCTTTCTTTTTTTTTCTTTTTCTTTCTTTTCTTTTTGAGACTGGGTCTCACTTTGTCACCCAGTCTGGAGTGCAGTGGCGTGATCTCAGCTCACTGCAGTCTCGACCTCTTGGGCTTTAGACATCCTCCTGCCTCAGTCCCCCACGTAGCTGGGCCTGGCTAATTTTTTTGTATTTTTTGTAGAGACAGGGTTTAACTATTTTGCCCAGGCTGGTCTTCAACTCCTGAGTTCAAGCAATCTGTCCACCTCAGCCTTCCAAAGGCTTAGGATTACAAGCATGAGCCACTGTGCCTGGCCATTTTTCTTTTTTCTTTTTCTTTTTTTGAGACAGTCTTGCTCTGTTGCCCAGGCTGGAGTGCAGTGGCGTCATCTCGGCTCGCTGCAAGCTCTGCCTCCCAGGTTCACGCCATTCTCCTGCCTCAGCCTTCTGAGTAGCTGGGACTACAGGCGCCCGCCAACACTACAGGCGCCCGCCACCACGCCAGGCTAATTTTTTGTATTTTTAGTAGAGACGGGGTTTGACCGTGTTAGCCAGGATGGTCTTGATCTCCTGACTTTGTGATCCACCTGCCTCGGCCTCCCAAAGTGCTGGGATTATAGGCATGAGCCACTGCGCCTGGCCGCCATTTTTCTTTATTAGAAATTTGTAGTTCAAATATTGCTAGAGAACAATTTTTACCATTTGTGAGTCAGCTAATTTTTAGAAGTCAGATATCAAGTGCACACTGTTCTTCTCATACTTACAGCGGGGCAGCCAGTTAGGCAGGTGAATCAAAGCTGTCTTATTCTAAAACACTTCCCTTGCCTACTAGTTACACATTCTCCTGCCTGCTGTCTAATCTCAGTGCTTTTACATGGTTGCACAAACTCTGAATTCCCTTGAAGATTGGCTACTCTCTCACACCTTGGAGTCTTCATGTGTTGGATATACTCCATGCCTACCATATCTATTTGGGAAACATCTTCAAGACTAGACCGTAGTCTCCTTGGGCAAAGTTAAATGCTCCCCCTTCTCTCATTTCTTAGTTCTCTATATTCTTTTATTAGAATATGAACCACATTGTTTTGTAACTGTCTACTTGTCTGTTCTGTGTAGCTCCTTGAGGGTGGTCTTTTTTTTTCTTTGTTTTCCCACCACCTACCTACGGGACCTGAAACATGTTAGATGCTCAGTAAATATTCAGTAAACACAGGAAAACTGTTCCCTTTTAAAATGTCAGCACCTTAGTTTATTCCAAACCCCTCATTTATGGCTGAGGAAACACTGGGCCAATACAGTGTTGTGACTTATCTGATGTTACAATATCTGCTAGTGTCATAACTGGGACTCAAATCCAGTCCTTCTGATTCTCGTTTCAGCACTGCCCTAATTTACCCATGTGACTACCTGTAGTGCTTTCTTCTTATGATCTATTTGAGATCAGTGGCACAGAGGGAATCGTCTTAATTTTGATGGCTAGGAGGGAGTGGATGTGTTATAATAGGTAGGGTCATTTTGGGACTTGAGGCCTTTAAAACAGTGTCTGGGATCCAGGGATCAGACTTGAAAGGTATTTGCAAATCTCCTGAAACTGCTAAATTTTATGTACGTGTGTTCCCAGGTATTTCGTTTCTAGGTGATTCTGTAGCTTTTGTCAGTTTCTTAGTGGATTTGTCTGTGATCCCTCAAAAGGTAAAGACCACTGCTTGAAGGGAAAGCAGCCTTGGGATGGGTGCCCCAATGGGGAATGTATACCTAGAAATCATATTGTTTTGCCTTTGACATGTGTTTATAGATTACTGATATCTATAATTACGGAAATCCAGATAGTTGCGTTTGTCTCCTAGCTTTTCTAGTTGCCTCTTTTTTGATTTCTTGATTTTAACCAGAATCTTCTTTTTTTCTTGAGAAGGGGTCTCATTCCGTCACCCAGGCTGGAGTGCAGTGGCACGATCGTAGGTCACTGCAGACTCAAAACTCCTGGCTCAAGTGGTCCTTTGCCTCAGCCTCCCGAGAAGCTGGGACTACAGGCACACACCACCACGCCTGACAAATTTCTTCTTCTTCTTCTTCTTTTTGTTGTTGTTCTTGTTGGCCAGGCTGGTCTGGTCTTGAACTCCCGGCCTCAAGTGGTCTGCTCACCTTGGCTTCCCGAAGTGGCGAGATTACAGGCATGAGCCACCATGCCCAGCCCTTAACCAGAATTTTGTTTTGTTTTGTTTTTTGAGACAGGGTCTCACTCTGTCACCCAGACTGGAGTGCAGTGATGAGATCACGGCTCACTGCACAGATGCACGCCACCATGCTTGGCTAATTTTTTATGTTTTGTAGAGACAGGTTCTCACCATGTTGTCCAGACTGGTCTCGAACTCCCGGGCTAAAGCGATCTTCCGGCTTCACCCTTCCATAATGCTGGGGAGCCACAGTGCTTGGCCAACCAGAATCTTAAAAGCCCTTTTTACTTTTTCCAGATAGTTACTCTGCAGAGAATTTCTGATTCCCAGTTGGAGAACTGTTACAGCTCTCTCAGTCCCCTGCTGTTCTTTTAGCTACCTTGTCTTTGTCCTCTTACCTGTCCACTCTCTACTCCCCTTCTTCCCTTTGGTCTCCAAATAGTCCAGATAAACCAGAGAGATGGACAGATAAGGTCTGGGTACGCGAAATTAAAATTAACATAGTGTGCTCTTCACTTTCTTGAATAAACGTTACGTATGATTTGTTTCCCTTGGAAATCCTCATCTAGATTCTCTACTCTCTATTCCTTAACTTAATGCCCCATTAAGGTAGTTTTTTCTTAATGGAAAGCTGTTGAGAGTCAGAGGATATTTAAACCAACTAATAAACTGAACTTTTAATAATACCACCCTTACTTTGGATAAGAGTGATTAGCCATATACTAAATCCTCAATCAGTTTAGCATGTAAAATTTAAGACATAGCAGCTGATAACTGAGGAAGAGATACATTTCCACAGGCTAACTTTAAAGAATATAAGCTCTCACTTTCCTGAGTAGAAGAAAACTAAACTTTTCTGTTCTATGCTTTTTTTTTTTTTAATTTTTATTTTTATTGATCATTCTTGGGTGTTTCTCACAGAGAGGGATTTGGCAGGGTCATAGGACAATAGTGAAGGGAAGGTCAGCAGATAAACAAGTGAACAAAGGTCTCTGGTTTTCCTAGGCAGAGGACCCTGAGGCCTTCCGCAGTGTTTGTGTCCCTGGGTACTTGAGATTAGGGAGTGGTGATGACTGTTAACGAGCATGCTGCCTTCAAGCATCTGTTTAACAAAGCACATCTTGCACTGCCCTTAATCCATTTAACCCTGAGTGGACACAGCACATGTTTCAGAGAGCACAGGGTTGGGGGGTAAGGTCACAGATCAACAGGATCCCAAGGCAGAAGAATTTTTCTTAGTACAGAACAAAATGAAAAGTCTCCCATGTCTACTTCTTTCCACACAGACACGGCAACCATCCGATTTCTCAATCTTTTCCCCACCTTTCCCTGCTTTCTATTCCACAAAACCACCATTGTCATCATGGCCTGTTCTCAATGAGCTGTTGGGCACACCTCCCAGACAGGGTGGTGGCCGGGCAGAGGGGCTCCTCACTTCCCAGTAGGGGCGGCCGGGCAGAGGCGCCCCTCACCTCCCGGGTGGGGCGGCTGGCCGGGCGAGGGGTTGACCCCCCCACCTCCCTCCCGGACGGGGCGGCTGGCCGGGCGGGGGGCTGACCCCCCCACCTCCCTCCCGGACGGGGCGGCTGGCCGGGCGGGGGGCTGAACCCCCCACCTCCCTCCCGGACGGGGCGGCTGGCCGGGCGGGGAGCTGACCCCCCCCCACCTTCCTCCCGGACGGGGCGGCTGGCCGGGCAGAGGGGCTCCTCACTTCCCAGTAGGGGCGGCCGGGCAGAGGCGCCCCTCACCTCCCGGACGAGGCGGCAGGCCGGGCGGGGGCTGATCCCCCCACCTCCCTCCCGGAAGGGGCTCCTCACTTCCCAGTAGGGGCGGCCGGGCAGAGGCGCCCCTCACCTCCCAGACGGGGCGGCTGGCCAAGCGGGGGGCTGACCCCCCCACCTCCCTCCCGGACGGGGCGGCTGGCCGGGCGGGGGGCTGAACCCCCCACCTCCCTCCCGGACGGGGCGGCTGGCCGGGCGGGGGGCTGACCCCCCAACCTCCCTCCCAGATGGGGCGGCTCGCCTGGCGGGGGCTGACCCCCACCTCCCTCCTGGACGGGGCGGCTGCCAGGTGGAGACGCTCCTCACTTCCCAGACAGGGTGGCTGCCGGGCGGAGGGGCTCCTCACTTCTCAGACGGGGCGGCTGCCGGGCGGAGGGTCTCCTCACTTCTCAGACGGGGCGGTTGCCAGGTGGAGGGTCTCCTCCCTTCTCAGATGGGGCGGCTGGGCAGAGACGCTCCTCACCTCCCAGACGGGGTCGCGACCGGGCAGAGGCGCTCCTCACATCCCAGACGGGGCGGCGGGGCAAAGGCACTCCCCACATCTCAGACGATGGGCAGCCGGGCAGAGACGCTCCTCACTTCCTAGATGGGATGGCGGCCGGGCAGAGATGCTCATCACTTTCCAGACTGGGCAGCCAGGCAGAGGGGCTCCTAACATCCCAGACGATGGGTGGCCAGGCAGAGACGCTCCTCACTTCCTAGACGGGGTGGCGGCCAGGCAGAGGCTGCACTCTGGGCACTTTGGGAGGCCAAGGCAGGCGGCTGGGAGGTGGAGGTTGTAGCGAGCCGAGATCACGCCACTGCACTCCAGCCTGGGCACCATTGAGCACTGAGTGAACCAGACACCGTCTGCAATCCCGGCACCTCCGGAGGCCGAGGCTGGCGGATCACTCGCGGTTAGGAGCTGGAGGCCAGCCCGGCCAACACAGCGAAACCCCGTCTCCCCCAAAAAAATACGAAAACCAGTCAGGCATGGCGGCGCGCACCTGCACTCGCAGGCACTCTGCAGGCTGAGGCAGGAGAATCAGGCAGGGAGGTTGCAGTGAGCCGAGATGGCAGCAGTACAGTCCAGCTTCGGCTCGGCATCAGAGGGAGACTGTGGAAAGAGAGGGAGAGGGAGACCGTGGGGAGACGGAGACCGTGGGGAGAGGGAGAGGAGGCAGAGGGAGAGGGAGAGGCTTTTTTTTTTTTTTCTTGAGACGGAGTCTTACTCTGTCAACCAGGCTGGAGTGCAGTGGCACGATCTTGGCTCACTGCAACCTCCACCTCCCTGGTTCAAGTGATTCTCCTGCCTCAGCCTCCCAAGTAGCAGGGACTACAGGCATGCGCCACCACACCCAGCTAATTTTTGTATTTTTAGTAGAGATGGGGTTTCGCTGTGTTGGCTGGGCCAGTCTTGAACTCCTGACCTCAGGTGATCCACCCACCTTGGCCTCCCAAATTGCTGGGATTACAGGCGTGAGCCACCGCGTCCAGCCTGTTACATTCTTAATTGGAATAGCATTGCCCTGCAGTGCCATTATCTGAAATAGCTTTTAAGAATGAATGTAATGCCATTTTAAATGTATTTAAATGTTGTGCCGATTTAATGTTCTATGTACGGTACAGTACTACTAATGGTTCAAGAAGTTGTTTTGACTTAACAGTGAAATCCTTGCTTTTAAAGATCATAGATACCTTTAGACACCTTTAAGATGAAACATGTTTATGAGAGGAAATGTCCGCACAAATACAATCCCCCGCAAACTTAGCATGTGGTTTTAGTAGGTTCATAGGCCCACCTGGTGATCCCTAGGATAAGAAATTGTGGTCAAGAAACTGATTTCAGGGGCCGGGCTGGTGGCTTACACCTGTAATCCCAGCACTGTTTGTCTCAAAACAAAGAAACTGGCTCAAGGTTGGATACTTTTCAAACGAGAGGAATGGAGGAAGGGAATGCAATGAATAACTTTTCAAATCCAGTATGTCTGATTTAATATGCCGTTTGCTCTGTCAGTTTCATTTGGTTCGTGTCACTGATCATTTATAACCTTTTTTCAAACTGCTTTCATTCCCCTAAGGAAAATCTGATACTGAATTATTTTATTTCTTCTTTCACTATATTTGAACGGTTTTATAGTCTGAAAGCTATCAATTTCTCATTACAGTTTACTTCATAGTACTTCTAGGAATTCTTCCTGTGGTTTGAGGTAAGGCTACAGGATTCCTAGAGTTTGTACCCCTCTAGTCCCAGTAAAGGACCTGGTACATCAATCAGGGTAGCCCTAGAAAGTTGGAGTAACTTCGTAACAGTGGGAACTGCTTCTGTTCTATGTTTTTTGTGGGTTTTTTATTTGTTTTTGTTTTTTTGTTTTTTTGTTTTTTTTTTGAGACAGAGTCTTGCTCTGTGGCCCCAGGCTGGAATGCTACGGCACGATCTCGGCTTACTGCAACCTCTGCATGCTGAGTTCAAGCGATTCTCCTGCCTCAGCCTCCTCAGTAGCTGGGATTACAGGCGTGCACCACCACGCCCAGCTAATTGTTGTATTTTTAGTAGAGACAGGGTTTCCCCATGTTGGCCAGGCTGGTCTTGAACTCCTGACTTCAAGTGATCAGCCCACCTCTCAGAGAGCTGGGATTATACATGTGAGCCAACATGCCTGCCCTGCCTCATTCTTTATACTACAGTAAAGTCCCGGTTGGGCAATAATCTAAACATAAAAGAAATGAAACCATAAAATTATATAAGAAAACAATGGAGAAAATTTTTTGTAATCAACAGAGTGAAAAAGGATTTTTTAATGCCATGTCACAGAAACCTAGAGAAAAAAGGTTTAAGTTTGATTTCATAAAAATTTAAATTTTTGACATAAATACCATAAAGGTCAAAAGATAAAAAATTTTAAATATTTTCAATATATAACAAAAACTAAACTTTCTTAATATGTAAAGAACTACATATCAAAAAGAGAGCGGAAATACAGATGGCTTTTAAAAACAGGTAAAGCTGTTCACCTTCACAATAATAACAATTTCAAATTATGACTATAATAATACCATTTTTCACCTATCAGACAAAGATGAAAAAGTTCATTAATATAATTGTGTAGGTGAAGCTCAGGCACTTTCTTATATTATTGGTGACAGTATACATTGATATAGCTTCTTTGAAAGGTTATTCATAGCAGCATTATTTATAACAGCTAAAACCTAGAAATAACCTATGTGTCCCATTATAGATGACTGGCTAAGTGATGAATACTATTAAATTGTTAAAAAGAACTCATTATCTATATGGAAGTACTTTTAATATATACTAAGTGAAAAATCAAAGTGCAAAACAGTATGCTAATATCTGTTTTGTGAGGGTGGGATGGATACTTGGATGGAGGAAGACAGACAGGCAGTCTGGCTTATATATGGATAGAATGTCTCGGAAAATATACAAGGCACTGGTTACAGTTATCACCTAAGGGAAAGGATTGAGGGAGAGGAGAATGTGACTTAACTTTTTCACTATATACCCTTTTGTACGGTTTAATTTTTGCCAAGTCCATGTAATCCATGTATACATAGGGAGCATATGTATATAAATATATGTAAATATAAGTAAAAAAATATGTATGTGCTGCCGGGCGCGGTGGCTCACTCCTGTAATCTCAGCACTTTGGGAGGCCGAGGTGGGCGGATCATGAGGTCAGGAGATCGAGACCATCCTGGCTAACACGGTGAAACCCCGTCTCTACTAAAAACACAAAAAAAGTAGCCGGGCGTGGTTGCGGGCGCCTGTAGTCCCAGCTGCTCGGGAGGCTGAGGCAGGAGAATGGTGTAAACCTGGGAGGTGGAGCTTGCAGTAAGCCAAGATCGCGCCACTGCACTCCAGCCTGGGCAACAGAGTGAAACTCTGTCTCAAAAAAAAAAAAAAAACAACACGCTTTTCTCTCTCTCTCTCTCTCTCTCTCTCTCTCTCTCTCTATATATATATATATATATATACACATATATATATACGTATATATATACATATATATACGTGTATATATACATATATACGTATATATATGTATATATACACATATATATACACATATATATGTATATATATACATATATATACACATATATATGTATATATACACATATATATGTATATGTATATATATACATATATATATATATGCTAAAGTTAAGTACTGGATTCCTATCTGTATCTGCTACCTAACTGCAGTATAAATCTTGGAAGTTGAGTCTGTTTTCTCATTTGTAACCACCTCTTAGATAACACACATAAAAGCACATAGCACATGCCTGACACACAGTAGGGTTCAGTGACAGTGAGCTGTTTTAGTCTCTAAACTCTCTTCCTCAAAGAGAGCTTCTCAAAGAAAAAAAAATGTAGTGAAGAAAAGAACTTACTCCACCAGGGATCTTCTCTCCCCAGCCAGTGGCAGGCATATTAAGGGCTATAAGTAAGTGGTTATTTTACCATCCTAAAGTAATGGTGTTTCAAAGTATGCAAGATTCTTCATACTTCACTGTGTCCTTTTCTGAGCATCTTTGTAGAGAGTATATGCACAAACATCTGACTAACAAAGGGAACACTTTTCATCATATAATTTAGGATTCACTTAGAGACCTAAAGTATAAAGAAAGAAACTTAGGTATGTTAGCCCATAAGGAGAAACTCATTATCAATTTGGGATTATCTTAAGGTCCTACCTTATAAAATTAAAATTTAACAGAAGATTATTCTTTTTCAATTTCCTAAGTTCTTATTTGCTACTACATCGTAGCAGTTCGAGGGAGAATTTGGTCTAACGATGTAATGTTTTCTGTATGCCATACATAGAACAAAGCTATGTACGAAATACTAAAAATATTATTTGACATTATTTAATAAAATATTATAACTATTTCACCCCGATAATGATGGAAATTAAGTTGCAGTAATATAGATTTTTAAAATAAAAACTTCAAAACCAGGCGCCATGGCTCACGCCTGTGATACCAGCGCTTTGGAAGGCCGAGGCAGGCAGATTGCTTGAGACCAGGAGTTTGAGACCAGTCTAAGCAACATAGCAAATAAAAATAAAAAATTAGCCAGGCATGGTGGTGTGCCTGCAGTCCCACCTACTTGGGAGGCTGAGGTGGGGGGATCACTTGAGCCCCTGAAGTCAAAGCTGCAGTGAGCTGTGATCACACCACTGCATTCCAGCCTGAGTGACAAGGCAAGACTTTGTCTCAAAAATATAAGTAAAATAAAATTAAAATTTTACTTGTTTATTTTTTTGAGACGGCGTCTCTCTTTTTCCCAGGCTGGGGTGTAGTGGTGTGTTCTCGGCTCACCGTAACCTCTGCCTCCGGAGTTCAAGCGATTCTCCTGCCTCAGCCTCCCGAGTAGCTGGGATTACAGGTACGTGCCACTATGCCCAGCTAGTTTTTGTACTTTTAGTAGAGACAGGGTTTTGCCATGTTGGCAAGGCTGGTCTCAAACTCCTAATGTCAAGTGATCCGCCTGCCTGGGCCCCGCAAAGTGTTGGGATTACAGGCGTGAGCCACCGCACCCAGCCTTAAAACTTTAAAATTCAGAATATGAGCCTTTGTTTTATAGCTTCACTTGTTAAAACAAATCAGGAGCTGGGTGTGGTAGCTCACGCCTGTAATCCCAGCACTTGGGGAGGCTGAAGCGGGCAGATCACCTGGTCTCAATCTCCCTGAACTCGTGATCCGCCCGCCTCAGCCTCCCAAAGTGCTGGAATTACAAACGTGAGCCACCACGCCCGGCCTGAAGTTTGAAGTTTTTAAAAAGAAAGAGTTGTTAGGCATAATTGTGTAAATAGAGGTAAAAATTGACAGCAAGAAAGGCAGTAGAAAACTATGACAAATGAAGGTGATGGCTCACGCCTGTAATCCCAGCACTTTGGGAGGCCAAGGCGGGCGGATCACCTGAGGTCAGTAGTTCAAGACAAGCCTGGCTAACATGGTGAGACCCTGTCTCTACTAAAAAATACAAAAATTAGCCAGGCATGGTGATGTGCACCTGTTATCCCAGTCACTTGGGAGGCTGAGGCAGGAGAATTCACTTGAACCCGGGAGGCGGAGGTTACAGTGAGCTGAGATGGCGCCACTTCACTCCAGTCTCTCCAGTCAGTCCAGACAGAGTGAGACTCAATCTCAAAAAAAAACAAAAAACAAAAAACAACAACTATGACAAATAAGTGTAATTTCCCAGGACTATTAAGGTCTTGTAATCCCATGCACTGGAAGCTTTTGTTGTTGTTTTCTGATTTATCATTGAAGTGACCAAAGCGCAGTGGTAAGAACAAGCCTTTGTGATTACTTCACACTAGAGAAGGGTCTTTCCCACATATTTGAGACTTAAGGAGTTGATAGTGAACAGTGTAAGCGGCCACACAGGTGTGGGTTAAGAACTGATGTGTGTATTCACTTTCTGTAAAGATGACCAAACATATGTTGTTAGACAAACGAAAAATTCACCCCAAGATCATTGAGGGCATGCAAAATAGTATGAGGTAGAGGCAGCTGTAATTCAGGTGTCCAAATACAAGAGCAGGTGGAGAAAAGAAAAGAAACTGAGAACAGTAAAGAGTTTTTAAAGTTATAACACACAATTGTTAAAATAGAATGTTCAGTACCAAGTAGCAGAGTAGATAATGCAGAACACTGAGGTGGCTTGAGAAAAATCTCTCAGAACTCAGGAAAGAGGTGTGCGAAATGAGCGTTAGGAGAGAGCACTTCCCCAAGTCTGTGATAGAAATTCCTGAAAGGGAACAGAGGAGACTGAAGCGAAACTCTATTAAGCGACAAGGAAGACTCAAATGGAGAAGCTAACCCAGTTCCGATGAAGACTTGGCACATATCTATAATGTATTTTTTTTGAAGTCAGCCAAAAGAAAGTTTAAATTTGAGGTACATCTGAAAGAGTAAGCAATACAGAAAAATCTTGACAACATCTGAGGACAAAAAAAAAAGTACTGATACTGTTGAGTGTGAGGCAAAACCTCACTTTCAGTCTTTCTTGAGAAATATTGGCAAAATATGCCCTTAATACAGGAGTTCCATTTTTATTTCATTTATTTATTTATTTATTTATTTATTGAGACAGGTTCTCACTTTGTCACCCAGGCTGGAGTGCAGTGGTACAGTCACTGCTCACTGCAGCCTTGACCTCCTGGGCTCAAGTGATCCTCCCAGCTTTGCCTCCCAAGTAGCTGGGACTGCAGGCACGCATCACTACGCTTGGCTTTATTTTTATTTATTATGTGTTTATTTTTATTTTTATTTTTTGTAGATACGTGGTTTCACCATGTTGCCCAGGCTGGTCTTGAACTCCTGGCCTCAAATGATCCTCCTGCCTTGGCCCAGAGTGTTTTTGTTTTTTTTTTTTGTTTGTTTGTTTTTTGTTTTTTGGAGACAATCTTGCTCTGTCACCCAGGCTGGAATGCAGTGAGTGGCGCGATCTCGGCTCACTGCAACCACCGCCTTCTGGGTTCAAGCAATTCTCCTGCCTCAGTGTCCCGAGTAGCTGGGACTACAGGTGCCCACCACCATGGCCAGCTAATTTTTTGTATTTTTTAGTAGAGATGGAGTTTCACCATGTTAGCCAGGATGGTCTCGATCTCCTGACCTCGTGATTTGCCTCGGCCTCCCAAAGTGCTGGGATTACAGGCATGAGCCACCACGCCCGGCCGAGATATATTTCACATACCATAAAATTCACCTAAAAGGTACAGTTTAGTGGTTTTTAGTATATTCACAGCTGTGGAACTAAATCTTAATTTCAGAATATTTTCAACACCCCAAGGAGAGACTGGGTACATACAGTTATTCTCCATTCTCACCCACATCCCAACCCCTGACAACCACTAATCTACTTTCTGTCTCCAGATTTCCCTGTCCTGGTCTCATACCATGTGTAGTCTTTTGTATCTGTTTTTTTGTTTTGTTTTGTTTTGTTTTGTTTTGTTTTGTTTTGTTTTTGAGAGGAGTCTGGCTCTGTCGCCTAGGCTGGAGTGCAGTGGTGCAATCTTGGCTCACTGCAAGCCCCGCCTCCTGGGTTCACGCCATTCTCCTGCCTCAGCCTCCCCAGTAGCTGGGACTACAGGCGCCCGCCACCACACCCGGCTAATTTTTTGTATTTTTAGTAGAGATGGGGTTTCACTGTGTTAGCCAGGATGGTCTCGATCTCCTGACCTCGTGATCCACCTGCCTCGGCCTCCCAAAGTGCTAGGGTTACAGGCGTGAGCCACCGCGCCCGGCTGGTTTCTTTAACTTAGCATAATGTTTTAAAGTTTCATCTGTGTTGTATGTATCATTACTTTGTTTCTTCTTCTAAGTTAGTAAGATTCCATTATATAGATATATACCATTTTGTTTATCCATTCACCAGTTGATGGACAAATGATTGTTTTAGCTATTATTAAAAGTGCTACCATGAACATATGTGTCCAAGTTTTTGTGTGAATGTATGTATTCGTTTCTCTTGGGTATGTGCCTTGGAGTAGAATAGCTAGTTCATATGTTAACTCTTTGTTCAGCATTTGTTTTTCTAAAGTGGCTACATCATTTTAACCTTTAGTTTTTTGTTTTTTGGTTTTTTTTTTGGGAGTGGGGTGGGGCTGGAGTGCAGTGGCGTTATCTCGGCTCACTGCAACCTCCGCCTCCTGGGTTCAAGCAATTCTCGTTCCTCAGCCTTCCGAGTAGCTGGGACTACAGACACATGCCATGACGCCCAGCTCACTCTTTTTGCCCAGCTCACTCTTTTTATTTTAGTAGAGACAGGGTTTCACCATGTTGCCCAGGCTGGTCTCAAACTCCTGAGCTCAGGCAATCTGCCCACCTCAGCAGGGTTTCACCGTGTTGACCAGGCTGGTCTCAAACTCTTGACCTCAGGCGATCCACCCACCTCAGCCTTCCAAAGTGCTAGGATTACAGGCATGAGCCACTGTGCCCCGCCTCTCTCTTTTTTTTTTTTTTTTAATAAAGACAGAGTCTTGCTCTGTTGTCCAGGCTGGCATGCAGTGGCGTGATCACGGCTTACTGCAGCTTTGACCTCCTGAGCTCAAGTGATCCTCCCACTTCTGCCTCCCAAGTAGCTGGGACCACAGATGTGTACCACCATGCCTTGCTAATTTTAAAATTTTTTAATAGAGATGGGGGTCTGTCTGTGTTGCCCAGACTGGTCTCAAGTGATTCTCCCACCTCAGCCTCCCAAAGTATTGGGATTGCAGGCATGACTCACAGCGCCTGGCCTCAGTTTCTTTCAAGACCATCCTATAACACCAAGTTAGTTTGAGGATTCTATGAATGTCTGCTTAAAGATATCCTTCTGAATTCTGTGATTCTCTTGAAAGGCTTGTTGCAATGAAAAACAAAGTATAATGATGACTTTATGTGAAGTATACTTTTGGAATTTCTTAAGCAGAAGTCCTGAGACTTTTGAGAGTCCCTGTATTTAAACAGTACCATTTAGGCACAGTTACTGCTTATGAAATGAAGAGTAGCTAGATGAATATAAAAAATCTTACTCTTACATTTCAACCCAGCATTATTTGAACCCAGCAAAATTATTTCTATAGTAGAATCAATTTAGTTCCTTATTTTAAGCCATGCATATATATCTCAAAGCAAATTTCAAGAGGGATTAAATGTTATTATGTGAAAATATTAGGAGGTGAAATAATAGGAGAAAGTAAACACATTGAAAGTAGGTATGTTCAGGCCAGGCGCGGTGGCTTATGCCTGTAATCCCAGCACTTTGGGAGGCTGAGGCGGGCAGATCACGAGGTCAGGAGATCGAGACCATCCTGGCTAACACGGTGAAACCCCGTCTCTACTAAAAATACAAAAAAAAATTAGCCGGGCGTGGTGGCGGGCATTTGTGGTCCCAGCTACTCGGGAGGCTGAGGCAGGAGAATCGATTTAACCCTGGAGGCTGAGGTTGCAGTGAGCCGAGATTGCACCACTGCACCCTAGCCTGGCAACAGAGCAAGACTCTGTCTCAAAAAAAAAAAAGGAAAGTAGGTATGTTTACAATTTAAAATCTTTGGGCATGGAGATAAGCTATAAGGCCATTGATCAGAATGGACCATTTCATAATGTTCCAAAAATTAGACTACTTTGGAAAAAGGTGGTGTGTGGTCTTAATGTAGGCAATGCACATGTGTGTTTAAGTTTCAAATACAGCTAAGGAGCTAAGTGGAATTTTTTTTTTTTTTTTTTACCAAATAGCGTGTATTAATAATAGCTCAGTTCCATTTACTGATTTGTTTTTCCTTTGTTTATGTCATATATTATCTTTCCAAGAGATTGTGAGTTTATGCTACTGCCAATTTGGTATGAGGGCCTGTTTTTAAAAGAGCTGCATGATATTCACTTGGATGTACCACGATTTATTCAACCAGTCTTTTCTTTGTCATTAGACATTTAGTTTATTTAAAGCCTTTCAACATTATAAGTAACTGTGAAAGATATCTTTGTGCTATGAGTTGCCTACATTTTGGATCATTGCCACTAAGAAAGAAATTAACTAGTGACTCAATTATTCCTTGCTTTTTTTGAGCAAAAATCATATTAAAAATAATTAGATTTAAAATTTTTGGTTAAATTATACTTTAAAGCAAAGATCCTTGCCATTTAGATCTAGTTTGGTATTAAATGAGAACGGTGGTTCTCTACTGTGTTGGTGGGGGATATGTTCATGATGGATTTTGCTGTGGAAGGACATTTGGCAATGCCTGGAGAGAGTTTTGGTTGTTACAGATGCAGGGAGGGGTGCCACTGACATCTAATGGGTAGAGGCCAGGGATGCTGCTGCTAAACATCCTGCAATACACAAGACAGTCCCCACTTGCCCCCCCCCCCCCAAAAAAAATTAGCTAGCCTAAAATGTCAGTAGTGCTGAGGCTGAGAAACCTTGGATTAACAGGTTTCACTGCTGATGGGAAACTTTTTTTTTTTTAACAGGGCCTTACTCTGTTGCCCAGGCTAGAGTGCAGTAGCAGGATGCTAGCTCACTGCAGTCTTGAACTCCTGAGTTCAAGCAATCCTCCTGTCTCTGCCTCCCAAGAAGCTGGAACTACACATGCACACCACCATCCCCAGCTAATTAAAAAAATTTTTTGGCAGAGCTGGTGTCTTACTGTGTTGCCCAGGCTGGTCTCAAACTCCTACCCTCAAGTGATCCTTCCAGCTGGGCCTCCCAAAGCACCAGGATTGCAGGTGTGAGCCACTGTGCCCAGAGGAAACATTCGGAATCTGTGATAGAAGGGGAAGGTTTTAGCTCCAGAACACAAGTAGAGCTGGCTTTGCCTTATGTGATAGACCTAGTGAATAGCTCAGCTGTCTGCTTTCCTAATGCCATTTAGACAGATACTGTATATTTTATTGCTTATGCAATGTGCTTATAAAATTGTTTATTTTTGTGTCTTGGGTATTCCTGAAAATGCCTCATCAGTGTCAGATCTAGTTGCTGTTGAGATTTGGTTTTGCTGCGTATATTACAGACCTGATTTAGCTACATGGGAAAGAAAATTAATCAATAGCTGATTTAACAACCAGGAGTTTATGTTTCTCATGTGATATGAATTCTGGAGAGAGACTTAAGGGCTGTTACTGTGGCTTCTTGATGTCACCCATGACTCAATGCTGGTATTTCTGCTTACCTTTCTTAGGAATGTGCATTTTACCTTGCTGTCACAGGATGGCTCCTGCCTGTTCCCACCCCTCACCCCCGGCAGCAAAACCTATGTTCCAGGCAGGCAGCAGTGAGGACAAAGGTACCTGGAGCCAGTCCTCTTTGTCAGCGTTTTCCTGCAGCCCCAACCCAGTGGTTTCTGCTTATTCCCATTGGCCAGACTGTCACAGGACCTTAGAGGCTGGGACAAATAGTTTTCAGCTGGGCTCATTGTGGTCTGAAAACAAAAGCAGTTACCTTTAGTAAGAAAGAAAGGATATTGGGGCTGGGTGCAGTGGCTCACGCCTGTAATTCCAGCACTTTGGGAGGCTGAGGCGGGCGGATCACTTAAGGTCAGGAATTCAAGACCAGCCTGGCCAACATAGTGAAACTCCGTCCCTACTAGAAATACAAAAATTAGCCAGGCATGGTGGCGCATGCCTGTAATCCCAGCTACTCAAGAGGCTGAGACAGGAGAATCTCTTGAACCCGGGAGGTGGAGGTTGCAGTGAGCTGAGATTGCACCACTGCACTCCAGCCTGGGCAACAGAGTAAGACTCTGCCTCAAAAAACAAAAAAAAAAAAAGAAAGAGAAAGAGGATATTGGAATAAACGCTAATATGCACCTTTGGGAGCTGCTTTTTGAAATATTGGTTCTTGTAAGTTCACTGAAATTTTTTTTATAAAGTAGAACAATATTGGAGATTTGAAAGAATGGACTCAATGCAAGAGATCTTATTAGCTGAGAAAATGTATTTATGTTATGAATGTATTTCTTAACCCCAAGAACTTGGCTGTTGTATTGTGTTTTGTAAATTTTAAATCTCCCTACTACTATACTGGGGGCCTTACCCTCTTTTGTATAGTGCACACAAAGAAGTGTGTTTCTCTGGGCTAAAAATAGAAATCTGCACCTGACAGATGGCCTTAAGTGTGGAAAATGGGTGTGTGTGTATCACAGAAGTGGAAGAAGTGGAGGGAGTCCTGCTCTGCCTGTTGTTTTAAGCCTCCCCTCCCTGCAAATCTATATCTTTCCTATACACTAGTAATGGTCAATAGGTTTTTGTTGTTGTTGTTGTTTTAATCCCATTTACAGTAGCGACAAAACTTATCAGGTATCTAAGAATAAACCTTTATTATACATTTATGCTAACCTTTAGCATACCTTTATGAAGAAAACTACAAAATTAATTAAAATATCATGAACGGCAATGCAAATGGGGAGAATAAATAGGGGACAACTTGCCTTCCAGATGCATTGATTACAAAGCTGTAGTAACTAAAATTTGATACTGTCTCAAGGGCAAGCAAATGCTTCTGTGAAGTAGAATGAGGATCTAGAAACAGACTCCTGCGTGTGCTGAAACTTGGTTTATGATAGAGCAGGTGTTACTGATAAATGCAGAAACCAATAAATGGTATTAAGTCAATTAACTTTCCATTTGGAAGGGATAAAATTAAATTTCTCTTCCACGTGCAGGCTAATAACAGTGTCTTATATCTTGCAAAAGTACTTACCAGTCCATTCACTTCCAGAAAAATGGAGAAGTTTCATATTAGAAATTTGTGCATCATGTTTCATAAATAAAAACTTCAGATACTCGGCTGATGGTGTTGGCTCAAACCTGTAATCCTAGCACTTTGGGAGGCTGAGGCAGGTAGATGACTTGAGCCCAGGTGTTCGAGAACAGCCTGGGCAAAAAGTGAGACCCTATGTCTATAAAAACAAATAAACAAAATGGCACCTAACTTTTAAAATGCTTTTTCTTACATGTAATAATGTGAGCAAAAGCATAATTTAATTTTTCCTATTAAAATGCTTTTTTTTTGGTTTCTGTTACATTTCTGTATTTACTTGAATTCTTAGAACACTGTTTCCTGGGAGATCAAACCTGGCCATTCTGGATACATCAGTAGTGAGAGCTTAGTGCGGACATAGCCTTACAGAATGTCTTCTATGTTGAAATGCAGAGAACCCGAAGGCGCCTAGGATGAGCCTCAGGCCTGCTGGTTGTTGCAGTGGCGCAATCTCAGCTCACTGCAGCCTCCGCCTCCTGGGTTTAAGCGATTCTCATGCCTCAGCCTCCTGAGTAGCTGGGATTACAGGCGCTCGTCACCAGGCTTGGCTAATTTTTGTTTTGTTTTGCTTTTTCCGCCTCACTCTGTCACCCAGGCTAGAGTACAGTGGTACGACCTCGGCTCACTGCAACCTCAGCCACCCGGTTTCAAGCGATTCTCCTGCCTCAGCCTCCCGAGTAGCTGGGATTACAGGTGCCTGCCATCGCGCCTGGCTAATTTTTGTAGTTTCAGTAGAGACGAGGTTTCACCATCCTGGCCAGGCTGGTCTTGAACTCCTGACCTCGTGATCCACCCACCTCGGCCTCCCAAAGTGCTGGGATTACAGGCATGAGCCACCGCGCACAGCCTAATTTTTGTATTTTTTTGGGGTTTTTTTTTATAGAGTCTCACTCTGTCGCCCAGACTGGAGTGCAATGGCACGATCTTGGCTCACTGTAACCTCCACCTCCCGGGTTCAAGCAATTCTTCTGCCTCAGCCTCCCGAGTAGCTGGGATTACAGGCACCCATCACCACGCCTAGCTGATTTTTTGTATATTTAGTAGAGACGGGGTTTCGCTTTGTTGGCCAGGTTGGTCTCAAACTCCTGACCTCAGGTGATTCCCCGCCTCGGCCTCCCAAAGCGCTGGTATTACAGGTGTGAGCCACCACACCTGGCCAAATTTTTGTATTTTTAATAGAGCTGGGTTTTCACAATGTTGGCCAGGCTCGTCTCAAACTCCTGACCTCAGGGAATCCGCCTGCCTCGGCCTCCCAAAGTGTTGGGATTACAGGCGTTAGCCACTGCGCCAGGCTTGTTGCTGAACATTTATGGCTCTAGAAATAATTTTTTTTTTAAGGAGAAGTAATGACAAACATGATAGAAATAAAATTTGAGGATATTTCTGGGTTCAAAATAAAGTAACAGTTAAATAGCGTGAACATGAAGAAATAAATATTTTCAGGTAGAAACTCCAAAATTTAGGTAGATGCTGTGAGTTTTAGTCAGAATTTGAATATGATGTGGCTGACCATAGATACCTCCATTGCATTAATTCTGCTTCATAAAGTGTTTGATGCTTGCTTGTAGGTGTTGAATAGAGCCTAATTAGCAGTAAGTAAACAGATCTAGAGCACAGACTTTGGCATCTGAAGGACCTTGGTTCAATGCTGGGACTGCCACTTACTAGCTATGGGATCTTTGGTGGATTTTTAACCTTTGAAAGCCTTTCATCCCTCACAGATATAATGGGGAAGAAAATCGTTTCCATTAGTATTGTGAGGATTAAATGATTAATTGATGTAAACAATGTGCTTTCCATAGTACTTGGCATATCATAAGTGCTTCATGTTATTTTACGCTGGCTGGGAAGATAAGTTTTGCTGTGGAGAATTTAAGAGGGATATTAAAATATATTTTTGTTATTTTAAGGAAATTCGAAATGAGTCCCATGACTATCCTCATAGAGTGGCCAAGTTTCCAGAAAACAGAAATCGAAACAGATACAGAGATGTAAGCCCATGTAAGTACTTGTGGGTTTGTGTGCATGTGTATTTTTTGGTTTGTTTTAGGAGGCAGGATGTAGTGAAAAGGAGGGCTTGGGGTCAGTGTTGATAAATACAGTAATTTTTTTCCTATTTACGTAAGACACGTTCTTTAAGAATTTAAAGGTGTAGAATAGTGGAAGGAAAAATAATTACCCATAATTATTTCATCCTTCAAACATAGGCACCATTATTTTGGTGTATTTCCCACAACCTGTTTTTCTTATGCACAGTTTTCCTTTCTTTAAAATAATTGTAATTATAGATGTCTATATAATATCCATATGTATTTCCTTTTCATATCATTCCATCCCCTTTGTAAGTTTTGCTTAAAATAGTTATTGGTGTAGTTTGGTTTTTTTCCTTCCCCAAGTTATAAGAGTAGTATGTACTCGCTGTAGAAAACTTAGAAAACAGAGAAGAGTATAAGGAACAAACTTATTTAAAAATAAATAATAACTTGGGTTTATATTCTTTGGAGTTTTTAAAAATAAACATGTACTTTAAACGGAAAATTAGAATCTTGCCACATACTCATTTGTAGCTCTTTTCTTAGCAGTACATTGTAAACTTTTTTTTATTATAAACAATTTTTAATTGCTTTGACAGTGGCTTTGGATATACCACTCTTTTGCATAAGTTCCCTGTTGTTGGACATTTAGATTATGATGTATACACACACAGACGCACACAATTGTGTGAACAATTATAATACTAGAGTTCTTTGGTGTATTCATCATCATGCGGTGATTTTATTTTTTGTTCTGATTCATGCAGCTTATTCAGATATTAAATTGGGCCTCCTTCGTGCTTCAGCATATTTCCCTATGTTTGACTTTAGTGGGCTAAACATAGGTTTTCTCTTTAGGGCTCCCTGTTGGTAGGGACTTGAAAAACAGTATCAGATTGATCACATTCTGGTTTTTGCTTGTTACTGATTGTTCGCCTGTTGACTAGGGTATGGTGCTGCCTGCTAAGATCTCCTGTGTAGGTTGAACCATTTCACTGTTCAAGGACACAGACTGTATACCTTTATATACATTGTAGTCATTGGTTATAGATAAGATATTTAGGGTCTGGATGTACCACTGAAAAATCCATCAGTTACTGGAAAAAAATCCTTATTTTTATTCTTACATGAATAGAATGTTTTTCTTATGTTGACCAAATACATTTCCAAGAAGGGTGTATTGGCTGATTTTGGGCAAATCAAATGAGAAGCAGTCTCTGAAAATCTTTCATGTTTGTTATAAATTACTATTAAATACTATGTTTCTCTTAATGCTTTTTTCTTTACTACCAGTTAGAAGTGTTCTTAAAGACAAGTAGCTAGAAGAGTGGTTTTCCATTTTCTTCAGTTGCAGCACACTTGAAGATTTGACCCACTTCCTCTGAAACAGGTGGCTCATCACGGTGGCAGTTCCAGTGTGGGTGTGCGTTCAGGGAATAGCGGGTGTGGGCAGTAATTCTGATACTTAGGTGCCCTTCCCCTGCCTCCAAATCTCTGATTGAGAATCACTGAGCTACAGAGAATAATTCTCTAATGTTACCATGAGTTTTGAAGACAGTATTTTCCAGTTGTACACCTTGCTTTGATGCCTTTAATTTTTTAAAAACTTTTGATTTTGAAAATTGTAGATTTGGATGCAGTTGAGAAATAATACAGAAAGATCGAGTATACCCCTCACCTAGTTTCCCCCAGTGGTAACATCTTGCATAACTACAGTCCAATATCACACCTGGGAACCTGAAACAATACAGTCCATCCAGGTTTCACCAGTTTTACATGCACTCATTTGTGTGTGCGTGTAAGTTCTGTGCAGTTTTATCACGTGTAGATTCCTGGAATCACCACCACAGTCTAGATGCAAACCAGTGGAGCATTCCCATCACAGGGTCACTTGCACTGCCTTTCTGGGGCCACAGTCTCCTTGCTTGGATCCTCCTTCCCTAACCTGGTGTTGCCTTTAATTTTTATATATTTGTTGTAATTGCAATTATTGGATGCACTACACTACATTTGAGTCCCCTAATTAGTTTTATCGAATTGATCTAAATGGGATTTTTTTTTTTTTTTTTTTGAGATGGTGTCTCACTCTGTTACCCAGGCTGGAGTGCAGTGGCGTGATCTTGGCTTACTGCAAACCCCTGCCTCCTGGATTCAAGCGATTCTCCTGCCTCAGCCTCCCAAGTAGCTGGGATTACAGGTGTGCACCACCATGCCCGGCTTATTTTTGTATTTTTAGTAGAGATGGAGTTGCACCATGTTGGCCAGGCTGGTCTTGAACTCCTTACCTCAAGTGATCCGCCTGCTTCAGTCTCCCAAAGTGCTGGGATTACAGTCATGAGCCACCATGCCCAGCTGATAATTTTATTTTAACTGGAATTGAGATGTTTTATTTTAAAGTAAAAACATTTGCAACTTAAGTTATCCTCAAGTATATACATCAATAAAACTTATGATTTTTCTCCTCAGCTTTTAGACTTATGTTGTATACCTGCAGTTGAAGGCTGCAGGGAGACTCTTTAAAATATGCGTTATCAGGCCTCCCTCCATCATCATTGGGACCAGGCTCTTCCTGTATGCCTTCTCATTGAAAAGCACTTAGCCTTGAGAGAACCAAGCTTCCCTCCTGCGGACCATGCAGTGGTTGTCCTCTGGAGCTGTGCTCTGCTGGGAGCAGCCCCCAGTGCATGTTCTCCTTACTCTTCTTCTTCTTTGCCCCCTCCCTCCCCACACATGCCTCCCTAGTAAGCCATGTTCTCCTGATCTCTCAGAAAGAGACTGCTCATTCTTGCTTCTCACGTAGCCACAGGATTTTCTAGTCTGAGCCAATATGCTTCAGCCTGCAAATGGAAATGATCTCTTCCAAGGCTTGTGCTGGCCAGCACATCCCCACACCGCCTTGGCACCTCTCCTCTCCTGACTTCAGTCATTCACTGTCTTTCTCCTTACCCTCTCCTTCCCACCTTCCTCATCCTGGGTGACTTCATGTCTCTGGGAAAGAACTACGGCTCATTGCGCTAGAGTTCCTAGACCTGTTCAGCTCCGCTGACATTGACCTTTAGTCATCTTCACCTCTGAAATCTGAAACTCTGCTGCCTTGAGGGCTACTTTCTGTCATTCCAGCTTTCACTTGCTTACTCCCACTGTACCTGCTCTTTGACTTCAGCAGGATCT
Source organism: Homo sapiens (assembly GCF_000001405.40). Classification (NCBI taxonomy): domain Eukaryota; kingdom Metazoa; phylum Chordata; class Mammalia; order Primates; family Hominidae; genus Homo; species Homo sapiens. Next base: position 12,855,960 of record NC_000018.10, on the reverse strand, counting down.
TTAGTTGACTTTTTCATGTATTGTGAAGTTGGAAATGTATTGAATTGAAATTTCGATTAAAAAATGTAGTGAAGCATATTACTTTGTCCTCTAACCTAACTATTAATAACTTTCTTGTTGTTTTTATATTTAAAAAATAACTCTGGATTTTTTAATTCCACCATTTTGTGAAGCTCCAACTTAGGAAAAATCAGTCATTCATCCTCTCTGCACTTTGGGCAAATGAGCGTGTGCCTTGGGTGGACTCCAGTGTTAGGTGGGCTTGGGGTTGCCTTGCTGTCCTCATGCCCTCGTCTGCCCCACTGCCACCGTGTTCCAGCTCTGCACCGAGTAAATTATCTCTCAGAGCTCCTCACCATGCTCAGGATATCGTCCTGCTTTCAATTCTACAGATAAAAATTGTAAAAATCAGGAAACACCACCTTAGCTTCATGTTCTATCACCTGGAAACTCACTTTCTTTTGCCCCTATCCTTCCCTAAAGTCCCAGGAGAGAAGCCTCCCCTCCCTCTGTCCTAGCCGAATCCTTCGTCCCCATCCTCCTCATGGGCCCTGCTCTTCATCATCACTGCTTTTTGTGTGTTTTCAGCCTCTTTCTATCTCATAACTTCTTCTCTTTTGTATAAATATGGTTCGCTCTCTTTTGTCTCAACCCTTATATCCTACCCCAGCCCCCACTTCCTTTCTTACCTACATGGATGGACATTTCTTACCTGTACACAGGCTTAAAAGAATCAATGTGCCATTTGTCTCTCCACCCTCCCCACCATGCACACTTCAGCCCATGCTTCTTCTCCAGCCTCCCCACTGAAACTTATTCTAAAAGCACTGTAGCTGTAGTTGTCAAATGCAATGAGAGACTTTCCACTGGTTTCCTTCTCTGTGACTTTTGACATTATTCTCCTGCTTCAGCCTCCCGAGTAGCTGGGATTACAGGCACGAGCCATGACGCCTGGCTAATTTTTGTAATTTTAGTAGAAACAGGGTTTCACCATGTTGGCTGGGCTGGTCTCGAACTCCTGATCTCAAGTGATTGGCCCACCTCGGCCTCTCAAAGTACTAGGATTACAAGTGTGAGCCACTGTGCCCAGCCGACCGTGCCTTTTTTCCTAACCCCGTAATTTTTCTGATTTTCCTCTTTGGCCCCTCCCCTATTTTCAGGGTGTCTCCTCCTCACTTTGCCTTTATTTCTTCAGGAGTCTGTTTCTCTCTCCTTCTCACTGTAACACTTGGATGAATGATCTCATCTGCTGTGGGCCTAGTTTCCATCTCTGCTTATAACCCCAAATCTCATCTGCAGTCGTGGACTTTTCTGTCTACAGGTCTGTGTATCCAAGTCATCATCTCTGTCTGGGTGTCCTGTAGCCACCTCAGACTCAGTATACACTGAGTGAGTGTTCCTCCCTGACACACTTCACTGGCCTTAGCCCCACACCTGCCTTTTCTCCTTTTCCCCATGTTTATAAGTGGTGCCGTTATTTACACATTTTCTGAAGCCAGAAACAGATTCTTCCCTCATTCATTTCCCACGTCACTAATACTAATTTCCATTTCCATGATGTATTCCTATTTCTTTTTCTTTTTTCTTTTTTTTTTTTTTTCAAGACAGGGTCTGGCTCTGTCACTCAGGCTGGAGTGCAGTGGCACCGTCTCGGCTCACTGCAACCTCCGCCTCCCAGGCTCAGGTGATCCTCCCACCTCAGCCTCCTGAGTAGCTGGGACTACAGGTGCATGCCACCATGCTGAGCTAGTTTTTTAGATTTTTTGTAGAGATGGGGTTTCGTCATGTTGCCCAGGCTGGTCTCAAACTCCTGGACTCATGTAGTCCACCTGCCTCGACCTCCTGATGTGTTGGGATTACAGGTGTGAGGCACCGTGCTCAGCCTCCGTAATGTATTTCAAATCTGTTTTCTTCTCTGTTCACATTGGCTTGGTTCAGGCCCTACTACGCTTTTCCTCGTCATTACAGTAGCCTCCAAACCCATCTCCTTGTTTCCCTTCTGTTCCCACTTCAGTCCATTTTCATGGTATCTGGAGTAATCTTTGTATAATGCAAGTGTGTTTTCCACTCTCCTCTCTAATAGTGCTGCACAATTTTTATGAAAAAGTTAAACTTCTTTAGCATTATCATACTGGGCTTTTTGGAGATTGACCCCTTTACACACCTCTCTAAATCTTTTCTACCCATTTTCCTAGAAATTATTCATTTCAGTAAAACTGAATCACTTGGAGTTCTTCTAGCGTGACTGGTTTTTAATACCTCAGTGGCTTCAAATATGTCATTCCCTTTTTGAAATATTCTTCCCCTCCTCTCTCTGACCCATCTCAATCAAAGTTCTCCTTCTGCAAATACCAGCTCAACAACCTCTTTCCCGTGAGTGGTATTCTCATCCAGTGGAGGTGGTGGTTCTCGTTCACTAAGTCCAGAGGGGCTCAGGAATGTGTATTTTTTAAAAGCTGGGATGGTGTTGCTGTACCTTTTCCAACTGATAGTCATTATGTAATTTAAAAATGTGTTTCTGGCTGGGTGCTGTGGCTCATGCTTATAATCCCAACACTTTGGAAAGCTGAGGTAGGAGGATTGCTTAAGGCCAGGAGTTTGAGACCAGCCTGGGCAACATCTCTACACAGAACTTTTTTTTAATTAGCTGGGACGTGGTGATGCATGCCTGTAGTCCCAGCTATTTGGGAGGCTGGGGCAGGAGGATCACTTGAGACCACTAATTCAAAGCTGCAGTGAGTTGCAATGGCACCAGTGCACTCCAGCTTGGGTGACAGAGCAAGACTGTCTCTAAAAAATTTTTTAAATGCATTTCTATACATAGTACTTGACAGTTGCTGATTTGGTTCAGAAAACATTTGTTGAAAACCAGCTACATGTTTGATACTATGCTATGTATCGAATAATTTATGGTATACTTGAGGAGATTAACACATAAGCATGTTACAGATATTGTAAGATATGACAGTGCATTGATGGAGCTGAGAAGAGGCTCTGCCCAAGGAGGCAGGGATGGCTTTTAAGAAAAAGAATGGTAGCCTGAACTAGGTAAATAAAGGGGAATGGAAAAAGAATTTTTTAAAAATTCAGAGTCCCAGATCTTTCTTTTCTAGATTTGGATTCAGCCGGTCTGGAAATGTTTATTTTTAAACAATCTTAACATGATTCTTTTACACTCACTATGGCACCACTCCTCAGACTGACATATGGAAACTACATTTGGAGTTCTGAATACGAGAAACATAAAGGAAAAAGGATATTTTAAATTAGGAAGAATTTGGGCTGGGTGCAGCAGCTCATGATTGTAGTCCCAACGCTTTGGGAGGCCGAGGAGGGAGGATCGCTTGAGCCCAGGAATTTGAGACTACAGTGAGCTGTGATTGTGCCACTGCACTCCAGCCTGAGCAATGTGAGACCTTGTCTCAAAAAAGGAAGAAAATTGAAAGGATTTGAAGAGGTCCATAATCTGCTACAACCTAGAGATGCCTCAGTTGTCTCAGTTAACTGTGAGACATTGTAGAAGAGATGGACAAGAACTTCGTTGTTTGAAAAGAGAGTAGCTTGTAATGGTTACTTTGGGAAACGTCTTTATACTATTAGAGACTACCACCAAATTTTGAGATCTTCCTATTTGCAGTACAGGTAGAAATCCCAGTTTACTATTTGGTCTAAAAGGGAGTGCCAGCAATTGAGTCAACTGTCATGTCTTTTCACTGGCCATGAAACAATCTGTGTGTGTGTGTGTGTGTGTGTGTGTGTGTGTGTGTGTTAAAAACCCATACCATAAATTTCTTGTAGGTGTATATTAACAGTATTGTTAACTGTATGCACATTGTTGTACAATAGATTTCTGGAACTTTTCCATCTTGTATAACTGAAACTCTAAATCCATTGAAAAACTCCCTATCTTCCTCTTCCCCCAGCCCCTGGCAGCCAGCATTCTGCTTTCTGTTTCTATGAGTTTGATTACTTTAGACACTAAATATATGTGTAATCATGCAGTATTTGTCTTTCTGCGACTGGTTTATTTCATTTGACATACTGTCTTCAAGGTTCATCCATGTGAAACAGTCAGATTTTAAAGGAAATTAACACAGAGACTCATGATTCTGGTAGTGTCAGGTTACATAGTCCATGGTTTGTTGCTCTACAAAACAAAAAGATTCTCAAATAAACATACTTTTTAAATGAGTTACTAGAGGGGGAAGAAGGAAGGGAAAACTTCTATGCTTTCGGCACGCTCCCTGCATGATCTTAGCAAATGGCATAACTACTTTGAATGCAGATGTCAGTATCAGCTCTGAGATTTGTATGCAGCTAATAAAGTAGCCCCAAGATGTATTAAGCAAAAATGAATAGAATTTTGGGGAGAAATTGACAAATCCATGTTCATGGGCTTCTTAATAAGACAAGATATTTGTAAAGAAATAGATTTATATAATATTATTCTTTTTTCTTTTTTTTTTTTTTTTTTTGAGACGGAGTCTCGCTCTGTCGCCCAGGCCGGACTGCGGACTGCAGTGGCGCAATCTCGGCTCACTGCAAGCTCCGCCTCCCGGGTTCACGCCATTCTCCTGCCTCAGCCTCCCGAGTAGCTGGGACTACAGGCGCCCGCCACCGCGCCCGGCTAATTTTTTGTATTTTTAGTAGAGACGGGGTTTCACCTTGTTAGCCAGGATGGTCTCGATCTCCTGACCTCATGATCCACCCGCCTCGGCCTCCCAAAGTGCTGGGATTACAGGCGTGAGCCACCGCGCCCGGCCTATATAATATTATTAACCTTAATATAAGAAGAAAAATACATAGAACCCTATATCCAGCAATTAGAAAATGCACATTTTTCTAGGACTGACATGGTCTATTTGTAAAAAATGGACCATTGACTAGGCTGTCAAGTAAATCTTAAAATTTAAGAATGCCTGGCTGGGCGCTGTGGCTCACGCCTGTAATCCCAGCACTTTGGGAGGCCTAGGTGGGTGGATCACCTGAGGTCGGGAGTTTGAGACCAGCCTGACCAACATGGAGAAACCTCGTCTCTACTAAAAATACAAAGATTAGCCAGGCATAGTGGTGCATGCCTGTAATCTCAGCTACTCAGGAGGCTGAGGCAGGAGAATTGCTTGAATCCGGGAGGCAGAGGTTGCGGTGAGCCAAGATTGTGCCACTGCACTCCAGCCTGGGCAACGAGAGCGAAACTCTGTCTCAAAAAAAAAAAATTCCTATCTTATAGCTCATAATTTTTTATCTTAATGCAATTAAAATATAGGTTATTAATAAAAAGATAAACATTTCCATAAATTTGGAAGTTTTAACATTTCTAAATCGTGGGTCAAGACAAAATTATAATGGAAACTTAAAAATAAACAATATATAAAATACTGCTTATCAAAACTTGTGTAAAGGAGCTAAAACAGTACTGCAATGAAAATATATTGTCTTAAATATTTATATTATATTTTATTTATTATTTTTTAGATGGAGTCTTGCTCTGTTGCCTAGGCTGGAGTGCAGGGGTGTGATCTCAGCTCACTGCAGCCTCTGCCTCTCGAGTTCAAGCAATTCTCCTGCCTCAGCCCCTCGAGTAGCTGGGAGTACAGGCACGTGCCACCAGGCCTGGCTAATTTTGTGTTTTTTAGTAGAGACAGTTTCACTGTGTTGGCCAGGCTGGTCTCAAACTCCTGACCTTAAGTGATCTGCCTGCCTCGGCCTTCCAAAGTGCTAGGATTACAGGCATGAGCCACTGTGCCTAGCCCAGTATTTTAAGATGAAAGTTAAAATTAATGTGCTGTCTAACCTAATTTAGAGTAAAAATAAGAGAATGAGAAAAAAAAAGCAGAAAGAAGTAACAACAACAAAGGAGCAGAAATAGAAATCACAGTTACAGCACAAGGGACCAACTAAACTAAATGTTAGCCTCGGTAAGACTGATCAACTCTGTCAAGATCGAGCACGATCAATCAAACAAGAAAGAAAGAAGGTGCATATAAACAATATCAGGAGAAAGAGTGGGCACATAAATACAGGTATACAAAGAAAGCGTGAATTGAATACTGCCAACAATTTTATGGCAGTAAATATGATTTTTTAGAAAAAATGGAACAGATTCCTAGAAAAACATAATTTACCAAAACTGACTCAAGCAGAAGTAGAGTCTGAAGAGTCCACTTAAAGACATTAATAAACAAAATCCACAAAGAAAACACTGGGCCAGCTGGTTTTACCGGTATGTTTCATAATAATGCAAGTGAATATAGATGTAGAAATCCTAACAAAGGATTAGCAAACTGAATATAGCAATGTATTAAAAAGATAATACATTATGTTCACATTAAGTTTATTTCAGGAATGTAAGGGTAGCTAACATTAGAATACCTTTTTTATTTTTTATTTATTTATTTTTTGAGACAGGGTTTCGCTCTTGTTGCTTAGGCTGGAGTGCGGTGGCACGATCTTGGCTCACTGCAACCTCCACCTCCCGGGTTCAAGCAATTCTCCTGCCTCAGCCTCCCAAGTAGTTTGTATTACAGGCGTTAGCCGCCATGTCTGGCTAATTTTTGTATTTTCAGTAGAGATGGGGTTTCACCATGTTTGTCAGGCTGGTCTCGAGCTCCTGACCTCAGGTGATCCATCTGCCTCGGCCTCCCAAAGTGCTGGGATTACAGGCGTGAGCTTCTGCACCCGGCCTAGATTATTTTATAATTCACCACAGTAACAAAGGAGAAAGAGCCATATGATTATCTCAATAAGTGTGGAAAGATTATTTAAAGTCCTTGCTGAGGATTAAAAATGACACATAGCAAGCTAGAAATAGAAGGGAACTTCTAAGATTTCTAAGAGATAACTGCAACAACATCACTCATAATGATGACATGATGAAAGCATTGTTTTAAAAAAATATTGGGAACAAGGTAAGTGTGTTCATTCTTACCACTTATACTTAACATTATACTTCTGTCTCCCTGACCTTATACTCTAGGTCCTAGTTAGTACAGTAAGCAAGAATGAGAAATAAAAGCCATAAGGATTGGAAAGAAATAAATTAACTGTCTTTTAATCTGTTTATGAGGCCACTATAGAACTTTCATAGCCAAAGCAGGAAGGTTCAGTAAGAGGAATAAAAGTATAAAAGTTTTATCTGTTGCTATATAACAAACCACCCCAAAACAGTGGCTTAAAACAATAGGAGACATTTATTATGTTCACAAATCTAGGGGTTGACTAACCCCACATAGGTGATTCTTGCTCAAGGTCTTTTGTGTAATTGCATTTCAAATGGGGGCTGGGGCTGGAGTCACCTTGAAGAAGCAACTTCTTTACTCTTGTTGACTGTGACCTCAACTGGGCTGTCACCAGGAACACCTACACAAGGCATCTCTATGAGACCTGGACTTTATCACAAGGCAACTGAGTTTCAAGAGTGAGCATTCTTAGAGAGCAAGGCAGAAGCTTCATTGCCTTTTGTGACCTAGCCTTAGAAGTCACATACAACTTCCACAACATTCCGTTTGAGAAGTAACTCACTAAGGCCATGCATGTTCAAGGAGAGGGTACTTAATACTCTTATTAGTTTGATGGAGGAAGTATCAGTGAATTGTGGACATATTTTAAAACCATCACCACTATAGATGATACGAATTGCTTCGTAGATAACCCCTCTAGAAATGTGCAGACAAGTCAAAGAATTATTAAGAAACATTTTGATAGTCTTAGAATTATAAGATGATAGACCTTCAAATCATTAAAAAGAAACCTTTAAACTTACCAGAAAGTGCTTGTCATCTTTCTTAGTAATAGCAGATTTAGATAAAAACTTAGTTCTATAATAATAATCCGAATAAGTATAGATTTAAGTTAAATTTTATGGTAACTATTATGTAAATATTTGCTAACATTTTTTCTTATCCCATTAAAGTTTGAAAATAAAGACCAGATGTCAGTGTAGTGCTTTACCTTCTCAAAATCCGTTGTTGACAGCTTTTTTACTAAAAGATTTTCTCACTCACTGTTAGGGTCTTTAGTTCTATCTTCAATTTTTTTTTTTTTTTTTTAAATATTCAGTTTTGGCCTAGTGCAGTGGCTTATGCCTGTAATCCCAGCACTTTAGGAGGCAGAGGTGGGTGGATCACCTGAGGTCAACATGGTGAAACCCCGTCTCTACTAAAAATACAAAATTAGTTGGGCGTGGTGGCTGGCATCTGTAATCCCAGCTACTTGGGAGGCTGAGGCAGGAGAATTGTTTGAACCTGGGAGGTGGAGGTGACAGTGAGCCGAGATTGCGCCATTGCATTCCAGCCTGGGCAACAAGAGCGAAAAAAAACTCCCTCTCAAAAAAAAAAAAAAAAATCTTTAATTTTAATCAAAGCCAAATCAAAGCTATTTATGATGTTAATAATTTATTCCTGCGGGCTATTGATGCACTGGAGTGGTTCCAAGGAAGAAGAACTAGAACTCTTAGAGAAGAAGCTAGCATTGATTAGACAGGGAAAGAGAAAACCTAAACAGAGCAGCATGATAGCTGACTTTAGATACCTGAACTTTTACATGGAAAAAAGAGTTCTTTATCCTGTGTTAAGCCCAAAATATAGAACTAGGGTTCATGAGCGAATAATAGCACTGGTGAATATCAGGTTAGCATTAGCTCTTAAGAGCTGTTTTAAACCTACAAACGAACCCTCTGAACTAGTACACTTGTTATTGGAGGTATTCACGCAGAGGGTGGATCTTCTCACTGTCAGATCTTCTAGAGAATATTTGTGAATGAATTATAGAGGGTTGCATTAGATTACTTTGGTCTATTTCTTGTATGCTTCATTTCTTGCCCCTGTTCATCTCTTTCTCACCAATTTCCCGCATTCACCTTTCTGTCCTATTACATTGTGAATTCCTTAACAGATGAAACTTTTTTTTTTTTTGGACTGACAAAAATCTTGTACATAGTTTTGTCATAGGGTAGTAAAGAGAGTATTAAAGATATCATTAAGTTTCTCTTTCTCTGTCCCTGAATAATTAAATCTATAAAGCACTTGGGGTTGGGCCCACATGTGGAAGGCATGTGAGTAAAGGTGGTAATGTCCTTGAAAAAGAAGCCTGTAATATTGGGTTAGCATTGCTGTATCCAGGTATGAATGCATGGTTTTCAGTGAGTATAGATACACAGATAAATATGAACATAGGTATGTGTATATACCTATATTTCTTATCCCTGTCCACTGGGAAATCTTGAGAGCAGCGATAGCTGATGAGCCATTGGGCATGCTTAGCTTTTGATACCAAATTTTATTCTCCACTAGGAGGAGAATAGAGCTTTGGAGAAATGGCTGGTTCCACGTCTGCGACAGGGAAAGTGTAAGAATAGCCTGGAATGTCTTGTAGTGACAGAACATAAAGACATGCCCAAAAAATGATGAAGACATATCAGAAGGATGTAGAAGCCAAGCTGAGTCCACTGGCCAAACCTGGGATAATCTGAGCATGAAAATAAATAATGGTTACAACCTATTGAATAAAATAGGAATTAATGTGTCTATACTGATGTAAAGAAACAAATGAATACATAAATGAGGGATAGGGAAAGTTCTACCTTTGTATAGGTTGCCAACTAATAAATATTGAAATGGATACTAAAGTTGGTGGGTGAAAATTTGGTGAAGAACAAGGTATTTACATAATCTTGAAGTATCCCTTTACAAAATACTTATTAAATATAAGAAGAGGAATAGTACCTCTACACTGGAGAAGTCTGGCCAACACCAGCCTTAAATATGTGGTCATGACCAGTCATGAGATATACCATGTCAGAATCCTGAACCACCCGATAAGATGCAGTGAATACTTAGCATCTTTCTGAGATGAACATGCCAAAAATATACAAACTGAACTCATCTATAGGGAAATAGATATCTGACAACTCAAATGGAGGAACACTATAAAACAACTGACTTACAGTTTCAAAAGGTTAAAAAATACCGTGAAAGAACAGATTGTATCCTTTTGTTTAAAGGACATTATTGGGACAGTTGGTAGAACTTGAATGGTGTCTGGGTTAGTAAAGTATCACTGTTAATTTTATAATTTCGATGGCTATACTATGAGTAAGTAGGATTATGTCATTGTAGAAGATAAAAAAATGGAATAATCAGGTATGTTTGCAACTTGCTGTCATGACTTGGGAAGAAAATTCTTTGTGCTTGGAATTTTTCTGTAAGTTTTAAAATTATTTAAACATACAAATTAAAAATACATATAAACTTGAGGTACTGAATCCTAGCCAGTACATGAAGTCAAGAAAAGGAAATAAAAGGCATACAGGTTGGAAGGGAAGAAATAAAAATGACCTTATTAGCAGATGACATGTAGAAGATTGCAAAGAATCTACCCAACAATGTCCTAGAACTAATAAGTGAGTTAAACGAGGTTGTGGGATACAAGGTCAGCATACAGAAGCCAATTGTATTCCTGTATATTAACAACAAACACGTGGAAACCAAGATTAAAAACACATTGTTGTTTACAGTTGCTCTAAGAAAATGGAATATGTTGGAATAAATCTAACAAAATACATATAGGATCTGTATGTTGAAAGCACCAAACACATGGATAAAAGAAATCAAAAGATGACCTAAATAAATGAAAAAGGCCTACCATGTTCATGGATTGGAAGACTTAGCATAGTGAATCAGTCCTCCCCAAATTGTTCTATAGATCTATAGTGACTCATAGTGTCAAATTGTTCCTAAAGATCTAACACAATTTCTGTCAGAATTTCAGGAAGTTTTTTTGTAGATAAAAACAAGCTTATTCTTTTATGTGGAAAGGCAAAGGAACTAAAATAAAATGGCTAAAATGATCTTGGAAAATAAAAACTAGAAGAATCACTCTACCTAGTTTTAAAACTTAATGCATAACCACAGTAATCAAAACAGTGTGGTAGTGGCAGAGGGATAAATACATAAGTCAGTGGAACATAATCTAGAAATAGACTTGTAAAAATATGGTGAACTGATTTTTTGACAAAGGTGCAAAGCAATTTAAAATGAAATCTCACACCTTACACAAAAGTTAACTGAAGATAGATCATAGATGGATCATAATGTAAAAGCTTTCATAAGAAAATGGGAGAAAATTCAGGATGTAAGGCTAGATGAAGAGTTCTTAGCTATGACACCTAGAGCACAATTCATTTAAAATATCAATAATTTATACTAAATCGAAATAAAAAACTTCTGCTCCTCAAAACACCCTGTTAAGAGGACAAAAAGATGAGTACAGACTTGGAGAAAATGTAAACCACATATCTGACAAAGAACTTAGATCTGGACTATATATAGAACTCTCAAAATGTAACAGTAAAAAGAAACAAAAACCCCAGTTAGGAAATGGGCAAAAGATATGACACAGATGGCAGATAAGCCTATGAACATATAAAAAACTTCATTAGCCATTAGGAAAATGCAAATTAAAATCATGGTGGTGGGATGTCACTAGACGCCTACTAAAACAGCTAAAGTAAAGAGATCACAATACCCTAAAAATGCAGAGAAGCTGGATCTCATATATGGGTGGTGGGAATGTAAACTGGTATAGCCACTCTGGAAAATAGTTTGGCAGTTTCTTAAAAAGCTGAACGTATACTTAGCTTATATGACCCAGCACTTGCACTCCTGGGCATTTATCCCAGAGAAATGCAGTCATAATGTCCACACAAAAGTGTGTGCATGAATATTCACAGCAGCTTTATCTGTAGTAGCCCCAGATTCGAAACAACCCACATGTCCTTCAGTGGGTAAGTGGTTAACTATGGTATATTCATAACACAGAATACTACTCAGCAATAAAAAGGAAGAAACTTGACGTAACAACATGGGTAGCTCTCAGAGGACTTACGCTGGGTGAAAACAATCCAGTTTCCAATGATGACATAGTACATGATTCCATTTATATAACATTCTTGAAATGATGAGAATTCTCGAGAGGGAGAGCAGATCGGTGGTTAGGGGTGGAATGGGGAAGAGTGTGCCTGCCAAGGGGCACACAGAACCTTTGTGCTGATGGAATAGGTATGTGTTGTTTTGGTCATGTGAATTTGTTTGTGGTAAAATGGCATAGAACTGAGCACACACAAATGAGTGCCTGTAGAACTGGAGAAATCAAAATAAGGTCTGTGGATTGTAGCAGTGTCTTTTCATGCTTCTGAGTTTGATGGCCTTCTGGAACTAGGCCCTGGACAGCGCATTGCTAGGAGTGGGGCTCTGTGGTGAGTCTGACAGCGTCCCTGGCTGCAAAGAGCTTAACTGTGGCAAGAAGGCTGCTACTGGGTGCCTGGGTGCTCCTGCTGCCCTCCACCAGCGGAGCTGATCAGAATCTTGCCCTAAGAGGCCCCTCTTAAAAGCCACAGCACCTTGGGTGGGCTGGTCTGCCCTAGAGCACTTACGCTGGGTGGAGGGAGCTGTGGAAGCGTGCAGTGGGGGAGTGCTGGAGTCCAGGACAGTCAGCTGTACTCGGGATTGGGGTGAGGGTGTGGTTGTTTCTAGATTAAAATACAGATACATGATCAAGTAGAATTCTGAAATTCCTTTAAATGTTTAAGGTAAAATAGGAATTACCAAGGAATTTTGTACTTTAATACCCTCTTAGGGTATTAAGGAGGGTTTGTCAGTGAAAATAATCAAGAAGGACTGGTCCATTCGAGCCACTGATTTTGACAGACAAGAAAACAGACCCCTGAGTGCCCCTTATCATAGGACTGTCGGCGACTGGGATGCTGATAGTGTTTCTCAAGTAGTAGTCACCCTTTTCTGGGAAATCATGACTACGTCTGGAATCATGTAGGTTGGTAGAGCCAAAAGAGAGATCAGAATCCACATCTTTAGATCCCTCAAACTCCCCTCACCCATGTTTTTCATCTGCGTCGCAAAATTCCAGGTACCTGTACTAAGAAGTCCTGAAGGTTTCTGCGCTTTTCCTTTCTGCCGAATTAGTTTACGCTTAAGAAAGTCAGTTAACGTCATTTCATTTCCTGCTTATGGTTCAGAATGGGTTGATAGTGATTTGTCATTCTAACAAAATTCTAGCAGGTGTAGGAATTTGAATATGTGAAAATCTTCTGGAATTCATCATATAAACAATGTTTGAATACTTGCTGACTTAAATTGTTATGACACTCTACTAGGTAGGCCCGCTGAGAAAATGGAAGTAGCAGTCCTTTTTCCCTGACAGTCAAATTTAGGAGAAATGAATCAGTACAGGATTTCTTGACTCTCCGAACCTAAACTGCAGACTGCTCCTCTCCGCTTTGTCCCCGTGGCTCCAGCCACATTCTTCATGTCCCTCAGACATGTTAGGTATGTACCACCTTAAGTCATTCGCCGTTCTCTGTGCTTGGAACACTGTTAACTAAAATATCCGTGAGACTGACCCCTTCCACATCTGTGCTTACATGTGACCCACCTGGGTGGTCAGCCACAAGGCCCATCCTGACCACCCTGTTTAGAATTGCAACCTGCCCCTCTCCCCAGCGCTGTGAGTCCCGTTACTCTTTTTTCTTAGCATTTATTACTCATATACTTTACTTAGTTATGCTTATTGCTATATCACCAATATAGATATTTGGTCCGCATTGTTTGCATGGTGTCTCATGGGCCTTTGGATGTGATGAAAGTTAAATCTTTTCCCCTAAGTCCCTCCACCTTCAATTTGTTTAGGCTCTAACTCTCCTAGAAGCGGAGAGTCTGAGTTTCAAAGAAAATGGTGCAATACTGCTGAGCGCCGTGGCTCACTCCTGTAATCCCAACACTTTGGGAGGCCGAGGCAGGTGGATCACCTGAGGTCGAGAGTTCAAGACCAGCCTGACCAACATGGAGAAACCCCGTCTCTGCTAAAAATACAAAATTAGCTGGGCGTGGTGGCACATGCCTGTAATCCCAGCTACTCAGGAGGCTGAGGCAGGAGAATTGCTTGAACCCAGGAGGTGGAGGTTGTGGTGAACTGAGATCGCACCATTGCACTCCAGCCTGGGCAACAAGAGCGAAACTCCATCTCAAAAAAAAAAAAAAATGGTGAGATACTTACTGATTATTTTAAAGTGAAGATTAGTATGTCTTATTTTATACAAGCTACCAAAGAGGAAAAATGTCTGTTTTCCAAACTAATGAATTTTACCTATTTTGTAAAGACATTTCTCAGGTATTCTTTTCATTGCAGACTCTTGGGGACAGATTAAAGAGGACTTTTTCAATTAGGAGATTTGTGGAATCAGAATTTAATTAGTGACATTGTCCTGTCAAGTTTAGGATCTTGAAATCATGATGGGTTGAAAGACGCTGATGATTTCAAGGACAGTAAACTATTGTTTGGAAAAGGTTGAACTTACCAAATGTTTCCTAAACAATGTATACTTTATTAGCAAAGCTGTGATGGTGCTACCTTGGAAATACTCTTTACATTCCCACCGCCACTACTTGATTCAGGCCTCATCACCTTTTGATTACGCTTTCAGTGTATTGGTGTATGAAGTTGCCTTCTTCTTGGTTCAGTCCATCTTCTATGCTGCTGAGAGTTATTTTCATGAAAATCAAATGTGTTTATACCAGTCCTTTAAAGAACTTCACTGGGGCCCTGTCCAGAGCCTGTGCCTGTAGCACGGCCCACGTGCCCTTCAGGGTCCGCCCTTAATGTGTCTGGGGAGCCCTCTCTAGCCAGCTCGCCAGCCTTTCTGAATCTGCCAGTCCTGCCGCTACACCATTCCCTTTCATTCCTCTTTATGATGTGCCCTCTGCTGGAATTTCCCCTTCCTGCTGATCTCACTAGGCCTATTCAGGTAGCAACTACTCAAGCTCCTTCCCACAATATTTTATGCAATAAAGTATCAGTACTCAGAGTCACGGCTTAATATAATTTCTTTTTTCCTTTTTAAAAGCTTCAAACAAATAATGTCTTACCTTTAGATCCCTATAGGTTAAAATATGTTTGTTGACTAAAAATTGTGTATGATTGCTGAAAGTATTCAATGCAGGGAACAGACCAGTTCATCATGGAGGCATTCCATCAGAGCGTCTAGTTAGAGAAGATATGTCATGGACTGCATCGGCACAGAAGTGGGGTTTATGTGAGAGAGGAGTTGGAAGT
The DNA here is from genome assembly GCF_000001405.40 of Homo sapiens. Taxonomy (NCBI): domain Eukaryota; kingdom Metazoa; phylum Chordata; class Mammalia; order Primates; family Hominidae; genus Homo; species Homo sapiens. The sequence goes on along the minus strand of NC_000018.10, from coordinate 12,840,837 downwards.
CACACCTGAGTGGAGAGCAACGTGAAAAGGTGATGTCAGCAAGAATTTAGGATGTATGGAAAGGATGGTAAAGGCACCAACTGGATGGATCAGGGAGACATGGAATGCAGAATGCAGGAAATAGGTAATCTCTTAAATTGCACAAATCTAGGTTTCATTTTTGTGCTCTAGTGTGTTACACTTGTGATGACTTGACTTCCCTGAGTGACAGTGCGATGGGTGTGATCCATATTCATATGCACTTCATAGGGCTGTGAGGACTGAGAGAGGTGACCCAGTGACGAGTGTCACACAAACCTGACATGTCGTAGGCACCAAATGGTTCTAGACAGTGGTTCTGGTTGGTTTTGTGGTCAATTGGAAACCTTTCATCAAGTAGAATTTTCTTTGCAGAGCAAACAATTGAAATGTTAATATTCTATGTGTACTAAAGTTTGTATTCTCCATTAATATGGGGGAGTATATGGTGACCTGGTGTTTAGTGCCAGCTTTGTTTTTGGTTCATTGCTCGATTTATGAGAGAGAATGCATAATATTTGTTGTTCGACTATTTTACTTGCAGGATTGAAGAGAGTTGACAAATCTAGAAAATGCTTTGAGTTCTTGGACATCACTGTTTGAAAACGTACTGATTACCCTTAGTTGAGAATGGGAAAATCTAAAGGGGAAAAGTCACTGGTTCACGCTGTACTATTAGAATTGGTCATCTTCTTGCCTGACTTGTAAGTTAAGGATGCTTGATCTTTGCTGTGATTTAACCTGTTCAGGATGAATTGTAACCAGTTACAATGAATACAAATTCTCCTTTCTGTTTGACCTGGAAAACTTTCCAAAAGGAGATGTCTTTACAATAATGATATATTTGGTGAAAGCTGTGGGTTGTTTTTTTTTTTTTAAAGCTTATGATGACAGTATTGAAAGAGGAAACTAATCTGTATTGTCAGCACAGCCACAGCTAGCACTAGTCATTTCTTGAGAGGTGGAGCTGTTTCTCAGAAAACATGCTGTTTGAGGGTAGGAGGTGAAGGGACTCCTTGTCAGAAATTGGCTTAATTTTAATCCAAGTTATAAACCACAGTTCTGTTTGGGTATTGCATTTCTTCATTTACTCAGTGACAAGAATTAAGGCAGATGATGCCTGTAGAAAAAAAAGTGTATGTTCTTGATAGTTCTGCTACTAGTGCTAGTAGAGGTTGAGAAATAAGATTTCCTGTGAAGTGTGGTTTGGTTGCTTTTGTGGTATCCCATGCAAAAGAGTTTGAACTATCTTCATTTTTCTCCCTTTACTGGATCCTTTAAAAGAGGAAAGGGTGAGATAACCAGACTTACAAGGATGGTAAAGTATAGTGGGCTTTGGGGCTTACTTATACAGCCCAAAGGTTATGGGATGCTGCTGTTATGATAATCTCATGTCAGAGGTTCCTATGGAAGAGGAGAAAGGATGTACCTTTCTGTGTGTTCTCATTCAGAAGTCAAAAGTTTGTTTTTTAATGATTAGTTTACAGATTTGGGGCTGACTGATAGTATCTGGGCAGGGAAAAGAGACCTGTGACTCAGGTTGTTAAGGGAACCTGTGTATATGCTCTCACAAACTCGAAACCGTGTGTTGTGATCCTTAATTGGAGAAGAGGTAGTGCCCTTCTTTGTTATCATCACTAAAGAGTATAAATTATAAAGTCACAGTTTCTCATAAAGAGGCTTTGATAGTTTCACTTCCTGAAATGTGTATATTCACAATCTTTTGCAATAGTTATTTTAAGGTGATGTGTTTTATTTTTTTCTCTACTGCCTCTTCGAAATCAAAAAGTTATATATACTTTTTATTTTATATTAATCTTTTTCAATTTTTGTTTTTATAATTTTAATGTATTTTAAATTTATTTTAAAGTTTTATTTCTCCTTTTTGCTTTAATATTTCTTCCTTTTTAAATTGTTTTTCATTTTTCCTTTGTATGTGTTTTTCTTAAAAGAACAGAAGAATTAAAATAATATCTAGTGATGTAGGTATTTCAGTTTTGTTTTTAATCAGCCTTGAGAAGAAAATACAGGCTCAAATAACATTTGTAGTCAGTTCTAAATAGCTATAGAGTTTTCCCAAGGATTACCTTTCTTTTTTAGTATTATCTGATAACAAAATAAAAAAAAATTTTCCTGAGAAAATTCACCGTTCCTTTGCTTTTGTTGACTCTGTATATTAATGTTAAACAGGAAGCGAGGCCACTGCCAGGGGCTGAGCCCTGCAGACCCAGTGCCCTGCAGGTAGTGCCCTCCTCCCTACTGCCTCCCAGGACTGGATCTGGGCTTTTCTGGTGTGTGGTTACTGTGCTTATAGAGCATTGAGGTAACACCTCGTGCATATTTTACAGATAGAAGGAAAATAGCAGTGAATTTTAGTTCAGAGTCCTGAGGGTGAGGTATCAAATACTCTGGCTGAAGGTCTTTCTCTAGGTTTACTTCCTGCATAGCTGGGCAAGGGTGTGGGGTGGTGCCATGTGGGGTAACCAGATTCCCAGCACCCTGTGAGGTGGACCTTCCCGGGTTTTATGGATTCCTACCGCATGTTAGCTAAATGGCTGTTTTCAGTTGTGCAATAGATATGAGTAGCCTTTGGTTAGTGTTCTTTCTGTGATTACAACATGAGGAAATACATTCCTTTGGTGTGATATTTTAGTGGAACTTTAATTTTAAAATCATGTAGTTTTCTAAAACCAGGCTTTCTTTTTTTGGTATGTTGTCTAGGAGATATGTGGTCTTTATTTTAATTAAGTTGCTGACCTTTTTACTATTTTACATAATATAACAGTTAAAGGGTGATTAAACTGTTTTTTAAAAAAGTGATTTTTAAAAAAAAGTGCTTGTTGACATCATCTTTCTGAGAACACTAGTATATGTGATTTACTATAACAAGATCTTAGTTTTTCCTGTTGGCAAATGACATGTAATATTTACAGAGGTCTTGGGTTCAGTCCAGCAGAAACATCTCAGATAAATTGATGTGTGAAACTAAAGCCATTTTACATTTTCTTTCATATGGAGATAATATAAACAGTTTTTTCATTTAAAAGTAAGGAGAGACTGGCTATTTAGTATGGATTTCTTTGAGAGGGACAACTTGTAATAGTATGCATTCTCTAGAGTTAAACATCAAACACCATGTTTTTAGTTTTATAATTCAGTGATATGCATCCGGCAGTTGTGTGTTGAGGATTCTGAGTTAATTCATGGGCTTTTTCTCCTGGTGTCATGCTTCTCTTGCTTTCCCATCTAAATGTATAAGGTCACATTTTGTATTTCACATATTTAAATTAGCATAAATTCTCAATCTATGAGATTTTTACTTTTAAAAACTAGAAATATCTCTAAACTGTTAACAGAGTCTAAGTAGTGAAGTATCTTCAGTGGTCTTTTAAAGAATACAGTTGGAATATTCCAACTGTCTTTAAATATTTTCAGCATTTAACCTAAACACAGTTCAGTGCTAAAATTTATTTAAATATAGTGGAATTCTTATCTGTTGAGAAATGAAGAGGTTGAAATATAGTAACCTCGGAAATCTAGTCTCATCTATTTGAGACCAGTTATCGTTTTGTAGGTAGACCAATCAATTCTTAGGTACCAAGAATCTGAATGATCCTTTTACTTTTAGGAAGGTAAGTACTTTATTCATTTAACTATGTTTACTCCTGGTCGATTTTTCAAGTCACAATGGCTAATGTGCTACAAACAGAAGTGCTTCCTTTCCAGCACTATAGTAATAAACAAGATTGCATTTTATACTCCTTACAAAAAAAGTAGAGAATAGTTTAGGATTTGTCTCAACTCTATTATGATGCTAATTCATTTTTCTTATTTCTTCTGTCTTTTTATAAATACCTAGAATATTAATATGAAGATAAAAACAGTAATTTTGAAATGACAGTTGTGGTTTATCATTCTCTATTTTCAGATGATCACAGTCGTGTTAAACTGCAAAATGCTGAGAATGATTATATTAATGCCAGTTTAGTTGACATAGAAGAGGCACAAAGGAGTTACATCTTAACACAGGCAAGTAATACGATACCACGCAAATGTCTGAAAATGATGTGTTTGTGCTTGTTCTGCTTTAAATCATAGGTAAAAGTATATCTTGACTTCTTTTGGAAATGAAATGGTATTTCAGTTTTTTTCTGACGATGTAATGAATTATGGACATTATAAGGTTTTGAAGCTTTGAGTATTTAAGATAAAAGGCAAGTTATTTTTGATATTACACGTTCTGTGAAGGAAAATTCTTAGGAAATGGCTTAGGCCAGTTCTTTGGCAGATTGTGTTCCTTACATTATATCTGACACAGAGTGCTGCTTATGCTTCTTAGTGTCTTCTTTTCTCTTCCCATACCCTGTGGCAAAACCAGAGGCCCTGGACAGCTCTTCTGTAGCTCCCCCTGCCTCGCATATATCTTCAGAGAGTACACCAAGCCCTGGATGGTGTCTGGTCGTCTTCAAGGACCTGAGCGGGTGCTGAGACCAGGTGCTCCAGAGGCCCAGCCACAAGGCCTTGTGCTCCCTGTGGCCTTCTGCCCAGTTGCCTCTGAGCGCATCAGCCACACCTGTGTGCAAGCATGATTCTTCCTTCCATTCTGAGATAGTAGGAGAGATTTTTGTGTATCCACAGCTACTCTTTATTCATCAAGTAATAAAGACTTGATTATCAACAGGGCTGTCTTTCCCCCTAAAGATTTTTAAATATTCAAAAGATATACCATAATATTTGAGATTTTTGAAAACATAACTTAAATCAGAATGACTTATTTGAAAGAGAAAAATATTTGATAAGTAAAAAGATATGCAGATTAATGTAACTATGAGCTATTATACTACGTCAATTCACAGGAAACTAAAATGCATTTTTTACTTGAGGTAGTACAGCTCCTGCAAGTCAAAAAGAAAAAAAACAGCCCATGGAAAAAACTGGCAAAGGACATAAACTCCTAGTTCAAAGAATCAAAGGTGGACACTTTGCACATGAAGAAATGCTCCATTCAGTAACCAGGGAATGGGCCTTTCACCTGTCAGAAAAGGAGAGATTTCAAAGTGTATAATACTCAGTGTTCAAATACTCTGACCGACCAAGAAAGTCTACTTAGAGAAATACAGTCAGACATAAAGATATATGTGATCGGCCAGGCGCGGAGGCTCACACCTGTAATCCCAGCACTTTGGGAGGCTGAGGCAGATGGATCACCTGAGATCAGGAGTTTGAGACCAGCCTGGCCAACACGGTGAAACCCCATCTCTACTAAAAATACAAAAATTAGCTGGGCATGGTGGCGGGTACCTATAATCCCAGCTACCCAGGAGTCTGAGGCAGGAGAATCGCTTGAACCCGGGAGGTGGAGGTGGCAGTGAGGCAAGATAGTGCCACTGCACTCCAGCCTGAGCGAAAGAGCAAAACTGTCCAAAAAAAAAAAAAAGACATATGTGATCATGTTCATTGCAGTCTTATTTTAACGCATCAGACTCAAGCAATCTGTAAGGGACTGGTTAAATAAGTTAATCATACATATACCATTAGTAATAATTTGTGGAGCTTGGGAATAGAGACTTTAATTTTCCATTTTATTCCTTTCTGTAATATTGGAAGTTTTTTTTATGTGCATTTGTATTTTAAACTACTATTTAGAGTTAAAAATTTTATTTTCTGTTTGAAATACCTATAGTTGACCCTTGAACCATCCAGGGTTGAACTGTACTAGTCCACTTACAGGCAAATTTTTTTCAACCAAAAACGGGTCGGAAATACGGTATTCATGGGATGTGAAATCCATGCATACAGAGGGCTGACTCTTTGTATCTGCAGGTTCTACAGGGCCACCAGTGGGGCTTGGACATGTGTGGATTTTGGTATACTGCAGTGGGTGGGGGGCAGGTTGGGTCCTGGAGCCAGTCCCTTGTGTATATTGAGGGACAACTAATTACATTAAAAAATAGAGAAGAATTACCACCCTAGATCCCTTATCACAACCCTTTCTCCCTCTGTACTGTTCTTCTCCATTATCACTTACTGGTTTTTTGTTCTCTTCTTAGTTCTTAAAAACATAGGTCTTAAGATTCTAAATTAGCTTTTTTTTTTCTCCTCCAGTCTGCACTACAGCCCTTTAAGACCATGGTTTTCAACCTTTGTAACCTAAGATAGGGTAGACTACTGTCATGGTACCTGTGCTGGAATCTTGGTGCCAGCATTTCACTGGGTATTCACTCACCCAGCAAAGACTTACTGAGACCTACTCTGTGGCAGGCATTGTTTAAATAAAACAGACTTTCATAAAAACCCTATTATGAATTTTATGAATTTTACATTATAATAGGAAATAATAACAGTTAAAAATTTTGTAATGGTGTTTTTACATGCTTTGTATAATTTAAACCTTAGGACAACCCTCTGTGGTAAATAGTATTACCTTTATTTTATACACGAGGAATCTAAGGAGATCCAGAGACATTAAATAACTTTCTTTTTTTTTTTTTTTGAGATGGAGTCTCACTCTGTTGCCCAGCCTGGAGTGCAGTGATGCAATCTCAGCTCACTACAACCTCCTCCTCCCGGGTTCAAGTGATTCTCGTGCTTCAGCCTCCCAAGTAGCTGGGATTACAGGTGCTCACCACCACTCCCAGCTAATTTCTGTATTTTTAGTAGAGACAAGGTTTCACCATGTTGCTCAGGCTGGTCTCAAACTCCTGGCCTCAGATGATCCACCTGTCTTGGCCTCCCAAAGTGCTGGGATTACAGGGGTGAGCCACCGTGCCCAGCCTCCTAGTAATTGTTTTTGAACTTCTTGTCGCTGTGTGTGTCCTGAAGGAGCCCTGCCCATTTAATGCGAGAACTCAGAAGCCTGTGTCTGGCTTTTTCTTCTCTCCTGAATTCCTCTCTATGTTTTTCAGGTCTCTATTGGATATTTTTACTGGATTTCAAAGTCTGCATGTTCTCTGTCTTTTTTACCAAGGTAGCTGCCTTCCTATTTTTCTCATTGGGATTGAGACTGTCCTCATTGTCTGCCAAGTTCTTTCTGATCTTCTATTGCCCCTCGCTTTTTTCAGAGCTCTCTTCAATTACACCTGTCCTGTTGCAGCAGCTTTTTAAGGTCTCCCCTTGGCACCATCCCTGTCACTCTAGTGGTGTAGTCACCAACTACATCCCTCCACTTCTACCTCACTGATCTATTTGTCTTTTCCCAAATATGCCCTAAACTTTCATGCACTTTGCCTTATGCTTGGAGGGCCTGGAGTGGACCCTAACTCCCTCCCATTCTTCTGCATTCCCTCTCTGTATTAGGACCTTTTTCGAGGCTCTTCTGTAGTTTCCTTCCCAGCCTTTCCTGCTCCCTAAGACCTGATGGTTTAATTTGCCCATACTCTTGTACTACTTAACTGTGTCCATTAGTCATACAAGTACTTCTCCTTCTACCTTTGCAAGCTCTTAAAGAGCCAAGACTGCATCTCAGTCTAGCTCTTGGCCTTGCATCTAGCAGGTTGTTTGGAATGGAGGATACAGAAAACTAGAGATGCAGTAACCCAGCTCTTCTGATTGTCCTTTGTAGATTGTTACTTCAGTCATCTTTTTCTTCTGAGTTTTATGAATTAGTATTTTTTTAAAAGTCACCTCCTTGGTGTATTATGTCTGTTTTGCAGATGAAGAACATTGGTAGCATTGCTGGTAAATGGAAGAGCTGAGATGTGAATCTCTGTTCCTCTGATTTAAAAACCTATGGCTGGGCGTAGTGGCTCAACGCCTGTAATCCCAGCACTTGGGGAGGCTGAGGCAGGCAGATCACCTGAGGTCAGGAGTTTGAGACCAGCCTGGCCAACATGGTAAAACCCCGTCTCTACTAAAAATACAAAAATCAGCCTGGCATGGTGGTGCACGCCTGTAATCCCAACTACTCAGGAGGCTGAGGGAGGGAGAATTGCTTGAATCCAGGAGGCAGAGGTTGCAGTGAGCCGAGGTCGTGCCATTGCACTCCAGCCTGGGCAACAGAGCAAGACTCCAGCTGTGTTCCTGTTTATTATTTAGTCTTTAGAATCACCAGTGGAATGGCATGGGTTGTGATTGTGTGTATACACTAAGGAGTAACCTCACTGGCAAATTGCTACATCCATTTTTTTTTTCCTAATTAAAGAAAAAGGTATTCATTTTACTGGGGATTTCCTCATTGCTGTTTTTACCTTTAGACTGTGTTTTGTTTTAGAAGTAGATCAAGTAATAGAAAAATAAGTTGAGTGAGGAAAACGCCACTCTCAAATATTAGGTTGTAGTTTGTCAGGATCCTCAGTAGACTTCTAGCATTTTTACAACTTAACCTTGGTTTATTCATTTAAGTAATATTTATTGAGTATCTGCTACATACCAAGGAGTACACCAGGCCTAAAGATGCTTTTAGTCAGCTGGGCACCATGGCTGATACCTGTAATCCCAGCACTTTGGGAGGCTGAGGCAGGTGGATCACTTGAGGTCAGGAGTTCGAGACCAACCTGGCCAACATGGTGAAACCCTGTCTCTACTAAAAATCCAAAATTTAGCCAGGTGTGGTGGCGGGTGCCTATAATTCCAGCTCCGTGGGAGGCTTAGGCAGGAGAATCTCTTGAACCTGGGAAGTGGAGGTTGCAGTGAGCTGAGATCGTGACACTGCACTCTAGCCCGGGTGACAGAGACACCATCTCAAAAAATAAAAAATGCTTTTAGTCTAGAACCACTTTAACCCCCTTGTTGTATGTGGGTCTGAAGCTCTGGGCAGCCCTAGCCCCCACTCCTGACTCTGCCCCTAACTCATACCACTCTGCTACATTCCATGTGAGTTGAATGCATGTTCATAGTTATTTTAGGTGTAGCAAAACTACATCTCATTTTAACCTTCTCATTTAAAACTCGTTAAAATTTGTACATAGGCTTTTCATCTCTTATTAGATCTTCCTTTTGCCCTATGCTATCATTAAAATGTGAAAGCAATTGGAAATACATGAAATATTTTGCTTTTATCCCCATGGCATTGTTGTAACATGGACTGTTGCCCCTTTTTAACTCTGCCCAATACTCTTCCATTGAGGCCGTACATACTGTGCATTTGTAGATTAACAGTTTCATTGTGGTTCAGGTACTTTAATGATTCCTACTTTTTCTAGAAATCTTTTTGTAGTTGACTTGAGTTGGTTGGCTGGCCAGTGATGGTACAGACTTTTTTCTCATGGATTTTCTATGATGTGTGGGAGGCACATCCTCTTGGCTGTAGAAGATGAAGAGGACAGAAATTTCCTTGGTCTACCTTCTTTGCAGCTAGAACATGATCAGTCAGATACTCCTACTCGTGATTTTGTCTCTGATTTGCCTATAGATTGTACATGAATACTATAGCCACCTTCATATGGCAGTGCCAGCAAAAGCAAGGAGATAGTAGTGACGGTATCAAGAGCAGCATCCCAGGTTGACTTTCTTTGGGGCAGGACCTTGCTTGTGTCTTAACCCTTGGTTCCTACCCAAGTTTGTCTCTCTAGTCCTCAACTCTGAAAGCCACTTGATATCTTACACAATTCCTTTTTTGCCTGAGAAAATAAAAGTCAGTTTTGATCATTTACAACCAAAAATCCTAACTAACACAGACCTGTTTTTGAAATCAGGTAGATTGGAAGTCTTGGTTTACTTCTTATAAGCCCGTCCGCTGTCTGTCTTGTAACATCCCAGGAGCAGACTTAACAAGGCCTTCCTGGAGCCTTGCTCTTTCTGTCTGCTTCCCTCATCTGCTCTCTCTCCTCTCTCTTCACAGGGTCCACTTCCTAACACATGCTGCCATTTCTGGCTTATGGTTTGGCAGCAGAAGACCAAAGCAGTTGTCATGCTGAACCGCATTGTGGAGAAAGAATCGGTGAGTAATATTTAATATTTACAACTTAGTATACTGTATGTGATCATTAGCATATAAAGATTTTCATTTTGGGGCCAATATTCATTCCTTAGTTTTGGCCTTTAATTGCTAAAGGCTAGCGGTCAAAGTGTTTCTGTCCGGAAAAACTCATGTATCCTTTTCCTTTCTTAAGTATTTTTATAACAATTGCAGACCTTTCATCTCCAAGATAGAAATACAATGGAATAAATATGGACTAGCAGTGACATATAGATCTTTGGAATCCCTAGGAATCCTTATTGACCTATTGTCAATAAGTCCTCTTCCAGCTTTAAGATCTTGTACTGTTCTACTTCAGATTTCTTACTTTATTCTACATTTCATAATTGCTGGTTTTTAATGATGATGAAAATTTCCTAATCCACTTCTAATTAGATGTGGCAATGACATGCCAGAATTTCCAGCAGTATCAGCATAGTCATTTACAGGGGTTTTTCCTGATCTTCAATATCATTTAAAAATTAAGGATTAGGCCAGGCACGGTGCCTCAAACCTGTAATCCCAGCACTTTGGGAGGCCGAGGCAGGCAGATCACTTGAGGTCAGGAGTTTGAGACCAGCCTGGCCAACATGGTGAAACCCCGTCTCTACTAAAAATACAAAATTAGCCAGGTGTAATGCTAGCTACTTGGGAGGCTGAGGCAGGAGAACCGCTTGAACCTAGGAGGTGGAGGTTGCAGTGAGCCGAGATTGTGCCACTGCACCTCAACCTGGATGATAGAATGAGACTCCATCTCAAAACCCACTGCACTGCAGCCTGGGCGGTAGAGTGAGACTCCATCTCAAAAAAGAAAAAAAAAAAAATCAAGGATTATGACATTGTCAGTTTGAGCACCATTGTAGACTACATGATTTGCAAATTTTATTTCTCTCATTTTGGAGTATAATTACTGTATTAATAAGATAACACTGCCACCAGAATTTAGAAATCATGTTTATGGTGGTTGAACCTAGATGGTTAACAAGAGTCAGGTTTAATTATTTTGGGGAAGATTACTTCAGAGGTGGTGGGTAATGTGTTATTCATCAAGAGACCCATAATGTCTGATTATTGTTCTTTTTATTTCATTAATAGCCATTATTGGTCAGTGTTCAGCTTCTTAATTCATTATGGGTTACAAATGATGATAATCCAATTCTGTCATTACTTCTCTTAAAAGCAGTTTTCCAAAAAAAAGTTGATTCCCTATTGAGGTCATCTGTTCTCAACAGATGACCAATTAGGAGTTTTTCTGGTGGAGAGTGGCAGGAGAGGTTGAATTATTATGGGTTTGGACATACTGGATTAATTTTACTCCTTTGCAGTTATTTTCCTTATTTTTGATCAAATTACCCTGTCATTGGCTAGCAGCAATGTCTTTAGGTTGGGTCCTGAGTCCTCTTTTTTTTTTTTTTTTTTTGGAGACAGAGTCTCGCCTGTTGCCCAGGCTGGAGTGCAGTGGCATGATTTCAGCTCACTGCAGCCTCCACTTCCCGGGTTCAAGAGATTCTCCCGTCTCAGCCTCCCGAGCAACTGGGATTACAAGCACCCACCACCATGCCCAGCTAGTTTTTGTAGAGATGGTTTTACCATGTTGGCCAGGCTGGTCTCAAGTTCCTGACCTCAAGTGATACGCCCACCTCGGCCTCCCAAAGTGCTGGGATTACAGGCGTGAGCCACCTCACCCAGCTCTGAGTCCTTTTTAACAAACCTTTAATAGTTTCCTTGGCTGGGTGCAGTGGCTCACACCTGTAATCTCAGCACTTTGGGGAGCTGAGTTGGGTGGATCGCTTGAGCCCAGGAGTTTGAGACCAGCCTGGGCAACATGGTGAAACTCTGTCTCTACAAAAAATACAAAAATTAGCTGGGTGTGGTGGCGCATGCCTGTAGTCCCAGCTACCTGGGGTACTGAGGCAGGAGGATCACTTGAGGCCAGGAAGTCAAGGCTACAGTTAGCTATGGTCGTGCCACTGCACTCCAGCCTGGGGACAGAGCGAGACCCTGTCTCAAAAAAAAAAAATTTTTTTTGCTGTCTGTAATGACTGCATCTCAGGCTCATCTCAAACTCTTGCTGCCCAGACCTGGAACCAGCCATTTCTCTAAGGAGTTTTGGTTTCTTTTAATGGGCAGCAGTATTTCAAGATCACAGCAAAAATAAGGATATATATTGCAACTGGACTGGTCATTGTTTTTAGGGCTTTTCAGTGGACAAAAGCTAAGGAACAATATGCATATGTTAAGATAACATACTTCAAGAGTTCATAATGATATTCCCAGTTCAAATTTGGAACTATAAGTGTTGCTTAGCCCCTTCCATCTTACATCTGCTATTTCCTTTTTCATACCAAGAATCCTGGTTCTCAAAGATATGAGAGATGTAAACTATCTTGTAATGACTCATTTCCTTCTTCCCATATCATATACAATATATAACCATAATCATGATATCATCTGCTACCAAAATAATTACTGAAAATGGTTTACAATTTTTAATATTTTTTTCATTCTCTTCCTGGTGTTTCTGAGTTGTACTTTACAAACTGTAGTCTCTCCCTTACATCTCTTGTAGACTCTTAGTTCTACAAGCAAGCATTATTTAATATTCATCAACAGTCTTTGCTGATGTCTCTCCAGTCATTCTGACTAAAGCTCATTCTCTAGTGGCTCCTAAGGAGGGACTTGTGAGCATTATAGTCTGATTTTTTTACATGTCAGTGATGGTTCATCTGCTGTCTTAATATCTGAAAGTCAGTTTGGCGGGATATAAAATCCTTGGCTCATGTGCTATTCTTTGAACAACTTTTTTTTTCCATTTCCTTCTGGTATTCCACCAAAGTCTAATGGACATCTTATTTCCTTTATAAGTCTCTTGTTCTTTTTATCTGCACTACCCAAAGAATTCTTTTTTTCTTTTTCTTCAGATATTATTAGTTTTACCAAAAATATGTCTTAGTAATTGGCCATTCTGGGTCAGTTTTTACAGGTACATGATGTGTTCTTGAGAGTTTGACTTCAAGTACTTTTTAAAATTTTTTAAATACTTTTTGTTAAAGAAATATTTGTTGAATTACAGTCCTTAGTATTTGTTCTGCTCCCTTGCTTGCTTTAATGTTCTTCTTTGGGTCTTCCTATTATACGTATGTTGGATTTTCTTTGCCTACCTTTTTTATTTGTCACGTTCTCTTTAATCCTGTTTATCTCTTTATTTCTATTTTACTTAAAAAAAATTTTTTTTTTTCTGGCCAGGTTGGAGGGCTTACACCTATAATCCCAGCACTTTGGGAGGCTGAGGCAGGAGGGTCACTTGAGCCCAGGAATTCAAAACCAGCCTCGACAACAAAGTGAGACCCTGCCTCTACAAAAAATACAAAAAGTAGCCAGGTGTGGTGGCACGCACCTGGAGTCCCAGCTGGGGTTGGGGGATTGCTTGAGCCCAGAAGATTGAGGCTGAAGTGAGCCAAGTTCACCCCAGTGCACTCCAGCCTGGGCTACTACAGAGCAAGACACTGTCTCTTAAAAAAAAAAAAAATTATTTATTTTCCTCTTAAGGCATTATTATTATTATTATTTTTTTTTTTTTTTGAGACGGAGTCTCGCTCTGTCGCCCAGGCTGGAGTGCAGTGCTGCTATCTCGACTCACTGCAAGCTCCGCCTCCCAGGTTCACGCCATTCTTCTGCCTCAGCCTCCCAAATAGCTGAGGCTACAGGCGTCCACCACCACACCCGGCTAATTTGTTGTATTTTTAGTAGAGACGGGGTTTCACTGTGTTAGCCAGGATGGTCTCGATCTCCTGACCTCATGATCCGCCTGCCTCAGCCTCCCAAAGTGCTGGGATTACAGGCGTGAGCCACCGCGCTTGGCCAGCAACATTTATTTTGAAGATAAAATTATTGCAAGAGTTTGATAATTTTAGAAACATAAAGTGAATGTCCCATGACGTTAAAATATAGGTAATCATGCTTTAAGAATGATAAATTTATTTTTATTTTATGAATATGATACCTATGGCTTTTTTAGTTTATAAGTTACAGGAACACTTAAAAAATACCTTATAAGACCGGACATGGTGGCTCACGCCTGTAATCCCAGCACTTTGGGAGGCTGAGGTTGGTGGTTCACTTGAGGTCAGGAGTTCAAGACCAGCCTGGCCAACATGGCAAAACCCTGTCTCTACTAAAAATACAAAAATTAGCTGGGTGTGGTGGCAGACGCCTGTAATCCCAGCTGCTCAGAAGGCTGAGGCAGGAGAATTGCTTGAACCCAGGAGGCAGAGGTTGCAGTGAGCCAACATCACGCCACTGCATTCCAGCCTGGGCGACAGAGCAAGACTCCAGCTCAAAAGAAAAGAAAAGCCTATGGAGACAGAAAATGGATCAGTGCTTGCCTGTGGCTTGGAGTGGGAATAGGACACAAGGGGATTTCTGAGTCTGAGAGAAATGTTCTAAAACTGGCTTACAGTGATGACTGCACACACATAAAAAATGCTTTATAAAATTTCAATCTCTACCCGCCCTGCTCCCCGAGATGGAGTCTTGCTCTGTCACCCAGACTGGAGTGCAGTGGAATGATCTTGGCTCACTGCAACCTCCACCTCCTGGGTTCAAGCGATTCTCCTGCCTCACTCTCACAAGTAGCTGGGATTACAGGCGCCCGCCATCGCGCCTAGCTAGTTTTTGTATTTTTAGTAGAGACAGGGTTTCACCATATTAGCCAGGTTGGTCTCGAACTCCTGATCTCAGGTGATCCTCCCGCCTCAGCCTCCCAAATTGTTGGGATTACAGGCGTGAGTCACCGCGCCCGGCTATAAAATTTCAATCTTACTAAAATACATTAAGCGTAGAATATAGTAGTGACTTCTTAGTTTTGGGTACTTGAAAAAATATAGCATGTATATATCTGGTTTGTTTTCATTTTTTAACTTTATGGTTTCATGATGTCTATAAACTAAAAAAAAATCATATACATATTTCTAAATTTAGGTTAAATGTGCACAGTACTGGCCAACAGATGACCAAGAGATGCTGTTTAAAGAAACAGGATTCAGTGTGAAGCTCTTGTCAGAAGATGTGAAGTCGTATTATACAGTACATCTACTACAATTAGAAAATATCAATGTAAGACCTTTCTTGCCCGAAATTGTGGACTTTATATGATGGTTTAAAGAATTATTCTTTATTATTAGATTTGAAGTTTGATAAGCACATGCATTTGGATAATTCCTATAGTATCTAGCCATAATCACGTGTTTTTAGATTGTGTGTCTGCATCTAGTAGCTTTCTGAGGACTCTGAAGAAACAGTAGAAACTAAGAATTTCAAAGTTCAGTTTGATATTTGGGGATTAAAAATTAATTAATAGAAATACATGAGGATTAATAGAGAGGGCTTTAGAATCAGGCAAACCTGGATTCAGATCCAGCTCTGCTGCTTAGTAGAGCTGTACTTTAGACTTGTTCCCCACCCTCACTGATCCCTTCCTCATCTGTAAAATGGAGGTTACCACGCCTTCCCTCCGGGGCTGTCCTGAAGGTCAAATGAGGATGTGTATGCAGAGCACCTGACCTTAGTAAATGCCCAGCAAGCAATAGCTCCCAGGACCTGTGACTGCCAAGAATAGCAAAATAGTCAAGAAAATAACTTACAAAGCTATTGTTAAGTGATTCACAACACAAAAATTTGTCCCTATTGAGTTGGAAAAAAAATGGTGTTTTATATATATATGTAACACGCACACATACATACATACATACACACACATGTATAAATGTGGCATGTGGTCTCAAGAACATTTACTTGGGTGTTTGTTTGGTTGGTTGGTTGGTTGGTTGATTGGTTTTTTGAGACAGTCTTGCTTTGCCACCCAGGCTGGAGTACAGTGGCATAATCACAGCTCTCAATGAGGCCTCCAACTCCTGGCCTCAAGAAATCCTCCCACTTCAGCCTCCTGAGTATCTGGGATTACAGGCATGAGCCACCATACCTAATTTTCTTATTTTTTTTTAATAGAGATGGGGTCTTGCCTTGTTATCCAGGCTGGTCTCAAACTCCTGAGCTCAAGCGATCCTCCCACCTTGGCCTCCCAAAGTGTTGAGGTTACAGTCATGAGCCACCATGCCAGGCCTTACTTGCATTTTTCTTCCCCAGAAACATATGAACTGTTCCTTGGGCCTTGGTTGAGGTACATACACATAGTGGGTTATGAACCTGCTGTTGCCAGGGTGATGATTGAGGCATTTCTCCCCCTTTCGCCATTTACCTCTTTTGCCCTCTTTGTGTTGTAATAGAATAAACTAGAAAATAATGAAATGAGAGTAATTCTGAGATGCTAATAGAAACTGTGATAGCTTGAAAATAGGAGAATGTTTAGCCTCATATGACTTTAGGAATGTATGTAGTCTATAAGTGAAATACTGTTTTAGTTAACCATTAAGTAAATTAAGTGATCACTAACAATACAAAAAAACCTTAAAGAGAAGGGAGATATATACATGCTTTTTAGATGTGTGGCAGTCCCTTTTATGGTGGATCCCTTGAAACACTTGTGTTTTTTGCTGCATTGAGTAAGCACAGGTGCATGCTCTGTGCGTGAGGCCTAGGTTCTGGTTTTCCTTCTGTCCAGCTTCCCGTGACATCCGTACTAAGCTTATTATACAGTCTCTTGAGTCACCTAAAAAGGCTCAAAATTACGAATGATAATGCTTAGATTTATTTATACATTCCCATTACTATATTTATTTTGTCCCAACTCTTTCCATTTACATGTGTCTTAAACTGCATTGAGATACATCAATAACTCTTTGATACTGGACTGAGCTGTACATTGTTCATTCCCAGAAACAGAACTGTATTTCCACAAGGTTCTGAAAGTTCTCTGAATCATCTTCTCTTGGTATTTATCCCAGGTAATTACTCATTTGCTTATGGCATTAAAATTGATTTAGATGAAGGGCATAGATGTGTTTCCCTGTTTCTGAAACAGTCCTTATTGAGAATTGATTATACCTTAAGTAACAATAAAATAGAATGATTTTTGTGTTTTGTTTATCAGATTCCAAAATGCTTTCACATATATATCATCTGACCAGTAGTCTTCAGTTAGTGTAGATAGTGTAAATATTCTTATTATCCCCGTATTTTATATTATAAAAAATAATAGTTAAAATCCATTAGGTTATAGGAATTTTTCCATCGATTACTTAGCTAATAAGTGACAGACTGATCTCATTAGTTCTCCTGGTCCCCTATTTTTTAAGACAAAGTCTCATTCTGTTGCCCAGGCTGGAGTGCAGTGGCATGATCTTGGCTCATTGCAGCCTCCACCTCCTGGATTCAAGTGATTCTCCTGTCCTAGCCTCCCGAGTAGCTGGGAATACAGGTGTGCACCACCACGCCTGGCTAATTTTTTGTATTTTTAGTAGAGATGGGGTTTCGCTGTGTTGGCCAGACTGATCTTGAACTCCTGACTTCAGGTGATCTGCCCGCCTCAGCCTCCCAAAGTGCTGGGATTACAGGTGTGAGCCAACACGCCCGGCCATCTCCTAACTTTTGACATGGGGATAAGTCCTTTTGAAAAGATGCTAATTGTTGTAAAGAGAGATTATTGATTCTGAAGCATCTTTCTGGAGTTGAGGCCATCATGTGAGTTGGCCAGCCACTCTGTTTTAGTTGCTAGCAACTGTGTGGTATAATGACATGATCACTGGATTTTTTATTGGCCTGGGTTTAGAACATACCACAATATAATAGCAAGAATTTGTTTGTGTTCTACTTTATAATTTTTAATTAGAACTAGGGATTCTTTATTCTTTAGAAGGATAAAGTAGCATTTCAGTATGAGAGGCAGAATTACATTTGCCTAAGTAGATAACCTCTAGAATCAGATAGCCCAAGTTTAAATCCTGACTCTGCCATTCTTGCTGAGTGACTTGGGTCACATTACTTTACTATAGATGATAAACAGTACCTGTTTTATCATCTATAAAATGAGGGTGATAACGTACCTACTTCATAGGATTGCTCTAAGGATCAAGTGAGTTAATATCATGATGGTGCGGGAGCCACAATTACCTTTTTAGTTGATCAGTTTCCTTTTTGTAACAGTAATGAATTGGAAGGGACAACAGGAACCGGGAGTAGTTGAAAAGGATACTAGCAAGAAAGAAAGAACCAATGGGAGTGAGAAAAAGTGATGATGGAGTAGGGGGCTGATAGCCAATCTCAACACGCAGATCTCTGTCTTTATTGGAGTCGCTGGGGTGCAGAGATCCAGTTTGCATCTAAGGGAGTCTGACACGTATCTATTAACAAGTCCAAAGGTAAAGCTGTTGTCTAAGCAAGCCCTGCGCCTCCTCCAGTCTAATGGAACAGCAAAATGACATACCAGGAGCCCTTTAGTGACTTACTTAAAGCTAAAAGTTTGAACTCTTGCCCCTGAAGAAGAGATTGCATCTCGGCTTTCAGTGTGGCCTGTGGCTTAAGCTATGGAGATAATTTTGAGGGATTTTAAAAATATAAGGTCATCTAGAGTACTTGTCTTTCAGTTTTTTCTTTTTAGTTGCCCTTCACTATTTCTGTAATGTTGGCCCGCTTTACGTTTAGTGAGTTCCAGGAATACTGTTATAATGCTGACTGTCTTCTATTTCCCTGTCCCTAAAGATTTAGCAAGATGAGAGTCTCTAATTATTATGATGCTTAGCTGGGATTTGGTTCAAAATAGTTTAAACAGTTTATTCTACCTAGAATGTCCTCTCTCTTCTCTGCACGTCCTTAGTAACCCCTGTGGCCCACTTCTTACTTAGGTCTCTCCTAACATGTATCTATGACACATTGATCCCTAACAGCTATGATTCTTCTTATACTTTTTCAGTAATTTAAATTTTATCATTCTACTGCTTGTTCAATACATCTCTCTATGTAAATCTTGACTCCATAATGAGGTTTTTAACTTCGAAGGGGTTGGAAGTTATCTGCTGCCTTGGTACCCCCCCGCCATTACACAAGAGTACATTTTAAGCACATTACACCTGAGTGATTGTTGTAAAACACAGATGCAATCTTTCCACCATCCTCTAAGAATTCTTCTGTGGCTTCCATTGGTTACCAAAAAAAGTCTGTGTCCAGTGCACAAGACCATGACCCAGCTCAGCCTGGTCCTTGCCTCCTTGTCTAACTCCCTCTCCTTCGGGTATCCAGGATTTGTTCGTGCTAACAGACAGACTTCTCTAATAGGTGAATTCCTTGGTGGGGGTGGGTGGCATGCCTTTGCATATTGCTTTCTCTCTGCTGAGAATGCAAGCCTGTCCCTAGCCGTTTCTGCCACTCCTCCTGATCTGGTGAGTTTGATCTGCCTTTCACAATGAATCCCAGTCAGTAAATATTTATCACTGACATGCTGACCCTGGCAAAAATTGATGAGAGACTCAACTAAGGCAGTGATAGTGAAGGTACAGATTTGACATCTGGTTAGGACATAGGGTTGACAAACTTTGTCACTCTTTAGGTGTAGAGGAAATACCCAATGAAGAGGTTGAAAATGTGTTGAGTTTTACAATTGACTGGAGCTTTCTAGGGGCCACAATAAAGGCAATTGGTGAGTATAGTTGTTTTAAAAATATCCAGTATCTGTTAAGCATTTACCATGTGCAGGGATATGGCAGGCACTTCACATTAATTGTTTTATTTATTCCTTAACAACAGTTTTGTAAGGTAAGTAGTATTATTAACCCTATTTACAGATGACAGAACTGGGGCTTAGTGAAAGTCTTTTAGAAACAAAATCTTGGTACCTTCCATATATACCTAAAGTGTGAAAGTAATTGGGCCTGGGGTCATAGAGCTGTATAGATTTTTTATGATAATTGGAAAATGTATAATCTTATTATATATTTATGATGATTATTAACTTGCATTTGAAGGCTGTGAACAGGGCATATGCTTAAATTGCTGTGGCCTAACAATTCCTGTTGTTACACTTGCTCAACTCACAGGTTATTTTCCTGGCTTCATATATGCAAGTTTGACATTGCTGTTCAAAGACTTTAAATTTAGAATTCTCTTTTAAAAATGTAAATGGGATTTTGCCTTAGAACAGCAAGCCACTGACATTTTGTGCAGAATGTAGTATACATAATGCAGAGTTTTACACAGAAAACTTGGCAGGCATGTGTGGAACGGCTGCAGACAGGGACAGCCTATAATTGTGGGTGCAACCCGCGTGTGTGTAGGGAGGGGGGTGAAGCAGCGAGAAGGGTGGAGGGCAGCAGCTGGGGACCAGAGGAGAAGTAGTGTGACTCGGTGACCAAGGAGAAGAAAAGGGTGCTTCCACAGTTTTGAAAATAAGGAGTTTGCCAAAAATTGTAAAGTCTAAATGCAGACCTTGTTTGGAATAAAGATGAATTTCGTTTTAGCTCTGTATCCTTTGGCAACCCTTTTTTTCCCCTCTCATTTTTTTTCCTGCGTGAAAAAGAGGGAAAGGGGTCCATCCAGTCATGCATATGAATGTTTCTATACCAGAGTAGTAAATATATGCATCTTATGCCTTCGTGTGGTCCTTTGTAACTGTGAATTATGATTTTGGAAAGCTGTGTTTTTTTAATCTTGTTTCTGTAAGGATAAATTAATCAAAGTTAACCTCTCAAAAAAGTCCTGGTTCTGTAGGGGGGAAAAAAAACAACAACTGATTTTCAAAAATCTATTAGTGGGGAAGACTATATTATACAAATAGTCATGAGCATTTCTGGGAACTGGCTTCCAATATCCCAGACAGCGTGACCTGAATGTGAAAAAAGTTGAGACCACTAGTTTTGAGCCAAAATCATACAAGCAAAGAGAAAGCAAGCTGTTGCCCAAGATTGTGGGGTAACCATATGTTTGAGCCAGGACTTGATGAAGTAATTGTGCGCAGGACCCCGTAGGGGTACTGGGCCGTAGCCCACAGAGCACTGCAGGCCCCTGCTCAAAGCAGACCACATGAAGGCCCACACAGACTGAGTCTGGTCCTGCTGGTGGCCGCAGCAAGTAAGAAACAAAGTGGGTTATTAACATCCACTGGAATCTTAACCTCATTTAAAGGAAAACTTGACTTTGAGTTAACTGTATCCCCCCCACCCCCCGCTGTCAAGAACCCACCTCTCTAGCTCATTCCTGTGTCAGTGTTGCCGTATTAACTGCCCACCTGCTGCTTTGTAAAAGGAGACTAGAGTTTACCCTTCTTATTTTAGAATGTTTTGAATTCTCTTTTTTAATGCAATAAATTTAATTTACCTTTTTTTTTTAACCTACAATAAGATTGATTCCTTTTGGTGTACAGTCGTGTTGTGACTTTTGACAGTGCATTCAGTCATGTAACCACTGCCCATAACAGAAACATAGATCGGTTCTGTCACCTCTCCCCTGCCCCAGATGTTCTTGTGTTGCTTGTGTACAGTCAGTCCTGTCCTCTACCCCCAGCCAGAAACCAGTAATCTGGTTTCTGTTTCTGTTTTTCTGCCTTTTCCAGAATGTCATAAAAATGGAATAGTATAGTATATAGCCTTTAGTCTGGCTTTGTTCACTTACCATAATTAATTTAAAAATAAATGTCTTAAAGCGTAGAAACCATGATCATTTTAATTTGTAATGGAGAAATTTTTTATTGCTTTTAGTATATTGAGAACTTGTGGATCACACTGTATTTGAAATTATTAATGCTGGATGTTAAAAGGTCACTAAAAGTATGTACTTTTTAGAAAATTTATTTCACTGTATTTTATTAGTATTATACCTTATATACTGAGTCTGGGACATAGAAGTCTTAATTTCTACTGCAAAATGGATTTTTTTTTTTTTTTTTGAGATGGAGTTTCGCTCTCGTTGTCCAGGCTGGAGTACAATGGCACGATCTCGGCTCACCACAACCTCCGCCTCCCGGGTTCAAGCGATTCTCCCACCTCAGCCTCCCAAGTAGCTGGGATTACAGGCATGCACCTCTATGCCCAGATAAGGTTTGTATTTTTAGTAGAGACGGGGTTTCTCTATGTTGGTCAGGTTGGTCTCGAACTCCTGACCTCAGGTGATCCACCCGCCTCAGCCTCCCAAAGTGCTGGGATTATAGGTGTGAGCCACTGCGCCCGGCCGAAAATTTATATTTTTAAAGCGAAAGCTAACTTCTAATTTTGAAAATTTTTATTGGGAGCAGGATATTATAATAATAATCTTTAGTTGTTAAACCATTAAACATCAAGGTTTTTTACATTGTTTCTATGCCTCCTCCCTCAAAAAAAAAAAACCTCCTACAATAAAACTGAAAAATTGCACAAAGACATATTAGTGGAAGACCACTGCTTCGTTTACACAAATGAAGAGTATAAAGCAGAGAAGTGCTCCTTGGGGCAAAAGGCAATTGGCAAAAAGCTAAGGAACATTTTCATAATGAGTTAGAAATACAGATCATCAGGAATATCCAGGAAGCGATAGTGAATACCAGGCAGGCTTAAGAGACAGGAAACATTTAGCATGTTGGTAAACCACTTTAGCACATCAGCAAAAGCATATAAACAGCTTTAGGATTGGAAATTATTGCCATGGGGAAAGGCAACAATTTAGAGGAGCAATTCCAATTAAAAATATAAAGATCGTTTCTTTAGATTAATTCTTGAGTTGCTCCCCTATGCCTGTGTAGCAGAATCTAAAAGATAATCATGTGAACGGGAGATTATATTTAAAAAATAAACTTTGAAATTCATAAAAAGGAAAATGTTAAAGAATGTAAAATTATACTGGTAGAAAAAAAATTTTTTTTTTTGAAGATGGAGTTTCACTCTTGTTGCCCAAGCTGGCGTGCAATGGCACGATCTCTGCTCACTGCAACCTCCACCTCCCAGGTTCAAGCAATTCTCCTGCCTCAGCCTCCCAAGTAGCTGAGATTACAGGCACGCGCCACCACGCCTGGCTAATTTTTTGTATTTTTAGTAGAAACGGGGTTTCACCATGTTGGCCAGGCTGGTCTCGAACTCCTGACCTCAAGTGATCTGCCCACCTCGGCCTCCCAAAGTGCTGGGATTACAGGCATGAGCCATTGCACCCGGCAGAAATTTTTTAAAATAGAAAAAAATAGCCCATTCATGATACATGAATTAAAGAAAATATTGGTAACATGTATGGTAACAGATTAGTAGCTGAGAACCCAAAGGCTGCCCCAGGTTGCTTCAAATCCTGGTTCTGCCATGTTCCAGCTGTGTGACCTTGGGCAAACTATCTTACCCTTTGTTTCAGTTTCCTCATCAGGAAAATGGGCTTTAATAGGATTATTGTGTGGATTGAGTTAATAAGTAAAGTGCTTAGAACAGGCCTCCAAAATAGTAAGTGTTGTATGCGTTAGCTATTATTAATACATCACAAATTTCCACTAAAGAAAATCTTCCCTAGTTTGTATATGGGATTGTCAGAAAACAAATGGAAAAATCATAGTATAAACAGCCTATATGGCTTTAAAGAATTATATAAAACACATGATCTTTCTGAAGTAGTTTTTTAAAAGAAAAAAGTTAGAACTAACTTCTCCCTTGATTTTCACTTTTTAGAGTGGTGAAACCAGAACAATATCTCACTTTCATTATACTACCTGGCCAGATTTTGGAGTCCCTGAATCACCAGCTTCATTTCTCAATTTCTTGTTTAAAGTGAGAGAATCTGGCTCCTTGAACCCTGACCATGGGCCTGCGGTGATCCACTGTAGTGCAGGCATTGGGCGCTCTGGCACCTTCTCTCTGGTAGACACTTGTCTTGTTTTGGTAAGTGCTTCTTACGATCTCATTTTAATCTCATTGATTTTTTTTTTTAAATTGCTTCCACTGGCAGTGAATAAACTCTGATGCTGTATCCCAGAACTGAGGTTTTTCAACTTAAACTTCTACTTTTGGAAAAACCTAAAAATCTCATTTCCACCGTTGCAACTGCCTCTTATTCATGACTGGTAGGAATGTATCCATGATGATTTTAGAGATCCCTAAGAAGGTGTTTTTCTTCCTGGTAGCTTTATATTACAGAAATAATAGGTCTCTCCCCCACATTTTTTCAAATATAAATTCATATGTAATATTGAATTCCTTCCTCCTCAGACAGATACTTTATCTCATTTTTTAAATTTAAAAACTAGGGATAATGATAGACATACTTCACAGGGTTCCTGTGAGAATTCAATGAATTAATACATTAAGGAGACTTAGAAGAGTCCCTGATGTTTTCTGAGCATTCCATAAATGTCAGTATTACTGTTACTCCCCTGAGGTTCCTGTCTGTGCCCCCAACGGCTAATTCTTTCTCCACCAGTCATTCCCAGTCCCAGCCTGTATACAGCCTAGATCTTTTCTTCTCTTTTTAGGACCTTTATTTTTTCGTTACTTGGGATACATGAAACTTCTGTTTGCCCTTATACTTCTCCTAACTTCTGTCTTTACTTCTTCCTCTTATTATAGGATCAAACCCAACAATAATACTGTCTGCTTTGATTTCCATGCCATCTACTCCTTCAGTAGTCCCTGCAGCTTAGTTTCTGCTTTCTGAGCGTGTTCTAAGATTATCAATAACCTAAGCAGTTTAGCTTGTCCTGGTATTCAGTCTGGTGGGGATTTTGTTTTTGTCTTTGTTTAGACAGAGTCTTGCCCTGTCACCCAGGCTGGAGTACAATGGTGCAATCACTGCTCACTGCAGCCTCAACCTCCTGGACTCAAGTGATCCTCCCACCTCAGCCTCCCAAGTAGCTGCCTGCACCACCACACCCAACTAGTTTTTGCTTTTTTATTTTTAGTAGAGACAAGGCCTCACTATCTTGGCCAGGCTAGTCTCAAATTCCTGGGCTCAAGTGATCTTCTTGCCTCAGCCTGCCAAAATGCTGGGATTACAGGTTTGAGCCACCACGCTTGACACAAGACTGGTGTTCTTAACCTTGACTTTAAGGCCCTGTATTAGTCTCTTCGATGTTTCTGTAAAACGTAGCTATGCTTCATTGCAGTTATGTCAGCATTCTTATGCTTTCCACCATGACTGCCAGCACAAAGTAGATTCCCAGGTGAATTAATATGATGATGCTTTTCATTGTAAACACACACACAAGGAGCTTGATCAATGGAGTGATACTCTTGGAAGGAGTGATACTCTTGGAAGAACATTTCAGACGTTGCATCTCTAATGAAAGCTAGGAATTGGGAACGGTTGAGTCTTAACTAAACATCTGTATTACTTTACCACTCTGCGTATATATAGTATACTTCAATCAAAATTAGATTGTTACATCAAAGTTTTAAAACTCTGGTGATTATTTTGTTAATGACACCTGTTCCCTGCCAACTATAACTTCAACAATTTTTTTTCTTTTATTTTTGGTGAGCCTGGGTGTGGGGATTCTAACACTAGGTCAGTAGTCCAGAGCAGTGCTGTAGCTCAGCAGTGTTATCGTGGATCTGGGCTTTTGCTGTCTTTTCCACCGTCTTTCTTCATTTTATTTTATTATTCTATTTATTTATTTATTTATTTATTTGAGACGAAGTTTCGCTCTGTTGCCAGGGTGGAGTGCAGTGGTGCAATCTCAGCTCACTGCAACCTCCGCCTCCCGGGTTCAAGAGATTCTCCTGCCTCAGCCTCCCGAGTAGCTGGGACTACAAGTGCGTACCACCATGCCCAGCTAATTTTTGTATTTTTAGTAGAGACGGGGTTTTACCATGTTGTCCAGGAAGGTCTCAATCTCTTGACCTCATAATCTGCCCACCTTGGCCTCCCAAAGTGCTGGGATTACAGGTGTGACCCACCACATTTTTATTTATTTATTTATTTATTTATTTATTTATTTATTTATTTATTTATTTTTGAGATGGAGTCTCGCTCTGTCGCCCAGGCTGGAGTATAGTGGCACTATCTGACCTCACTGCAACCGCCGCCTCCTGGGTTCAGGCGATTCTCCAGCCTCAGCCTCCAATGTAGCTGGGATTACAGACATGCGCCGCCACACCCAGCTAATTTTTGTATTTTTAGTAGAGATGGCATTTCGCGATGTTGGCCAGGCTGGTCTCTAGCTCCTGGCCTCAAGTGATTTGGCCTCCCAAAGTGTTGGGATTACAGGCATGAGCCATCATGCCTGGCCTCTTTTCCACCATTGTTAGATGGGTGCTGTATATCCAGACATCGTGTCTGTAGTGCAGACATGAAGGAGGCGGAAGGGGAATGAGCAGAAAGGTTGACTCCTGCCATGACTTTTAAAAAAAAAAATAGTCCTTATACTAGCCAGAACTGGTTATAAATCCTTCCTTTAACCAATGACTGGCCAGAAGGAATGAGATTACTATGATTGGTTTGGAATCAGTTGTGAATCAGCTAAAGAATCAAAGTCCTCCAACTACTTGAGGGGTTGAGATGTGGGGAGGGATGAGTAGGCTGGGATAGTTGTTGTGTACATAACAGTTATAGCTGGAGGGTTAAATTATCGTTGTTCTTTCAGAGGAGAAAATGCATAGCAAAAATCTTAGCAATGATCTTGCATTGATTCTGTTTCCTGGGTTCCAATAACAAGACTTGTCTCATTTTTTGCCTTTCTTGCAGATGGAAAAAGGAGATGATATTAACATAAAACAAGTGTTACTGAACATGAGAAAATACCGAATGGGTCTTATTCAGACCCCAGATCAACTGAGATTCTCATACATGGCTATAATAGAAGGAGCAAAATGTATAAAGGGAGATTCTAGTATACAGGTAAACTTCATACAGGTTTTAAATCATATCTATTTGTTAAATACACATAGCATCAAATAACTGCACTCCACTTGAGCCCTTGTCTTTGTTTCAAAGAGTGTATTTGAATTTTTGTGGTAAATCCAGCTGGCTGTCTTAAAATTGTAAAATTTTAGCTAGCTTCCTCATATATACTCAGCCTCAGGTTAAATCCTGTGTGTTACTTAAAAGCCCTTGTAGAAACAAGATTTCATTAAAGAAACTGAATTTTTCATTTTGGGGGTGGTTAATCTTTTAATTATTAAAGTAACTGGAAACTTGAGATACTTTTGCCTTCATTAAACACTGATACTTGGTTTATGTGATATTTGACTTTATAACAACAAGCAACTTGAATATTTATGGCAGATATAATGAAATTCCAGCAAAATGTTATATTCTTCTGGTTGGTGGCTTTATTCTCATTAAGCTATTTTTACTGCATATTTGTAGAACCTAAGTTCAAAGACTGATCAGAAACTTGTGTTATGTACTAAGTTAAAATGTAAAATAGAAACAACCACAGACTCCATTTTTTGTCTGGTTTAATCACATAGTATTGGACATAAGCAGATACTGTAAGTTGATGCATAATATAAGAAGATCGACTGTCTTTTCATTATGTTTCTCATGTGTGAACATATTTACTAGCACTTTCATTTCTCTGATTACTAGCCAATATAAGAATGTAAATTAGATCGGACCATTGGTGTCAGAATAAAGGTTTATTTAAAAAGATTTTTTCCAAATCTTTAAATAGCATTAAAATATTCTTAATGCACAGAAACATTAGGGCACTCAGAGCCAAAATACGCAATGTTTGGGAAACTCAGCCCATTAGAACATGTCCTGCTTCAGACGCCAGACTTTGGGAACACTGGATTTGCCAGGGTCACTTTGGCAGTGATCAGTGATTTAGGTGAAGTAAAAGTTATTTCAGATGTTTAAGATTAGGAAAATTTCCCTTTCTAATCACAGTGAGCTTTCACCAACTTAAATCTGGAGTTCAAAAAGAAAAGTAGTTCAATCAGATTTCCCCATGCCTTCACAGCCTGCATGCCGCCTTCCCTGCCTGCTTCCTGGCTGTGATGAGACGGGTAACTGGGAGGGAAATGTATTGTCCTTTGGATTGTGTCTTTCCTACCACTGCTTTTTTTTTTTTTAAGTTTTGTGTCTTTAGTTTTAGAATACATACTTTATCTGAGGGTGGATCTTTTTTTATCACAGAGATGAGTTTTTCTGGACACACTTTTTTGTGGAGTCTTTGACAGTGCAGTTTGTGGCTAGGAAGGATTTTTTTTCTGTTAATTTATCTGGTGTGATATTGTCCTCAGGCTCTCAATTCTAAGGCATTTTCTGCCCCTATTCCAGATAGGATATTGGAAACATCTTTATCCTTCAGGTACTCAGGATCAGAAAAGCATGCTGCCCATTCCAAGGGGTTAATTTCTGCAGAAATGGTCTTGGCATTCTGAGAATCTTTTTTAATTGGTGCATTTAGACCATCGGCATATGAAGTGATTACTGATAAAGTTGGATTAATAAATACATACCACACATGCTACTGGTTTTTTTTTCTTTTTTTGAGACGCAGTTTTGCTCTTGTTGCCCAGACTGGAGTGCAATGGCACAATCTCGGTTCACTGCAGCCTCTGCCTCCCAGGTTCAAGTGGTTCTCCCCACTCAGCCTTCCGAGTAGTTGGGATTACAGGTGCCTGCCACCACTCCTGGCTAATTTTGCATTTTTAGTAGAGATGGGGTTTCACAGTGTTGACCAGGCTGGTCTCGAACTCCTGACCTCAAGTGATCGCCCACCTCGGCGTCCCAAAGTGCTGAGATTACAGGCGTGAGCCACCGCACCCAGCCCAAAGTGATTGTATCTTAAGTCTGTAAATATGTGTAATTATAATCTTAAAGCATGTATTCATTTACAGAAAACTTCCAATGACTTTGACATTCCTATAGACATATAGGCTATTTGCAATTGCCTTTCAGCACAAGGTCAGGCATAAATACTTAAGCTGGTTGCTGGTATTACCACATATTTATTAGCATATTCCCAGTATTGATGATGACAGTTAACCCCCCAGAGTAAATATCTAGTTTGGCAATTCAGAACTAATGTTGTAAGATCTCTAGCTGGTAATTTGATATTACTAATAAAGTATTAAATGTAAATGATAAACTTTTAACAAATTACAGAGGATTTGAAGTTTAATTGCATTGCTTAAAGCTTTCTTCAGTGAGAGAAATGGGTAGAGCTAGGGTTCTAGGCATTGTGTGGGGGGCATGGCTCCTAGTGGCAGTGACTCATGGGTTGGTGCAACGTGAGCACAGAATTAGAAAGAAAGATGAAACAGTACCAGGCCTCAAAATGAGAGCTCCTTTGAGGTTATAGTTTAGTGAAATGTAATTCCTTGGCTTCACCAGTCAGCATTAATGACCTGAGGCAGGTGACTCAGGAGTGCTGGCTCCCTTGTGTGTCACAGGGAGGACAGAGACGAGTGAGTTTGCTGAACCTATATAGGCATGAGTGAGTTTGCTGAACATAGGCACGAGTGAGTCTGCTGATCATAGCCATGAATGAGTCTGTCGAACATAGCCATGAGTGAGTTTGCTGAACATAGCCATGGCAAAATGACATTGTTGGGTTTGTGGGGTTTTTTTAATTCACTAGCATTAAATATCTCTTTTATTTCTCTCTCTGCCGAGTGCTTTCCTTGTTGACGTATTCTGAATTTGTTGCATATTCTGGGAAGTGGTCCAGTGAGACTTGATTTTTGGTGTCATCTTATTTGTTGACATTGTTGAGTGTTGTCCAGCTATAAGGCCAAGTTACATAACTAGGTCTCAGTCAAGAGTGGAAACTTCAAAAATTGACCAGTGTAAATTCTGGAGACAATTTAACATTTTTGTGGGGTACTTTGTTGAACACACATCTTTATAAGGGGTCACAGCATAGTCAACCCAGACTTGCCTAGGTTAAAATTCTGTCTCTACTATTTGTTAGGTGCATATCCTTGGGCGAGTTACCTAATTATTCTCCCCACATCTTCCGTAAAAAGGGTGTAATAATGGTAATATTAGTATTAGTGCTTATCTCCTAAGGTTATTGTGAGGATTAAGAGCTAGCACATTTGAAGTGTTAGAATATGGCATGGAGAGTAGCAAGTACTCCATGTCTTCACTATAAAAGATTTGGATTGAGTAACAAAACAAACAAGGGAACAAAGAAAATAGACAGTCATCTAAGTGAAGACATCCTTAATTACTCCTGTGTTCCATTATATTGTAGTTTCTTGATTGTTGGCACAGTATTCTTTCGGGGACATGGTTTGCGCCCTCTTAGGGCTCAGGATTTTCAGTTCTACCCCACTACTCATGAAGTCCAGAGACCTCTTTCCCGGAGGTCTATTTCCTTTCCAGCCTCATCTCTCCTACTCAAGCTTTGCGTGTTTTCCATCCTCTAGACAAATTGTACCAAACTGTACTACTAACTGTTCTCCAAACACAACAAACTGTAGAATTTCACATTTTCTAAATCTTCTGTAAATCAACTATTATAAAACAAAAAAGCCAGCCGTGGTAGTTCTCTCCTATAGTCCCAGCTACTCAGGAATCTGAGACAGGAGGACTGCTTGAGCCCAGGAGTTTGAGGCTACAGTGAGCTGTGATCACACCATTGCATTCTGGCCTGGGCAACAGAGTAAGACCCCATCTCTAAAAAAATTAAAAACATAAAAAGAGGTACATTGATTATGCAGCTAAGTAAAATAGCCATATCTGGGAACGGTGAAGTGTGGAAAATGCTTTTTTTTTTGAAACAGAGTTTCACTGTTGTTGCCCAGGCTGGATTGCAGTGGCGTGATCTCGGCTCACTGCAACCTCCGCCTCCCAGATTCATGCAATTCTCCTGCCTCAGCCTCCCAAGTAGCTGGGATTACAGGCTTGCACCACCATGCCTGGCTAATTTTGTATTTTTAGTAGAGACAGGGTTTCTCCATGACACCGAGTCTCATCTTTCACCCAGGCTAGAGTACAGTGGCACAATCTCAGCTCACTACAACCTCGGCCTCCCGGGTTCAAGCAATTCTTCTACCTCAGCCTCCCAAGTAACTGGGATTACAGGCATGTGCCACCACACCCAGCTAATTTTTGTATTTTTGGTAGAGATGGGGTTTCACCATGTTGCCCAGGCTGGTCTCAAACTCCTGACCTCAAGTGATCTGCCCACCTCAGCCTCCCAAAGTGCTGAGATTACAGGCATGAGCCACTGTGCCAGGCGTGCCTTTTTCTTTTTAATACCTCTGGTACATGATGACAATGAGACAAATTAGAAACTAGTTTATCCATTGTATGAATGGATTTCCCAGAGATTTTTTAAAGATCTGAATACAAGCATTGCTTTTAACAGTACCATATTGCACAAGAGTAACTCCAGGGAATGAATATTCCATAAGTTCTAAAAAACTTTAAGTTGCAATGTTACATCTCTGTCCAAAATCATTAGACTCCTCGGGCAATAAGTAGAGTATTCCTTATTTATTAGATCCAAGACTCCTTGCGTCCTTGATAGGATCTTCAAAGAAGGCCATCCCTGTCCATACCAAGTCATTTGGGCCAGTGTCAGTCATAGGTAATCAAAACCATTGGCTCCCACTGCTTCTGCCTCTACCACTTGCCACTGGCAGATACATAGATGGGGATCATGTTTCATCCTTTCAAGGACTTGAGAGACTATAGTCCCAGTGCATAGGTTATATATGCGTTTTTCTTCTCTGGCATGTACAATTGTCACTGCTTTCATCTGCAGGGGCCCAGATACACTCTTCTTCCTCTACCTTTGTCCCTAGGAATGGTGACAAGTGAGAGCACAGGAAACATATTTTCTAGACATGATGCTGGGCGCTTCACATGCCATCTCATTAATCACAACTGTCTCCCAGGGTAGATGATGACATCCTCTTTCATAGAAGAAACTGAAATTTGTCTTCATCTTGGTCCGAATCCTGGTTTGTGTTGCCATCTACTCCTGAAGGCCATGCTAGAGGCATGCTGGAGGGTGTTTCTCTAGCCCAGTGGTGGGCTAGCCAGCTGCCTGGAGCTGCTAGCGTACCTGATAGACACAACCAAATTAAAGTCCTTTAGCATCACAAGGACCAGCTTGGAGATCTCACCGTTAGTTCTCCCCTAGACTGAACAGTGGCAAGGAGCAAGAAGGTTCCAGATCACATTCAAGCACCACTGTGGTGACTACTCCAGTGTTACATACCTCTGGATTAGAAGTGGATTAAGATTCAAGCAAAATCTACCTTGGCTGAAATCTTTTTAAAAATTTTTGTGTTTTTTGTGCAGTGCTACTTTATTTTTTATTTTGTTTTTTTGTCTGTTGGTTGGTTGGTTCTTTTGAGACGGAGTCTCGCTCTGTCGCCCAGGAGTGCAGTGGTGTGATCTCAGCTCACTGCAACCTCCGCCTCCTGGGGTCAAGTGATTCTCCTACCTCAGCCTCCCGAGTAGCTGGGACTATAGGCGTGTGCCACCACACCCAGCTAATTATTTTGTATTTTTAGTAGAGATGGGGTTTCACCATGTTAGCTAGGATGGTCTCGATCTCCTGACCTCTTGATCCACCTGCCTCAGCCTCCCAAAGTGTTGGGATTACAGGCGTGAGCCACCGCATGCCCCGGCCTTTGTTTTTAATTGACACTTAGTAATTGTACATATTTATGGGGTTCAGTGTGATATTTTGATACATTTATGTAATGACCAAATTAGACTAGCACGTCTATCACCTCATACATTTATCTTTTCTTTGTGGTGAAAACGTTCAAAATCCTCTCTTCCAGCTATTTTGAAATCTCTATTTAATTATATATTATTATGTGCTAATATATTTCATAGTACTTGAAATATATATAAGTATATATAAGTATTTCGAAATAGCCAGAAGAGAGGATTTTATGTGTATATAAAATGTGTATGTATATAAATTTTTTTCGAGATAGGGTCTCATTCTCTTGTTCATGCTGGTGTACAGTGGCACGATCATGGCTCGCTCACTGTAGCCTCCGCCTCCTGGGCTCAAGTGATCCTCCTGCCCTAGTCTCTTAAGTAATTGGGACTGCAGGCGCGTGCCACCACATATGGCTAATTTTTAAATTTTTGTAGAGACTGGGTCTCACCATGTTGCCCAGGCTGATCTCAAACTCCTGGGCTCAAGCGATCTGCCCGCCCTAGCCTCCCAAACTGCTAGAATTGCAGGCATGAGCCACCACACCCTGTCTGAAATATTAAATATTATTAACCATAGTCATTCTGTGCAGTAAAACACCAGAACTCATCCCCCTGTTGAACTGTTGTTCAGTTTCTCACTATGCCCCCTCTTCCCTACTCTGCGAAGCCTCCAGTAGGTACTATTCTACTCTCTGCTTCTATGAGATTAACATTTTTAGATTCCACATATGAGTGAGAACATACAGTATTTGTCTTTGTGTACTTGGCTTAATGTCCTCCAGTTTCATCCATTTTGCCACAAAAGACAGGATTTCTTTTTTTTTTAATGGCCAAATAGTATTATATTATATATATATATATATATTTTTTTTTTTTTTTTTTTCCACATTTTCTTTCTCCCTCCATTCATTGATGGACATTTAGGTTGATTCCGTATCTTGACTACTGTGAATAGTGCTGCAATAAGCACAGGAGTGCCGATATGCCTTTGAAATCCTAATTTCATTTCCTTTGGATAAATACCCAGTAGTGGGATTGCTGGATCATATGATAGTTCTATTTTTAATCTTTTAAGGAACCTTTATGCTGTTTTCCAAGATGGCTGTACTAATTTACATTCCACCAGCCGTGTACAAGAGTTCCCCTTTCTCCACATTCATGCCAGCATTTATTTTTTGTCTTTTTGATAATAGTCATTCTAATTGGGGTGTGGTGATATCTCAGTGTGGTATTGATTTGCATTATTCTGATGATTAGTGATATTGACCATTTTCTCATGTATCTGTTGGCTCTTTGTATGTCTTTTAAGAAATGGCTATTCAGGTCTTTTACCTATTTTTAATTGGATTACTTGTGTTTTCTGCTATTGAATTTTGTTTGAGTTTCTTATATATTCTGGATATTAATCCCTGTCAAATGTATAGTTTGCAGATATTTTCTTCCATTCTGTAGATTGTCTCTTCAGTCTATCGATTGCTTCCTTTGCTATACAGAAGCTTTTTAGTTTGATGTAATCCCATTTGTCTGTTTTTGCTTTTGAGGTCTTATACAAAAGACCCTTCCCTTGCCCAGACCAATGTCCTGAAGTGTTTCCCTATCTTTTCTTCTAGTATGTATATTTGTTTGGGGTCTCATATTTAAGTCTTTAGTCCATTTTGAGTTGATTTTTTAATATGGTGAGAGATAGGGGTCTAGTTTCATTCTTGGGCATCTAGATATCCAGTGTTCCCAACACCATTTATCAAAGAGACTGTCCTTCACCAGTGTATATTCTTGGCATCTTTGTCAAAAATAAATTGGCTGTAAATACGTAGATTTATTTCCATGCTCTGTCTTCTGTTTTATTGGTCTTTATACCTGTTCTTATGATAGTAGCATGCTATTTTGGTTACTATAGCTTTGTAGTATATTTTGAGGTCAGGTAGTGTGATGCCCCCAGCTTTTTGCTCAAAATTGCTTTGGCTTTTGGGGTCTTTTATGATTTCATACAAATTTTAGGATTATTTATTCTGTTTCTGTGAAGAATATCATTGGTATTTTCATTGAATTGCATTGAATCTGTAGATCACTTTATGTAGTATGGACATTTTAACAGTATTAATTTTAATCCATGAACATAGGCTATCTTTCCATTTGTGTCCTCTTCAACTTTTTCCATTAATGTTTTATAATTTTCATTATAGAGATCTTTCACCTCCTTGGTTAAATTTATTCCTAGGTAATTTTTTTGAAAATGGAATTGCTTTCTTGATTTCTTTTTTCAGATAGTTTGTTAGTGATGTATAAAATTCTACTGATTTTTATTTGTTGATTTTGTATCCTGCAACTTTACTGATTTTTTTTATTAGTTATAACAGTTTTTTGGTAGAGTCTATAGGGTTTTCTATACATAAGATTATGTCTTCTGCAAACAGAGACAATTTGACTTCCTCCTTTCCAATTTGAATACCCTTTCTCTTAGCTAATTGCTCTGGCTAGGACTTACAGTATTATGCTGAATAAAAGTGTTGAAAGTGGGCATCCTAGCCCGGTGCGGTGGCTCATGCCTGTAATCCCAGCACTTTGGGGGGCTGAGATGGGCAGATCATGAGGTCAAGAGATTGAGACCACCCTGGCCAACATGGTGAAACTCTGCCTCTACTAAAAATACAAAAATTAGCTGGGTATGCTGGCACGCGCCTGTAGTCCCAGCTACTCGGGAGGCTGAGGCAGGAGAATCGCTTGAACCTGGGAGGCAGAGGTTGCAGATCATGCCACTGCACTCCAGCCTGGTGACAGAGCAAGACTCCATCTCAAAAAAAAAAAAAAAAAAGAAAGGAGGCATCTTTGTCTTGTTCCAGATCTTAAGAGGAAAAGCTTTCAACTTTTTCATGTTCAGTATGATATTAACTATGGGTTTGTCATAACGTGGCTTTGTGTTGAGGCACAATTTCCTCCATACTTAATTTGTTGAGAGTTTTTATCATGAAGGTATGTTGAATTTTTTTTTTTTTTTGAGACAGAGTCTTGCTCTGTTGCCCAGGCTGGAGTGCAGTGGTGCAATCTCGGCTCACTGCTACCTCCGCCTTCTGGGTTCAAGCGATTCTCATGCCTCAGCCACCTGAGTGGCTGGGATTACAGGCATGCACCACCACACCCAGCTATTTTTTGTATTTATAGTAGAGATGGGGTTTCACCATGTTGGCCAGACCAGTCCCAAACGCCTGACCTCAAGTGATTCACCCACCTCAGCCTCCCAAAGTGCTGGGATTACAGGCATGAACCACCACGCCCAGCCGCTATGTTGAATTTTATCAAATGGTTTTTCTGCATCTGTTGAAATGATCATATGGTTCTTGTCCTTGATTCTGTTGATTTTTGAGAGATCATGTTTATTGATTTACATATGTTGAACCATCCTTTCATCCCTTGGATGAATCCCACTTGGTCATGGTAAATGATGTTTTTAATATACTGTTGAATTCAATTTGCTATTATTTCATTCAGGATTTTTGCATCCATATTCATCAAGGATATTGGCCTGTAGTTTTCTTTTTTGTTGTGTCCTTGTCTGGTTTTGGTATCAGGGTAATGCTGGCCTTACAGAATGATTTTGGAAGATTTCCCTCTTCAGTTTTTTGAATAGTGTGAAAGGAATTAGTATTATTTAAATGTTTGTTAGAATTCAGCCATGAAGCCATCAAGTCCGGGCTTTTCTTTGATGGGAGACTTTTTATTACTGATTTAATCTCACTCTTTATTGGTCAGTTCAGGTTTTCTATGTCTTCATGGTTCCGTTTTGATAGTTCGTGTGTGTCTAAGAATTTAGCCATTTCCTCTAGGCTTTTCAATTTGTTGGCATACAGTTGTTTATAATAGTCTCTTACAATACTTTGTTTATGGTATTAGTTGTAATATCTCCTTTTTCATCTCTGATTTGAGTCTTTTTTTTTTCTTAGTCTGCTATAGGTTTGTTGATTTTGTTTGCCTTTTCAAAAAAATGATCCTTGGTTTTGTTGATCTTTCGTTTCTTTTTTTTGGTCACTTTATTTCCATTCTTCTGGTCTTTATTATTTTCTTTGTTCTGCTAATTTTGGGTTTAGTTTATTATTTTCTAGTTCCTTGAGGTACATCAGGTTGTTTATTTGAGAACTTTCTTTTTCTTTTTTTTTTTTTTTTTTTTGAGACAGTTTCACTCTGACCCCTAGACTGGAGTGCAGTGGCATGATTTTGGCTCAGTGCAACCTCCGCCTCCCGGGTTCAAGTGATTCTTATGCCTCAGCTTCCCAAATACTTGGAATTACAGGTGCCCACCACCACTCCTGGCTAATTTATGGTAGAGATGGCATTTCACCATGTTGGCCAGGCTGGTCTCAAACTCCTCACCTCAGGTGATCCTCCAGCCTCTACCTCCCAAAGTTCTTGGGTGTGAGCCACCCACCTGGCCTGATTGTGATTTTTTTCTTTTTTTAATTTGTTGAGACTTGTTTTTGTGGCCTAACATATGGTCCATCATGGAGAATGTTCCATGTGCTGATGAGAAAAATGTGTATTCTGTGGCTGTTGGAGGGAATGTTCTGTAAATGTGTGTTAGGTCCATTTGGCCTAGAGTGCAGTTTAAATCCAATGTTTTTTTGTTGATTTTATGTCTGGATGATCTGTCCATTGCTGAAAGTGGGATGTAGCGTTCTCCTGCTATTATTGTATTGCAGTCTATGTCTCCCTTTAGATGTAATAATACTTGCTTTATATATTTGTGTGCACCAGTGTTGTGTGCATAGATATTTAAAATCATTACATCCTCCTGCTGAACTGACCCCTTTGACCTTTGTTTCTTTTTACAATTTTTGACCTAAAGTCTATTTTATCAAAATATAGCTACTCCTCTTCTCTTTTTGGTTTTAATTTGCATGGAGTATCATTTCTCATCCCTTCACTTTCAGTCTTAGTGTGTCCTTACAGGTGAAGTGAGTGTCTTGTAGGCAACATAGAGTTGGATTTTGTTTTTTGTTTTTTCATCCATTCAGCCACTGTATCTTTTCATTGAAGTATTTAATCTATTTACATTCAAGGGTATTATTGATAGATAAGGACTTACACCTGCCATTTTGTTAATTGTTTTCTGTTTGCTTTTCATATTCTTTATTCCTTTCTTTCTCTCTTATTGTTTACCTTTGTGGTTTGGTGATTTTCTATAGTGATAAGCTTTGATTTATTTCTCTTTCTCATTTGTGTGTCTGCTGTAGTTACTTTTTTTCTTTGTGGTTACTCTGGGGCTTACATTAAACATCTTAGAGTGTTTTAAGCTGATAATAACTTAACCTTGGTCTCATAAAATATTTTTGGCTTTTACCCTCCCCCCACAACTTATAATTTTGTTGCTTAATTTACATCTTTTTATATTGTGTGGTCCTTAACAACTTGTAGCTGTAGTTACCATTAACCATTTTTTACTTTTAACCTTCATAATGGAGATTTGAAAGATTATATTCCACAGTTACAGCAATGGAGTTTTCTGAATTTGGTAATTAATTTACCTCTGTCAGTGAGATTATATTTTCATATATTTTCATGATAGTAATTATACTTTTGCTTCCAGTCAAAGCAGCTCCCTTAAGCATTTCTTGTAAGGCTAGTCTAGTGGTAATAAATTCTTGCAGCTTTTGCTTGTCTGGGAAAGACTCCATTTTTCTTTCATTTCTGAAAGATAGCTTTGCTAGTAGTTGTTATCTTTCAGCACTTTGAATATATTATCCCATTCTCTACAGTCTGTTCTTTCTTGGCGTGTACAGGTTTTCTGAGAAATCTGTTAATAGCAACCTGCCAGGTTCCCTTACATGTGACTTGATCCTTTTCTCTTGCTGCTTTTAGAATTCTCTATGTCTGACTTTTGATGGCTTTATTATAATGTACCTTGGAGAGAGGACCTCTTTGCATTGAATGTGTTCAGTGTGCTGTCGAGTTTCATGGATCTGGCTACCAATATTAAAATTATATTACTGTGACTAATAGTTGAGTGTGGTCCCAGTATAGTTTGTCTCAAATAGGTAAAAGTCCACAAGATTTTATTAAGATTATTATATTCAACTATATACTCATGTACATAAATACTAAATGCTTTATTATAAAATTTTGAAATTAAAATAAGCATAGTTGTTACAAGCTACAGTATGGCAAAATGCCTTTTTCTTTTTCACTCATCTTTTAGCATCATTGGGTTTTCTTAACTTGAATATAGGATTTTAATTCATAAATTTTTTTATTTAAGGAAAATAAATTTTTAATGTTTGCATTTGTTTTTCATTTCTCTTCCCTACCTAGAAACGATGGAAAGAACTTTCTAAGGAAGACTTATCTCCTGCCTTTGATCATTCACCAAACAAAATAATGACTGAAAAATACAATGGGAACAGAATAGGTCTAGAAGAAGAAAAACTGACAGGTGACCGATGTACAGGACTTTCCTCTAAAATGCAAGATACAATGGAGGAGAACAGTGAGAGGTAAGCTTTCTATAACTACAGGCTGAAAGATGAGGCTTTTTTATTTTAAAAATAAATTTTATGGGACCAGGTGCCATAGGATTTCAGGTATGTAATTTTTATATTAGGAAAATACAATCACGCCTGTAATCTCAACACTTTGGGAGGCCAAGGAGGGAAGATCACTTGAGTCTAGGAGTTTGAAACCAGCCTGGGCAACATAGTGAGACCTTATCTCTACAGAAAATAAACAAAATTAGCCAGGTGTGGTGATGCGAGCCTGTGGTCCCAGCCACTCGGGAGACTGAAGTGGGAGGATCACTTGAGCTGGGGAGGTCGAGGTTGCAGTGAGCTGACATACCACCACTGCACTCCCACCTGGGTGACAAAGCAAGACCCTGTCTCATAAATAATAATAATAAATAAATAATTATGTGGATATGATATATGAAATAATATAGGCCCTTTTTTTTATTGAATTAATATAACCTTTTTTTTTCTCTGTCACCCAGGCTAGAGTGCGGTGGCACAACCTTAGCTGCTCCACCTCCTGGGTTCAAGCAATTCTCCTGCCTCAGCCCTCCCATGTAGCTGGGATTACAGGCGCCCACCACCATGTCCAGCTAATTTTTGTATTTTTAGTAGAGAGAGGGTTTCACCATGTTAACAAGGCTGGTCTTGAACTCCTGACCTCAGGTCATCCACCCGCCTCAGCCTCCCAAAGTGCTGGGATTACAGGCGTGAGCCACCGTGCCCAGCCAAATTAATATAACCTTTATTTCTTACCTGAGGGTATTTAGTATATGATGACAAAGGTGTTCTTAAGGAGCTTTCAGCCAATACTTAGAAACCAGTTCAAAAATCCTTTAAAACAATAATGATTGAGTGTAAAAGTTAATATAATTGGGTGCTAAAATATATGGTATGGTACAGAAAATAAGTAGTATGAATACCTGCCATTTGTACTATAATTATAATGTAACTGATAATATGCCTTTAATAAAACATTTAAACATGTAAGCTTAATTGCATTACTGGAGAAAGAAAAAGGCGTTTTTTAAAAATCCATATGAATGTGGCATCTATTCAGAATTTTAAATTACAATTACATTTCTAAGACTGTCTCTCACAGATTAGGAAGCTGATAACCTGGTATAAGTCACATAGCAAAGTGAATGAGGTTTTTCTTTCCTCTCTCCTGCATCTCTGAATAACTTTTCTTCTTCTCTTTTTGCCAAATATACTTCTTATCATGGGGAATTTTATCTTGTGGTTATATTTGTTAGATTGGAATGAAAATAGTCGAAGTCTGCCATACATTATAGCTTTACTGCTGTATTTTCCTAATATAAAAATTAAATACCTGAAATTTTATAAATGCTAACATATTCCAATATATAATACATGTATTATTATATATTATAGTGGAAGAGTTTATTATGATTTAGTAATGTTATTCCCAATTTTTGACTTCAGTAGTTTTAGACTGCAAGAGAAAGCATAATTTTTTTGGTTCCTTTTTTCATCTTAAATAGAATATCTTTAAATCAGGAAATAATAGTTTTAAGTTACCTTAGCTTTTTCAATAATAAGGCTTTCAGATTCCTAGTGTTACTGCTTTTTCCCCCCTTTTATCTAGTACTATCTGCAGAATTAAATGAAAAACAGGCTTGATGACTGAAATGGCATTCTTAGTATTTCAGAAGTGTTGAGTTTTAATCTACAAAGATTCAGAACAACCATGTTAATCCTAGTGAGTTAAATCACTCATACAAGCTTGCAAATACAGAGGAGACTACTAAAACCACTCTAGAGTCTATAACTCTAAGGAGTTATAGAGTGATTGCAGAAGACTGTTTTATGGGGTCTGTGTGTGTGTTTATGTGCCTGTACATGTTTTCGCATGTGGTGGCGGTGTTTTCTTCTTTCCCTTTTTTCCTTCCCTGTCTGATAAATGAGACTGGTGCATGTTTGAAAGCAGAGAGTCCCAACAGAAAAGTCAGAATTCTAAGCGGAGAAGTCTGATTACAAAAACAAGGTTACAGAAATGAAAAAGAGGAGGCCGGGCGTGGTGGCTCACGCTTGTAATCTCAGTGCTGTGGGAGGTCAAGGCAGGTGGATCACTTGAGGTCAGGAGTTTGAGACCAGCCTGGCCAACATGGTGAAACCCCGTCTCTGCTGAAAATACAAAAATTAACCAGGCACTGAGAGTGAGAAACAACTTGGACATACGAATTTTAAAATACAAAAATTAAAGAGGCATTAACGCCTGTTGTCCCAGCTTCTTGGGAGGCTGAGGTGGGAGAATTGCTTGAACCCAGGAGGTTGCAGTGAGCCGAGATCATAAC
The DNA here is from genome assembly GCF_000001405.40 of Homo sapiens. NCBI lineage: Eukaryota > Metazoa > Chordata > Mammalia > Primates > Hominidae > Homo > Homo sapiens. Next base: position 12,799,642 of record NC_000018.10, on the reverse strand, counting down.
ACTGCACTCCAGACTGGGCAACAGAGCAAGACTCTTATCTCAAAAAAAAAAAAATGTAAAAGAAGAGCATAGGATCAGGGTGTGAAGTAAAGGTTACTCTGAACAGTTTTATTTTTTAATCAGTCCCAGTAATTTTTAATACCTATAGATAGCTTTGCATTAAAGATCCTCATAAAAGTCTTATCAAAAGAATTTCAAGTTTCTTTTTTTTCTTTTTTTTTTTCCTGAGACGGAGTCTTGCTCTGTCACCCAGGCTGAAGTGCAGTGGCGCAGTCTTGGCTCACTGCAACCTCCACCTCCCGGGTTCAAGCAATTCTCCTGCCTTAGCCTCCCAAGTAGCTGGGATTACAGGCCCCCGCCACTACACCCAGCTAATTTTTGTATTTTTAGTAGAGGCAGGGTTTCACCATGTTGGCCAGGCTGGTCTCGAACTCCTGACCTTGTGATCCTCCCGCCTCAGCCTCCCAAAGTGCTGGGATTACAGACATGAGCCACCACACCTGGCCAGAATTTCAACTTTCAAAAGAAATAGAACACAGTACTTTCTTGTATTCATTTTCATTGTATTCATTTGGAGGATATTCATCCTCCAAAGCAGTGTTTTTCAAATTGAAGGTCAAATCACATAGTCGTGAAGTTTATTGGATTATAAACATTTTTTAAAGAAGAAAATAGAATAAAATAGAAATTATCAGCATATCACAAATAATAACATGAATTTAACAGATGCTGGCGAGGTTGTGGAGAAAAAGGAATGCTTAAACACTGTTGGTGGGAGTATAAATTAGTTCAACTATTGTGGAAGACAGTGTGGTGATTCCTCAAAGACCTAAAAACAGAAATACCATTCAACCCAGCAATCCCATTACTGGGTATACACCCAAAAGAATATAAATCATTGTACTGTAAAGATGTAAACACACGCGTATGTTGATTGCAGCACTATTCACCATAGAAAAGACATGGAATCAATCTAAATGCCTATCAATGATAGACTGCATAAAGAAAATGTACATATACAGCATGGAATACTATGCATCCATAATAAAGAATGAGATCATGTCCTTTGTAGGGGCTTGGATGGAGCTGGAGGCCATTATCCTTAGCAAAACTAATGGAGGAACAGAAAACCAAATACCCCATGTTCTTACTAACAATTGAGAGCTAAATGATGAGAACACATGGACACATAGAGGGGAACAACACTGGGGGCCTGTCGGAGGATGGAGGGTGGGAGGAGGGGGACAATCAGGAAAAATAACTAATGGGTACTAGGCTTAATACCTGGGTGATGAAATAATCTGTACAACAAAACTTGTTGTACATGTCACGGAGATGACACAAGTTTCAAGCTTATGTAACAAGCCTGCACATGGACGTACCCCTGAACTTGAATTTTAACCTGTTTTTATATATGTATGTGTGATGTATAAATTCCATATATTTACATATACATTGTGTACCTATGTAAGTGTGTGTGTGAGGTTACTCTGTTGTGATGCTATTTCTTACTGTAGGTTGCAGTCTGAATTTGAAAGGCAGTATTCTCAATTACAGTTCAACCCAGAAACCCAGATCACTGAGAGTGAGAAACAACTTGGACATACGAAAAGTCTGGAGCAGGCAGAGTGGCTCATGCCTGTAATCCCAACACTCGGGGAGGCTGAGGCGGGTGGATCACTTGAGCCTAGCAGTTCAAGACCAGCCTGCGCAACATGGCAAACCCTGTCTCTACAAAAAATACAAAAATCCGCCAAATGTGGTGGGACCTGCCTGTAGTCTTAAGGGAGGCTGAGGTGGGAGGATTGCTTGAGCCCAAGAGGTTGAGGCTACAGGGAGCTATGATCACGCCACATGATCTTCCCTGGGCAAGGGTCCACAGGAGGCATTCCCATTGGTTAATATCCTAAATTGCATAAATATACGGGAAAACCTGGGCAGGTCCCATTTGGCAAGTCATTACACAGACATAATTTCTTTAGGCCCCACTAAGGAAGAAAAGATTTTATCACAAATCGAGAGTAGTCTTGTCATTCTCTGGAATTGTGTTCTTAAATTAGATACAGGCATGCCTTGGTATTTGTCTCTAGTCCATTCCTGAATTATATAGTGCACTTTTGGAAAGCAAAAACCTCTGTTCCATTCTTTTAAATGAGAAAAATAGTGTGTTGTCAGCCCAACCAGAAAGCATAACCAGTTCCCCCAAATATAGTACAAAACCTTTTAAACTCCTATGTAGCATTTAAAGCACTAATTATGTAATCATATAACACTTAAGGGACTCATTATTGGGCTTGTATGGTAAATGACAAAATACTAGATACAAATTATAATTGCCTTCTATACCGCAATGAAAATAAAAAATGAAATAATACGTTAAAGATTATATCTAAATTGGAACCTTGTTAACGATACCCCCAGGCTCCTGGCAAAAGCTAATAAAGGGCCCATGGGAGGCTAACCCCCTCTCTGTTTTTATACATATTTTGCCTACACTTGAACACAAATGTTTTCACTAACAGGTACATGCATATTTGTGATAGTGAATTTTCAATTCAGAGAGTGAATTCTGAGTAAGAATTTTTGCAAGTCATTATAGCAGATATTCAGATGGAGTTCAGACAGCCAGGGATACCTGTATATATGATAACAAAAAGTGAAAAAGACATGAGAAAGCACCATAAGATGAACAAAGATAGCAAAACCCAGTCTGTCCTCAAGTTGCAGAATATGTGATGAAGATAAAACAAGTACCCAAGTTAGCACATTATTAGTAAATTATAAATTACTTCAAATTAAATGCCGTAAGAATAGAAGGGCTAGAGGGGGTGGAGCAAGATAATTGAAGAGTAGAACTGAAATGAGAGGACAGGAGAGAAGGGAAGGTTTCTATTTTAGTGGGGAACAAATTTGGAGAACAGCAAAAAAACGGCAAGAACAAAGTTCTGCATAGCAGGAGAATATTGGCAAGCGTTTGCATGGACATGTGTTCTCAGTTCTCTTGGGTACATATCTAGGAGTGGAATTGCTAGGTCATATGGTAACTCTATGTTTAACTTTTTGAGGAGCTGTCAAACTGTTTTCTGTGGCAGCTGAACCATTTTACATTCCCACTAACAATCTCTTGGGGAGAGAAGGTTCCAGTACACCAAAGAAGTGTAACATTGATTAAAATATTCTAATACATAGTTCAATTCAGATTTCTCTTGTCTGAAAGATTCACCATATAGCTTTTTTAATAAAGTTTTATGGAAATATAATTTATATAGCATAAAGTTTACTCATTTAAAGTATACAATTCAGTGACTTTTAATATATTTACCAAATTGTGTAGCTGGCACCACGATCTAATTTTAGAACATTTTCCTGATCCCAACTTCTGTAGCTGTTTAAAAAATATTTCAAGATTAATCAAAGATTGATACTATATTTAGTTGATGTGATTCTTTGGTCTCCTTTAATCTGGAACTGTTCCCTGCCTTTTTCTTCCTTGCTTGACATTTGTATTTTTGAAGCTTCTAGGCCAGATATCTTTTAGAATGCCCCATACAATGCATTTCTTTAATCATTATTTATCATAGTTAAATTCAGGTTAAACGTCTTGGCCAGGAAAAAGGTAGTCTCAATGTAGGAGACATTGAAGAGGCATTTGAGATTTTTAAGCACCATCGTGCACTAGGCCCGGTAACGAAAAAAAAAAAAAAAGATTTTAAATCAAGCTACGTGTCCAGGGGTATGCTCTAGAAAAATTACCATGGCAATAATATTTAATTTGAGGGCAGGGAAGCTGGTTAGGCCTTTGCTGTAATACAGAAAAGTGAAAAGAGGGAATGGAAGAAATAGTAACCTATATGTTGCCATTGGCCGTTTTTTTGTTTTTGTGGGTGTGCTTTTATAGAGAGGCAAGACTTGCTATATTGCACAAGCTGGACTTGAATTCCTGGGCTTAAGCCGTCCTCCTGAGTAGCTGGATGGCATTATTATTTATATAGAACCAGAACTAAGTATCTTGAGAGTCAGAGACCTTCCACTGAAACAAAATTTCTGAGACCGGACACAGTGGCTCATGCCTGTAATCCCAGCACTTTGGGAGGCTGAGGTGGGCGGATCACTTGAGATCAGGAGTTCAAGACCAGCCTGGCTAACATGGTGAAACATCATCTCACTAAAAATACAAAAAAATTAGCCAGGCGTGGTGGTGCACGTCTGTAATCCCAGCTACTTGGGAGGCTGAGGCAGAAGAATTGCTTGAACCCGGAAGGCGGGGGTTGCAGTGAGCCAAGATCGTGCCACTGCACTCCCGCCTGGGCAACAGAACAAGACTCCATCCACCCCGCCTCCCCCACCACCCCAAAAAAATTTCTGTATTGACTATGAAAATGGGAGGTAGAAATGTGTATGGTCAAATAAAAGAATAAGTGCTCCCACAACAGAATATTCATGGAAATATTAAATAGCTAGCTTTTATAAGAGCCTTAACCATCAAACGTGACCAGGAAATGGGATCAGATGCAAGTGGTACCCCCTTGTCTTCCCACTCCTGCTCCTGCTGACTAGTTAACAAGGAAGGAAAGAAAACTAACAGTCATCAATTCACGTGTCAAGAAAGTACCTTGCTTATTTTCAGGTCCCACTAAAAGCAGTTATCAATATAAAACTGTACCAGGAATGGTTGTCAAGGTACATCTCTGAATCATTAAAGAATATTGAGGCTTTTCTTGGCCGGGCGCCGTGGCTCACACCTGTAATCTCAGGACTTTGGGAGGCCAAGGCGGGTGAATTGCTTGAGGTCAGGAGTTCAAGACCAGCCTGGCCAACATGGCAAAACCCTGTCTCTACTAAAAATACAAAAAATTAGCTGGGCATAGTGGTGCACGCCTGCAGTCTCAGTTACTTGGGAGGCTGAGGCACGAGAATCACTTGAGCGTGGGAGGCAGAGGTTGCAGTGAACCAAGATTGTACCACTGCACTCCAGGCTGGGTGACAGAGCAAGACGCTGTCTCAAAAGAATATTGAGGCTTTTCCCCTCATTATTCCAGTGTTCAAATAGGGTGAAAACTATGTGGATGGTTTTATTTGCGCCTAGGTCCTCTGTGTTAGAGTACTCAAGTCCTGCTCTGTGTGCACTTCCTTTCACTTGTTTTTATTTCCTCATAGTGCTCTACGGAAACGTATTCGAGAGGACAGAAAGGCCACCACAGCTCAGAAGGTGCAGCAGATGAAACAGAGGCTAAATGAGAATGAACGAAAAAGAAAAAGGTGGTTATATTGGCAACCTATTCTCACTAAGATGGGGTTTATGTCAGTCATTTTGGTTGGCGCTTTTGTTGGCTGGACACTGTTTTTTCAGCAAAATGCCCTATAAACAATTAATTTTGCCCAGCAAGCTTCTGCACTAGTAACTGACAGTGCTACATTAATCATAGGGGTTTGTCTGCAGCAAACGCCTCATATCCCAAAAACGGTGCAGTAGAATAGACATCAACCAGATAAGTGATATTTACAGTCACAAGCCCAACATCTCAGGACTCTTGACTGCAGGTTCCTCTGAACCCCAAACTGTAAATGGCTGTCTAAAATAAAGACATTCATGTTTGTTAAAAACTGGTAAATTTTGCAACTGTATTCATACATGTCAAACACAGTATTTCACCTGACCAACATTGAGATATCCTTTATCACAGGATTTGTTTTTGGAGGCTATCTGGATTTTAACCTGCACTTGATATAAGCAATAAATATTGTGGTTTTATCTACGTTATTGGAAAGAAAATGACATTTAAATAATGTGTGTAATGTATAATGTACTATTGACATGGGCATCAACACTTTTATTCTTAAGCATTTCAGGGTAAATATATTTTATAAGTATCTATTTAATCTTTTGTAGTTAACTGTACTTTTTAAGAGCTCAATTTGAAAAATCTGTTACTAAAAAAATAAATTGTATGTCGATTGAATTGTACTGGATACATTTTCCATTTTTCTAAAGAGAAGTTTGATATGAGCAGTTAGAAGTTGGAATAAGCAATTTCTACTATATATTGCATTTCTTTTATGTTTTACAGTTTTCCCCATTTTAAAAAGAAAAGCAAACAAAGAAACAAAAGTTTTTCCTAAAAATATCTTTGAAGGAAAATTCTCCTTACTGGGATAGTCAGGTAAACAGTTGGTCAAGACTTTGTAAAGAAATTGGTTTCTGTAAATCCCATTATTGATATGTTTATTTTTCATGAAAATTTCAATGTAGTTGGGGTAGATTATGATTTAGGAAGCAAAAGTAAGAAGCAGCATTTTATGATTCATAATTTCAGTTTACTAGACTGAAGTTTTGAAGTAAACACTTTTCAGTTTCTTTCTACTTCAATAAATAGTATGATTATATGCAAACCTTACATTGTCATTTTAACTTAATGAATATTTTTTAAAGCAAACTGTTTAATGAATTTAACTGCTCATTTGAATGCTAGCTTTCCTCAGATTTCAACATTCCATTCAGTGTTTAATTTGTCTTACTTAAACTTGAAATTGTTGTTACAAATTTAATTGCTAGGAGGCATGGATAGCATACATTATTATGGATAGCATACCTTATTTCAGTGGTTTTCAAACTATGCTCATTGGATGTCCAGGTGGGTCAAGAGGTTACTTTCAACCACAGCATCTCTGCCTTGTCTCTTTATATGCCACATAAGATTTCTGCATAAGGCTTAAGTATTTTAAAGGGGGCAGTTATCATTTAAAAACAGTTTGGTCGGGCGCGGTGGCTCATGCCTGTAATCCCAGCACTTTGGGAGGCTGAAGTGGGCAGATCACCTGAGGTCAGGAGTTCAAGACCAGCCTGGCCAACGTGGTGAAACACCATCTCTACTAAAAATGCAAAAATTAGCTGGGCATGGTGGAGGGCACCTGTAATCTCAGCTACTCAGGAGGCTGAGGTAGGAGAATTGCTTGAACCCAGGAGATGGAGGTTGCAGTGAGCTGAGATCACGTCACTGCACTCCAGCCAGGGCGACAGAGCGAGACTCCATCTCAAAAGAAACAAACAAAAAAAACAGTTTGGGCCGGGTGTGGTGGCTCACGCTTGTAATCCCAGCACTTCGGAAGGCCAAGGCGGGCGGATCACGAGGTCAAGAGATGGAGACTGTCCTGGCCAACATGGTGAAATCCCTTCTTTACTAAAAATACAAAAATTATCTGGGCGTGGTGGTGCATGCCTGTAGTCCCAGCTCCTTGGGAGGCTAAGGCAGGAGAATCACTTGAACCCGGGAGGCAGAGGTTGCAGTGAGCCGAGATTGCACCACTGCACTCCAGCCTGGCAACAGAGCAAGACTTCGTCTCAAAAAAAAAAAAAAAAAAAGTTTGAAAACCATTGGTATAGATAGATATTTTGAATTGATTTGCATAGTCTCCTTGAATGTGTTAAATTATGTTGAAAGTATGAAAGCAGGATGTAGGTGGTACTACATATTAAATAAGATTTATATAACATGTGCCTGTGTCCTGATTCAGTATTACTGTGTCCTGTAACCTTGAAATGGAGAGGAGGTAAGAGGGACATTTTTTTATGTCTGTCTGCATTAAACCTGTGTTGAGGCATCCAAGACCCTTACATTTCAGGTTGTTATTGGTTTAAAACCTCTTTCCAGTTTGCATTGGTTTGTCTTTGCTAAATGCAGTATGTTTATGTTACTCTGCAAGTCACATACAGGTAGACCTTATGACATTTCCAGTTGAAACTAGGCTTGCTTTCGGTACACAGGTGAAGACTTGAGGAAGCCAGTGCCAGAGAGGACGTGCCTCACCCCTCAGCTGGCTGAATGCGCTTCATTGGCTTACGCTTTGCTTTCTGTATGCTTTCTGTCCTTCTGGGTGGTGTCGCATATATTTTTAAAACCACATTCAGTGTGATGAACACTTGTTGGTACACTTCTAAGGTTAGTCATCTTTCCTTCTCTGAGCAGATCCTTGAGAAGGGCATTGACAGTGGATGCTTTAAATAGTGTTCAGTTTTTACCAGTAATAATATTTTTTGGTGGATGTCATGAAAACACATGACATCGTGTTGTGCCCATGATAAAAAGTCCTGACTTTTTATTGAATGAGGTGTGCTGGTCAAAGAGACAGACGTGGCTGCCTTCTCTGGTAACAGCCAGAGGAAAAAGTTAGCAATTCTAGATGGGTTCTACAGCTTTAAAAAACTTGTTGTATCCTTAGGTCCTCATAATATTAAATATTTTCTAATTTTAACAGATTTTAAGAGTCAGATATATACTTTGACTTGAATGATGTAGTGTTGCTTAAGGAAGAAAAAATTATAAAAAAAATGTTTCTTTTATTTTCAGGAGTTTTTAATTCATATCTAGTTCATTTCCACTCATATCTATTTCTGCTAATAGATTGACAGCAACCTTTGGTTTAATGCTGTGTTCTCTAGCTACACCAACAAGTTATATATTCCTTTCCAATATTAACCAAGTATTTATTTTATGTTAGCCTATGACTGAGTTTTATCTATGCTTGCACATATATAGAATGTAAAAATATAATTCTCCATGTTTAATGTATCCATATAAAAATGAAAATACCCATTTTCTGCATTCTTAAAGGGTTAAGAAAAGTAACATGTAATAAGCACATGGAGGACTTTAGACCATTTCTTGTGTTAGAGGAGACTTTATACATTTGTGAGGTTTTCTGTCTTTTGGTCCTTTTATGTTCTTAGTCCATTTCATTATTGTTTTAATATTTCTACCAAGGAATGACCAAGAAAAGAGAAAGGAAGAAAAAAAATGTGTTAATCATTTTCTTTTAATGGTATGTCAGCAGAAGGGGTTCTGACTGTAAGCTAATGTGCACTTGTGCCTGTCCTCTTTGTCTTAAACTAAAGTTGGTGGTATGAATCGAAAAATGTGTATTGGTTTAAAAAGCAGTTTATGATATGAAACAGTCTTCCAGTTTTTATATCAACTCCTTTGCTTTCAACAGTCAGTTCAAAGCACCATTTATTGATGGTTTACTGTATGCCAGACACTGTATTTTTTCTTTACGTATTACCCTACTTAATCCTCAACACAATTTTATGAAGTAGTTATTGTTAGCCTGAAACTGGCATTTCTCCATCCTTTTATGGTGCTGTCTTTGAAAAGTCTCAGATGTGTAACATGTCCTAGAAGTAGATAATTATCAAAGGAAGACTGCAACTGCAACTCACTTCCCTCTGAGAAAAAATATCCCTGACTAGATTACATATCTAGTTCCAGACCAGAACCTGGTGGTATTAAAAGTGTTTTGGTTGACTATTGTATACCATAATGAGTACCTACATTCCCAAATTGCCTGCCTGGTTGTTGTACAGACTTAAAAATCTAGCCTGCCTTGATTTTTACTTTTCAGATACACATGTTTAAAGAGATCTTTGCTGGTCACAGTAGCTCACACCTGTATTCCCAGAACTTTGGGAGGCCAAGGTGGGAGGATTGCTTGAGCCCAGGAGTTTGTTCAAGATCAGCCTGGGTCTCTACTTAAAAAAAAAAGAAAAATTTAGCTGGGTATGTTGGCACGTGCCTGTAGTCCCAGCTACTCAAGAGGCTGAGGCAGGAGGATCACATAAGCACAGAAGTTTGAGGCTGCAGTGAACTATGATGGAGCCATTGCACTCCAGCCTGGGCAGTAGAGGAGACTTGTCTCTCTCTGTATATTTGTCTCTCTCTCCCTCTCTCTCTCTGTCTCTCATAATACATATATACATACATATATATATACACACACACACACACACATACAGAGAGATATATAAAATAGATATAAAAATAAAGATATTTTAAAGATTATTTATAAATATATGTTTTTTAAAAATGTAGTCTATTATAAGCCAAATGTCATTAGGCATGTAGTCCATTTCTTTCTGTGTTCAGGCAGGAGTTCCAGTTCTATAAACATTGGTTTATCTGTTTTTCTAGCAGGTGCACACATGGGTTCTCAGTGATGTGTAGCCGGGGCATAGATTGCTCTCAGTCTGTTGCACCCTGCAGGGGAGATGTCTGAGGTCCTCCCTCGCCTGGCTGTGCTGGACGCACAGTGCATAGCAGAACTAACTGCACAGCAGAAATGCCTGTTCTGCGTTCCCATTGATACACCAACAGCTAATGAAGTCTCTTTTACTTTTAAGAAACCCTTATTTGGCTTTGGCATATTTACATGGTAGAGGCCTAGAATTTTATAAATAAAATTTTGAAGAATAGAAATGTATTTTTTCACGATTTAAAAACCACCTGTATGGTTTACTCTGGAGTTGACCTGTTCCACTCATCCTTCTCCCCAGTTCATTTGTTTCGTTTCAATTCCACTTTCCCTTATAGCTATCTTCAAAGCAGTGTCTATGGGACAGCATTGCCAAGAGCCCTGACTGGGCCTGGCTTGGTAACTCACTCCTGTAATCCCACCTGCCCCTAGAAGTGCAGATATACTAGAAAATACAGCTGTCTTTGTTCCAGTGAATATGTATAAGGGGTGACATGCCTTGGTGGAAAGCAGCTCAGATTGTGTGGACTCCTCAATCCCTGCTCTACCAAGAGCTCTCCAGTTCCAAAACTGTACACTCAGTGGCTATGTTCTGTGTGCCTGCTCCCAATACAGCCATTATGTTGTTCATCCAGATTTGAGAATTTAAGCTTTTCACTCCTCTTTGGGTAGTATTATTTAAGTAAGAACTTCTAGGAAAATAGTATGAGTTTGGTTATTTTTCCCTCGGCAGCAGGAATTTTCTGAATATTTAGCACATTCAGATTGCTCCAAGAACAGCATTGAGCAATGCTGTACATGTGCTTTCTCCTAAGGCTGTCTCCCCTGTCTACTGGGTTCTGGAAAGACTCATTGTCCTTCAGGGAAGGGAGCATTTTTCCTCACTGCCATTGCTGAGCCTTTTCTCCTGTTGTATACTATTTAGCCCAGCATGAAGCCATCGCCGACTGTAAGGAGTGATGGATAGAAGTGTTTACTTGGTTTGTGAGGCCTTGTCTCTAAAGGGTAACAGTCTGACAAGGAAAACATTTCAAAGAGCCCTGACCAGGCCTGGCTTGGTAACTCACTCCTGTAATCCCAGTACTTTGGGAGGCCGAGGCTGGAGAATCATTTGAGCCCAGGGGTTCGAGACCAGCCTGGGCAACACGGTGAAACCCCACTCTATTTAAAAAAAAAAAAAAAAAAAAGCCCTGATCCCCCTCTCTGGGCGATCCATTGGGAGAATTTGAAAAGTTCAAACTTTTGAACTCTTCCTACTTTATTTTTTTAAATTTAGAATGGAAGGTGGGAATTATGCAATTTGGTGAAGATGTTACAGAAACTGCTTCACGACTTTCTGGTTTTACGTTATACAGTATGTTTTGAGGAGCTCCAAGAATTGCACAGGAATTTTTTTCTTTATACAGACCATTTTTTAAAGACGCATCAAGTTATTCTTTATTGTGGCTCTAATTTGGCATATTTTTCAGACACAGGTTGCTCTTGATACATCAAATTTCTGCTGTTAAAAACTTCAGTTATTTTGAGTTTAGTTAATTCAGGAGCGGGAACCTAGGTAAGTCATCTGTAGAGCATCTTTGCACCTTAAGAGAAGTTTCTGATTAGCCTCAATTCAGTTTAGTAGAATATTAGTGTGGATATCTGGTGGCAAAACCTATTCTTGGTGCAATTTGGCTTTTCGTGGCCTCAGGCATAGAGCTGACTTGGTAGTGGACCCTCTGTCCACACCCACCCGGCCCTTGCGCCTTTCTAGCATAAAGTGGTGTGTCAGAGCCACTGTCTCCACAGAAAGCACCACGTTTGTTTCATTTGACTTATTTGAACCCGTTTCTCCTGCCTTTGCCTTTTTAAATAAAAATAGCAAAAATTGATTCAAGTGAATCTATTAGAATTTTCTAAAATGGAGCCCATTTGTCTTTTCAGTCTTGCAAGTAAAGTCTTTAAAACAATTAAGCCTCCCAATGATTTAACCGTATTTTCTTACCCCCCCACCCTGAATAATATTTACAAAGAAATAATAACGTGAATTTTTAAAAACCCCGTCCTTCAGTTGTTATAAATGATAGTTCATTCTTGGTAAGTATATCTGTAACAAAATACTGGGGAAGGACATGAGGTATGGTGAACACTTAAAATTCTGCCAGCCAGCTTAAATACATAATCTAAATTTAACCCACGTAACACCTCTTCTAGGTAAACAGCATTCTCCCTATATTCAGATGAGAAAACTGAGTCAAAGAATAAGTAACTTGCCCAAGATTGCACAGCTAGTACATGACAGAACTGAGATTCACTCTGCAGTCTGTAGACTTCCAGTAACTCCAAACCTCATACTTTTTCTTTTATGTTACACGGACTCTGTTTTTAATGGAATATTTAAATGAGATATTTAAGTGGGAAAGTAATAGACAACCACTCTTACCTGTTAAAATCCAAAGTAATTCTCTAGTTTTTAAATGGAGCACATTTAAAAAACTTTGTGCACCAGTTTGAACTACCACTGCAACAGAGAAATACTAGAACATCAGAGTATTCTCTAAACCAGATCATTACTTCATTCACTTTGATTGAATTGAGTTGCTTATTTTAAAAAGACTTCTGGATGCATGGAAAACATATATATTTTGCAGCACTCAGAATCAATACAAAGTACCTTCAGCCACTTTGGTTCACATTCTGAAGATTCATGTAATAAACACCCATAGTAGTTGTGGGCTCACATTATCTAATGAGAATGTTTTCTTGATGACTTGACATTTCTCCGTCACTGTTGGATAATCAGAGAAAAAAAGGACGTTCAGAACACCAAGGTGCTTGGTACAATTATGCCAAGTGCCCTGTCTTTAAAGGGAGTAGCCTAATTCTCAGCATTTGGGAGTTTTTGACTAAATGTGTGGATATGATTTGTATTTCCTATTTCTTAATATATATGTGAAGATACAATACTGACAAGTACTTAGATTTGGAGGTTTTGCGGTACTGAGGGGAGTTGGGGGAAGAATGGAAATACCATTGACCTCCTAAAAAGTTGTTACTTGCAAAGTTTGGGAGGTGACATCAAAAACTCAACTGCCCTTACAATAGTCATTCCATCCATCTGTTGCTTATTTGAATTCTCATTTATTTTTACTTTATGGCATTAAAATACAATAAATCTGTCAATTATGTATTTTATATTAGTAGTAGCTTAAGATTGGGTCACTTCATTTCGGTAGATATAATTGTTAGTATTATCCTTCAGGACAAAAAGCATCTGCTAACAACCTGTGGTTTAAAAATATAGGCCAACTTTATGTTCAAACATTATGTTGATAATATTTTTAGCAGTATTACACAGTGGAGGTCCAAATTGGATTAGACTTTTGCATTGAATTCCAAAGTATTGGTAAGTCTAGCACATAGTATAAAGTCTTGCTAAATTCTTGTGGGTACATTATTTTTAAAACCTGTCTGTCTGTCGGTATCACACAGAGGTCACTTCTTGAGTAAAATAAGATGACCTTAAGAATTCACATAATTCTTGAAGAAGAATATAAGTCACGATGCTTCCACATGAGGCCGCGTCACACCACCATCGTTTGGAAATCCAGCACCCCAGCCGTTTTACCCTAAGATAACAGTGCAGCACTTAGTGTGGTTGAATGTGTCATGTGGGAATGATTTTTGGTCACCTTTTCAGTTCATTGTTAGTCCTTTTATGTTTGTGTGCATCTATGTTCGTCTGTGTGTTTGGTAAATATGAATTGAATAGATGACTTCTTATTTTATGTTTTAGGCCAAGATTGACAGACACCTAATATTCATGACTTGAGAATATTCTGCAGCTATAAATTTTGAACCATTGATGTGCAAAGCAAGACCTGAAGCCCACTCCGGAAACTAAAGTGAGGCTCGCTAACCCTCTAGATTGCCTCACAGTTGTTTGTTTACAAAGTAAACTTTACATCCAGGGGATGAAGAGCACCCACCAGCAGAAGACTTTGCAGAACCTTTAATTGGATGTGTTAAGTGTTTTTAATGAGTGTATGAAATGTAGAAAGATGTACAAGAAATAAATTAGGGGAGATTACTTTGTATTGTACTGCCATTCCTACTGTATTTTTATACTTTTTGGCAGCATTAAATATTTTTGTTAAATAGTCTTTTGTTGGTTTGTGTGCATTATCTTAGGACAGCTCTGCTTCAAATAATGAATATTTTCCTGTGAGTTTATAATTTCTGTAACAAGCAATTGACATACTGCCGAGGCGGGTGGATCACTTGAGATGAGGAGTTCGAGACCAGCCTGGCCAACATGGTGAAACTCCATCTCTACTAAAAATACAAAAAAATTAGCCAGGCCTGGTAGTAGGCACCTGTAATCCCAGCTACTTGGGAGGCTGAGGCAGGAGAATCACTTGAACCCGGGAGGCAGAGGTTGCAGTGAGCCAAAATCGCACCACTACATTCCAGCCTGGGCAATGAGTGAAAACTCCGTCTCAAAAAAAAAGGTTTTTATAGTTGCCCTTCAATAGTCTTTCTATCCTTAATAGTACAGGTTAGGTGAAAGCAATAATAGAAGAGTTATGATATTCCTTTATTACTTGGGAGAATATTAATATGGGTAATGGTATTGCCTTAAGGTCGACATTAATTTCAAGCAAGCACAGCAGTTCAGGGCAGTTTTAAAAATCACAGCGTCATTCCTGTGTTGGATGTTGTGGTTTCCCCAAACAATTCCCATTACAAGAAAGCCAGGGCCAGGCGCGGTGGCTCACGCCTGTAATCCCAGCACTTTGGGAGGCCGAGGCGGGTGGATCACAAGGTCAGGAGATCGAGACCATCCTGGCCAACATGGGGAAACCGTGTCTCTACCAAAATAAAAAAAATTAGCCAGGCATAGTGGTGGGAGCCTGTAGTCCCAGCTACTCGGGAGGTTGAGGCAGGGGAATCGCTTGAACCCGGGAGGTGGAGATTGCAATGAGCCGAGATTGTGCCACTGCATTCCAGTCTGGCAATGGAGCCAGACTCCGTCTCAAAAAATATATGTAACAATTTGTTTTGCCAACTTTGAAATTTATATAATATTCATAAAAACGTCTATTTCATATCTTTAAATTTAAATGACTTAGGTTCCTTTTTGCCTTATATGCCAGGTTTTCTAGGTCTGTTTTAGGAGTATGTAAACTATTCCTGCTAAATCTTTCCTGAAGGATGCATGAAAAGTTTATTATACTACAAAGTAGTACGGGAAGATGATCTTTCCATGGTGTCCGCAAAGCTGCTGGAAAGAATCATCTATACTCGGCTACCTCTGTCTGCTCTCTTCCTGCATACCCTACCCCCACTCCCAAAATGACCCAGAAACGTCATCTTAGCTTGTACTGTAGCTTAATAAAGCTACTGCTCTTTAGTTTTCCCTTCTATGGCTTCTTGGCAGCATCATTAAGAACTCTGTCTTTGAAACTTTCTCCTTAGACTCCGAAAGACTTGTCTCTGGGTTTTCTTCATCTCAGTTCTTCTGTCTGACTGGAATATTGGGGTTTCCAAGGACTCCATCTTTGGGCCTTTGATTTTAACACACTTAACCTTGGGTGATCTGATTTTTCCACAAGTCTTTAATACCTGTAAGCTGATTACATACAACTTCTTCAACTCCAGGCCAGATGTCACTTCAGAGCTATAAACCATATATCCAGTTCCCTAAGTGGTCATTGCATGAATTCCTTACCCTCTAAAATATAACGTGATTTCCCTCTTTTCATCTCCTCTTCCTCCTGTATTCCATTTATTTTGTGGCACCCCCTGGAAACTTGAAATTCATCTTTAGTTCCTCCACTTAGACTTCACGTCCAGTTTGGTTACAAAGTCCTGTCAGTTCTGCACAGTGACTCTCGCTCCCACTGCCCCGCCTTGGTTTAAAGTTCCATGCTTGTCCAACCCATGGCCCACGGGCTGCACGCCGCCCATGATTGCTTTAATGCGACCCAACACTAATTTGTAAACTTCCTTAAAAGATGAGCTTTTTCTGCAATTTTTTGTTTTTTGTTTTGTTTTGTTTTAGCTCACCAGCTATTGTTAGTGCATTTTATATGTGGCCCAAGACAATTCTTCCAGCGTGGCCCAGGGAAGTCAAAACATTGGACACCCCTGATTTAAACCTTCCTTGCTTGTGCAGCTCACAGCAGCAGGTTCCTGCCTAGACATGCCTGTTTGTGCCTACCCACTCAGCACAGCTCCCAACTAATTTAAGATCTGACTGTTACCCTCCTTAAAATTCGCTTATGGCGCCTTAGACAATTTCGTCTTCATTTTAAGTCAAAAAGTCTCAGCACCCGCCTGCCATGATAAGGCACCCTAAGCTGCAGCCATCCCAAACGATTTGGAATGAGTGGAATATTGCTCATTTGCTCGATGAATATTTATTGAACACACCTATGTGCTTGGCACTATAGTAGACAGCGGATGTTCAGTGATGGGGGAAGACGACTGCAGTCCACTTCCTGTGGTCTTATGGGAGAGTTAAAACAACAAGCCTGTAAATAAGCAAATATGTAATTAAACCAGTCATAAGTGCTGTGGCAGAAATGAATTGATAGCTACTTAGATGTGATACCTACTTAGATGTGGAGAAATGAGCTTACGAAATCTGAAGCAGAGGTACTAGGAGTAGTTGGCACTGAATTTTTTGGGGGATGGCCACGTAAGTCCCCAGTTTGGAAAGGGCAGTGGCAAGGAAGACTCGAGCTTTCCAGATAAGATGTGACTCTACCCTGTGGTCTGCAGGACAGGCAGGCATGTATGCCAAGACAGCTCTGGAAACCACGAGAAGCATCTCTGAAGTAAGCCGTGTCTGCCACTGCCCTATGCGGTCATTTATTTTTGATGAAAAACCAGTATCTTAACCAATAGAATCAGAAACTTAACCCTTTGTGTGTTTGGGTAGATTCTTCCCAACAGTCCCTGGCCCACGTGAAATGCTGCAGCTGTCAAAATGGGATTGGTGTGAAAACCCACCACCATGTTTGGACTGGAAGGAGTGTCGGGAAACTGAAGGAGTGATCCCTGAGCTGACCCTTGCCAGACAGATACCAGACAGCATGTGGCATGTGACATCTGGGTGGCTGGGCCCTTTAAAAGCAATCCTGAACAGCAGAATTCACCCACTGTTCCCACATTTCTAATTGGCCCTGTGGACAATGTAAGGAGGCTGAGGCGAAGGCAAGGTAGCCCAGCACACAATTCCCTGGTGTTTCACTTAGGGTTCTCCAGAGAGACAGCCAACACGATAGAGAGGAAGGTGAGCAGGGGATGGGGAATTGGCCACCTCTATCATGGAGGCTGAGAAGTTCTGTAACCCACCTCCGGCAAGCTGAGAACAGGGAAGCTGGCAGCGTGTTTCAGTCCAAGTCTGAAACTAATAGTACAACTCTGGAGGTCCACTGGTGAGAGTCCCAGAGTCCAAAAGCCAGAGAACCAAGTGTCGTCCAAGGGCAGAAAAGCACGTCAGCCCCAGCAGGGAGTGAGAATGCACCCTTCTCTGCCTTTCTCCGCCTTTCACTCCATCCAGGCTCCTGCTGATTGGATGGGTGCCTGCCCATGTTGAGGGTGGGTCTTCCCTACTCAGTCCACCGACTCACATGCCAGTCTCCAGAAAGACCTTCATGGGCACACCTGAGGCAGCCCAATCTAACCAAATGCCAGACCACATGGGTTTCCCTTTAGGCAAAAGAGGACAGGTGCAGAGCCTCCTGAAGCCTTGAGAGTAATGAGTGCTTCACCAGATATGGGGGTACCCCTTCCTCCCGTCAAGTTGACACTCCAAATCAACCATCACACCCAGCTTCTCCTAATCAAGGCAGTAGAGACACTTAACATTCCCCAAACAAGTTCATCAGTGGCACAGGGGAGTCCCCAAGGACAGACACCCTCTCCTGTTGGCATACAGTGGCATTCCAAGCAGAAGTTGAATAACTGCTGTTAGGTGTGGAAGGGAGAGAGTGGAGACAAGAAATGCTATAACCTCCCATGTCGGGGGCAGAAAAGTAGACTGCAAGAGGGAAAAGCAGAATCCGTTTTAATAGTTGTTATATTAGCATGTGTGAAACAACCTTGCTGCCCTTACAGATAAGGTTGGAAAGAGCTGTGTCTGGGGCTCTGTAAACTGTGAGTGCTAAATGAGCAAGAAAAATACAAATGAAGACATTGGTATTAAGATAGATAATAAAAACTAATATTCTGCTTGAAAAATGATGGCTTCTAAGTAGAAAACTAAGAATTCTTAATTCAGGCCAGACACAGTGGCTCATGCCTGTAATCCCAGTACTTTGGGAGGCCGAGGTGGGCAGATTACCTGAGGTCAGGAGTTCAAGACCAGCCTGGCCAACATGGTGAAACCCCATCCCTACTAAAAAATACAAAAATTAGCTGGGCATAGTGGTGCATGCCTGTAATCCCAGATACTCAGGAGGCTGAGGCAGGAGAATCACTTGAACCTGGGAGCCAGAGGTTGCAGTGAGCTGAGATTGCGCCATTGCACTCCAGCCTGGGCAAAAAGAGTGAGACTCCATCTAAAAAAAATAAAATAAAATTCTTAATTCAAATGCCCCCAGGATGACGATTTTAATGCTAACAAATCTGCTTCAGTCTAGCTTTGTGTGGAGCAAGTGGCAGAGACATTTACTCCTTTCCAAATACAGGCGGTCCTCCATGTTGGTGGGTTCCCCATTTGACATTTGTGGGTTCAACCCACCACAGATCAAAACAAAACAAATAATACCACAATAAAAAGTAATACAAATAAAAAACACAGTATAGGCCAGGCATGGTGGCTCACGCCTATAATCCCAGCACTTTGGGAGGCCGAGGTGGGCAGATCACTTGCCGTCAGGAGTTCGAGACCAGCCTGGCCTGACCAACATGGTGAAACCCTGTCTCTACTAAAAATACAAAAGTTAACCAGGTGTGGTGTGTGGGGAGGGTGGGGAGCGCCTGTAATCCCAGCTACTCTGGAGGCTGAGGCAGGAGAATCACTTGAACCTGGGAGGCAGAGGTTGCAGTGAGCCGAGATCTCGCCACTGCACTCCAGCTTGGGCAAAAGAGTGAGACTCGAGACTCTGTCTCCAAAAAAAAAAAAAAAAAAAAAAAAAAAAAAAAAAAATAGAGGTTGGCTGGGCTGGGTGGTTTACGCCTGTAATCCCAGGACTTTGGGAGGCTGAGGCGGGCGGATCACTTGAGGTAAGGAGTTCAACACCAGTCTGGCCAACATGGTGAAACCCCATATCTACTAAAAATATAAAAATTAGTTGGGAAAATTAGCTGGGTGTGGCTGCTGATGCCTGTAATTCCAGCTACTCAGAAGGCTGAGGCAGGAGAATCGCTTAAAGCTTGGAGACAGAGGTTGCAGTGAGCCGAGATCCGGCCACTGCACTCCAGCCTGGGCGATGGGGTGAGACTCCTTCTCAAAAAAGCAAAAACAAAACAAACCCACAGAGGTGGACTTTCTTCTATAGGGAGATAGAAAAATCTGAAGACATGTAAGTGTGGAGCTACACGGTGGAAGACCATTACCAATATTGGAAAAAATGCTGATGAACACCATTGAGCGAAGTCCCTATCGCAGAGGAAAAATAATCAGAATTAGCAAGAAGGTGTGAAGTTAGTGAAATTAGGAAAATGAGAGTCTCAGGAAGCGCCCGAACCAAGGCATTGGCGAAGTGGGGCTACAGCGCCCACGTGGCATCTAGAGTTTGGGAGACAGGAGCAGGGGCGAGGAGACTCTTCCTGCGGAGGAGGCGCGGGGAACACAGCCCCGAGCTCCTACCTGCTTAGGCCGGGACTGAAGGAGACGATTAGACAAGACAGCAGGAACTCACGCAGCACAGCATGGAAGGAAGGGGACCCCACACGCCCCGCTCCCAAGTGAGGAGCAATGCAGGCAGGTGTGGACGTTTGGCTCCTCAGAATAGGGAGTCCCCAGACAGCGATGCCGGCTCAGCCTGCTCATCCTGGAAACTGGCGGCCCTTGCGAGGGCGGCGACAGTGGAATGCGTTGAGGACTGCCCTGCTAATGAGATTAGTTCGTCTGAAACGTGGAAATGGTGCAGATCACATCATATATCGTTTAGGAACCGTTCTGATTACTACTAACAGGTTGGAGAAAAGAATGGCCTACACAAGATAGAAATTGAGCTGCGTGTAGCTCGGGTCGGACAGCGCAACTCCCGGGCTGAACCGTGATCTGTTTTTCTATTCCACCATGACACAGTTCTTAGTCTCACTGTCCCCTCAGGACGCATGATGGCTGCGGGATCCCAGTCATCATGTTCACATTCCAGGAGTGCAGAGTGAGCTTCCTAAATCAGGCTTCCCTGAAGGTGGCATTCCACTTCCATTCTCACCTCACTGGCTGGAATGTGGCCACATGCACTTAGGGGCAAGGAAGTCCAGAAAATTGAGCATTTCAGTGGGCATATTGCTGTGCTGTTCAGATGGAGTTGAGCCAGCCACACACAACCCAGTGCAGACCGTAAAAATGAGCCCACAGCGCACTCCTGCTAAGATGCATGCAGGAAGTTGGACGCCTCGTCAATGTGTTTAAATACGGCGTGGGGAGGCCTGGCGTGGTGGCTCACGCCTGTAATCCCAGCACTTTGGGAGGCCGAGGAGGGTGGATCACTTGAGGTCAGGAGTTCGAGGCCAGCCTGGCCAATATAGCAAAACTACTAATGTAGTTAGTGCGTCTCTACTAAAAGTACAAAAATTAGCCTGGCATGGTGGCGCGCGCCTGTAATCCCAGCTATTTGAGAGGCTGAGGCAGGAGAATTGCTTGAACCTGGGAGGCGGAGGTTGTAGTGAACCGAGATCGCACCAGTGCACTCCAGCCTCAGCGACAGAGCAAGACTCTGTCTCAAAATACATACATGCAAACATACATACATACATACAGGTTGGGGGAGTCAGTATCGTTTTCGGTTCAGTGTACCAAGAAGCACAAGGAAAAGCGTCTTTTACATCTCACCCTGTGGAACTCGAGCAATGATCACAGACTGCAAAACCGGAAAAATGGAGGGAGCACAGTTTGTCCATCTAAGGATTCAGATTTCTGCGCTGAGCGTTCCATGACTGTCCTGCCCTTTCTCGAACAGTGAAAAGAATGGCACTTTTCTAGCCAGGATTGGAGGTGGATGCTGGTGAGCAAGCGCAAGGTGGGCATTATATTGCAGCCTAGGGGCGTTACCGTCTCAACGTGCAGTGTCTCATGAACGGATGCTTGTGGAATCCAGGCAATACGAAGAAAATTATATGAATCCAAAGAAACCATGCCGCTGGAACGTCTTTGGATGAAGTGACTAAAGCACCTGAATAATTAATATTAATTTACTTGTGTTTCTGATATTCTTAACTGGCTTTGAGGAAGTTTGAATAAAAATGCCAGGTAATGAATATCTGTGTTTGTGCAACAATGTGCTAAGCTGGAGTTCAGCATGAATAACTTTAAGCCATACATGAGTGAGGGAAGCTCAGCGGTCTCGAGCTCTGCGAGTCCCCAGCATCGCCCTCTGCGTGGAGCGGGGTCTGCAGAGCCGGCCCGAGCCCGGCCGCCCCCACGGCCTGCACCTGCAGTCCCCTAAGTATTCCCTGGGGCTGGGCCGGGGCTTGGCCCGCGGCTAACGCTGAGCAGTGATTTCATGCGAGGGGAGCATCTGCGCAGGGCGATCTGGAAAGTTCTCCCGCTGGCTGTGGAGTCGTCCTGCCTGAGAGGCGCCAGCACCAGCGTGCCTGGGCCCGCAGCCGTGCTGAGTGGGTCTCCGGGGTTTTATGGGAAGCTCCGAGAGCCCAGTCCGTGGCCACGCACCTGCCCACGGCTCCCCGGGAGGCACAGGCCCCGGCTCACTTCCCCACTCAAAACGCCGCAGGGGCTTGTGCCGTTCGCAGCCTCCGATCAGGAATGGTGCAGGGAAGCCGGTTCCAGGAAGGGCCCCGCCTCGGAGCGGGGTGGCGCAGCCCCAGGGGAGGGCCCTCAGCCCGCTCGGGAGCCCGGACGGCGCCAGCACAGCGCCTACAGCACGCCGCGCCACGGCCCCCGCTTTGGAGAAGTCTCAGGAAACGGCGAGGAAGAAGATACGTTGGAAGCAGCACCGTGAACTATTCCCCACCTGAAGGAAGAAGCTCGTTCCCTTTTGGCTCCAGGACTATTCGGGGTGGGCCTGTTGCCCTGAAACTGAGAGGTGACAGCCTGCTGGCAGCCCTCGCAGCCCTCGCTCCCTCTCGGCGCCTCCTCTGTCTGGGCACCCACTCTGGCGGCGCTCGAGAAGCCCTTCAGCCCGCTGCTGCACTGTGGGAGCCCCTTCCTGGGACGGCCGAGGCCGGAGCCGGCTCCCTCAGCTTGCGAGGAGGTGTGGAGAGAGGCATGGGCGGGAACCTGGGCTGCGTGCGGCGCTTGCGGGCCAGCTAGAGTTCCGGGTGGGCATGGGCTTGGCGGGCCCCACACTCGGAGCGGCCGGCCGGGCCGCCGGCCCCGGGCAGTGAGGGGCTTAGCACCCGGGCCAGCAGCTGCGGAGGGTGCGCCGGGTCCCCCAGCAGTGCCTGCCCACCGGCGCTGCGCTCGATTTCTCTCCAGGCCTTAGCTGCCTCCCCGCCGGGCAGAGCTCAGGACCTGCAGCCTGCTATGCCTGAGCCTCCCCCCACCCCCCTGCCGCCATGGGCTCCTGCGTAGCCCGAGCCTCCCAGACGAGCGCCGCCCCCTGCTCCACGGCGCCCGATCCCATCGACCGCCCAAAGGCTGAGGAGTGCGGGCGCAGTGCGCGGGACTGGCAGGCAGCTCCACCAGCGGCCCTGATGCGGGATCCACTGGGTAAAGCCAGCTGGGCTCCTGAGTCTAGTGGGGACTTGGAGAACATTTATGTCTAGCTAAGGGATTGTAAATACACCAATCGGCACTCTGTATCTAGCTCAAGGTTTGTAAACTCACCAATCAGCACCCTGTGTCTAGTTCAGAGTTTATGGATGCACCAATCAGCGCTCTGTGTCTAGCTAATCTGGTGGGGACTTGGAGAATCTGTCTAGCTAAGGGATTGCGAATACACCAATTGGCGCTCTGTATCTAGCTCAAGGTTTGTGGATGCACCAATCAGCACTCTGTGTCTAGATCAAGGTTTGTAAGTGCACCAATCAGCGCTCTGTGTCTAGCTGATCTGGTGGGGACCTGGAGAACCTTTATGTCTAGCGAAGGGATTGCGAATACACCAATCGCCACCCTGTATCTAGCTCAAGGTTTGTAAATGCACCAATCAGCACTCTGTATCTAGCTAATCCAGTGGGGATGTGGAGAACTTTTGTGTTTAGCTCAGGGATTGTAAACACACCAATCAGCACCCTGCCAAAACGGGCCAATCAGTTCTCTGTAAAACAGACCAATCGGCTCTCTGTAAAATGGACCAATCAGCAGGATGTGGGTGGGGCCAGATAAGTGAATAAAAGCAGGCTGCCCAAGCTCGCAGTGGCAACCCACTCAGATTCCGTTTCATAGTGTGGAGGTTTTGTTCTTTCACTCTGCAGTAAATCTTACTGCTGCTCAGTGTTTGGGTCTGTGCTACCTTTATGAGCTGTAACACTCACGGTGGAAGCCTGCAGTCTCACTCCTGAGGCCAGGGAGACCACGAACCCACCAGGAGGAATGAACAACTCCGGAGGCGCAGACTTAAGAGCTGTAACACTCACCGCGAAGGTCTGTAGTTTCACTTTTGAACCAGCGAGACCATGAACCCGCCAGAAAGAAAAAACTGCCAACACAGCCGGACATCAGAAGGAACAAACTGGGGACACGCTGCCTTTAAGAAACATAACAGGCACCGTGAGGGTCCACGGCTTCATTCTTGAAGTTAGTGAGACCAAGAACCCACCTAATCCCGGGCACAAAACCACCTCAATCTCCCAAAGACCGAAAGCCCTGGTGTCGCTGGGACCAGAGGTGAGACGTGGAACACGTGGGGAAGATGAGAAGGCGCTGGAGAAGGAGGGTGGTGGTCGCAGATGGGAATGTGGTGGAGCCAATGAGCTGTGCGGGTAAAAATGGTTGATAGAAATTGATGTATATTTTACCACAATTGTGTGTGTGTGTGTTTGTGTGAGAGTTCTGTTTATCTGCACAATAGGATTGTACTCGTAGTTTGCAGTGTTGTTGAGAGAAAGAAATAGGATCTTAAAGTGCTTATCACAGCATCTAGCGCCTTTTAAATACTGAAGAATAGTAATACGATTAGCAGCCGAAGAATGTGCTATTTATATTAAAATAAAAAATACATCAGGCCATCCCTCAGCGAGGCAGCCAAAGTTAGCACCTACGCAATGAGCCATGCTGGTGGTGTGTGCTTTTGCATGGGTGTGAAAAGCTATGCTCTCAGCAGACCCAAAACCCCATCTAATCACGAGAAAAACAGCAGACACATGCCAGCTGAGAGGATAGCGGGCCAGGCCTCCTCAAAACTGATGGGCTCATCAGCAACAAGGAAAGTGTGAGGAACTCTTAGCTTGGGAGGAGCCTGCGGAGAGTAACTACAACCACCACCGGCAACGGGGCATCCTGGGCCGGCTCCCAGACCAGAAAATGACATCAGGTAAAAACTAAAGGAAGCTGAATAAATGGTGGGCTTTAGTTATAACAGTGGATCAGCATGAGTTCATTAATTGTGACAAATTTGCCATTCTAATGTAAGATGTTAAGAGGAGAAACCGGGTGTGGGGCATATAGGAACTCTGTGTTAGCTTGGCAATTGTTCTATAAATCTACAACGAATCTAAAATGTAACAATTATTGGAAAGGAGGACTGAAAAGATTCAAGAGAAAGTGATAATATTGAAGACAGGGGAAGAAACTGACATACAGATAATAGGAGTCCCTGAAGAAGAAATCCAAAGTGAATAGAACAGTGAAATTTGTAAATCAAGAAAAGTTTCCTGAAATAAAATTTGAAACTACATACTGAGAAACTATATATACATTTATATTTTTTAAGACGGGGGGGGGGTCTCGCTCTCTTGCCCAGGCTGGAGTGCAGTGGCGCCTTCCAAGCTGCTCCCTGAGCCTGGCTCCCAGGCATCGCACAGGCACTTGGTGCTGGCAAAAGTAGCCTTTTTTTTTTTTTCACTTATTTATTTTTATTTATTTATTTATTTATTTTGAGATGGAGTCTTGCTCTCTCTCCTAGGCTGGAGTGAAGTGGTGGGATCTCGGCTCACGGCAACCTTTGCCTCCCGGGTTCAAGTGATTCTCCTACCTCAGCCTCCCAAGTAGCTGGGGCTATAGGTGCCCGGCACCATACCCAGCTAATTTCTGTATTTTTAGTAGAGAAGGGGTTTTGCCATGTTGGCCAGGCTGGTCTTGAACTCCTGATTTCAGGTGATCCGCCTACCTTGGCCTGCCAAAGTGCTGGGATTACAGGTGTTAGCCACCGCGCCTGGCCTCAAATGTAATTTAATTTGTTAAACTTACTGCAGAATGTTTCCAATATACAGAACAGTATGGAGAATCGTGTTATGAACCCCGTGGGTTACCCCAGCCTCAACAGTTTTCAACACTGCTCTTCTTGCAAACTTAGCCCCAGGTGTCATGTAATGTCCTATGCATCTGTCCGATAAGGGCTCTTTACTACTTTGGCCTGATGGCAATATCATTATCCCATTCAGCAAGATCCATATTTATGCATTCACATCTATTAACGCCGGGTCTGTCTTCAGTTTTCCCCGGTTATCTCAAAAATGTGTCTTTGCTGTTGATTTGCTTGGATCAGGATCCAAGTGCAGTCCACCCAGTGCATTTTCTGGAAATGGCAGCTGAGTGTCTGATCCTCTGTAGCAATGCCCTTTCCCTTTTGGCCCCTATGCTATTTATTCCTGAGGAAAAACATGGGTCATTTGTCCTATAAAATCTCCCACAATTTGGATGTGGTGACGATATCTTTGTGGTGACATTTGTCGGTCCTTCTTTCATTTATTTCCTGTAAACTGATCACTATGTCCAGGTGCCTATTAGATTTCAGTGTGACGTTTGTGGCAGGAACCCTCCATGATTGGTGCTGTGCACTTTGGTGTCACATCTGGAGGCACTTCATGTCTAGTTGTTCCACTTTTAGTAAAACTAAGATTGATTGGTGGATGCAGTTGGTGTCTGACCTAGCCTCATGAAGCGTCACTTCACGCTCTCACCTGATGGACTTTAATAGCCATTGGTGACCATTGCCTAAATATTTCATTGGAGAAAGCAACATAGGAACTTTCCAATTCCATTTCCTCATGCATTTGCTAGCCATGATTTTTCTTTCTATAAACAATTTGTCTTGAGCCAGGCGTGGTAGCTCACATCTGTAATCCCAACACTTTGGGAGGCCAAAGGTGAGAGAATCACTTGAGGCCAGGAGTTTGAGACCAGCCTTGGCAACACAGAGAGACTGTGTCTCTACAAAAAATTAAAAATTACCCAGGCATGGTGGGGGTGAGCACTGTGGTCCCAGCTACTTGGGAGGCTAAGGCAGGAGGATTGCTTGAGCCTGAGAAGTTGAGACTGCAGTGAACTATGATCAGGCCACTGCAGTCCAGCCTGGGCAACAGAGTGAGACCCTATCTCTAAAAATCAAAACGTACTTTCCTTCATCAACTACTAAGGTGTTCTGAAATATGGTTTATACTGTCGAAACAGGATAGATGATGCTTGATTTTTTTCCCTTTATTTATCAATTTTCAGACTAGTTAATGCCCTAGAAAGCACCAATGGCAACCATTTATTTATTTATTTATTTATTTATTTATTTATTTATTTATTTTTGAGATGGAGTCTTGCTCTGTCGCCAGGCTGGAGTGCAATGGTGCTATCTCAGCTCACCGCAACCTCCACCTCCCGGGTTCAAGCAATTCTCCTGCCTCAGCCTCCTGAGTAGCTGGGATTACAGGCATGTGCCACGACACCCGGCTAATTTTGTATTTTTAGTAGAGATGGGGTTTCACCATGTTGGTCAGGCTGGTCTTAAACTCCCAACCTCAAGTGATCCGCCTGCCTCGGCCTCCCAAAGTGCTGGGATTACAGGCGTGAGCCACTGCACCCGGCCAACTTTTTATTTTTTAAGATATTATTTGGAGTTAATATATTTTTATGTACTTAAAATGCATGTAACAATTGTTATTTTTGTTTCTTTCAAATGATACATTTTTGGTACGTGACAGGTGTACCAATCCTTTTGTGACAGGCAAAAGCAAATACTAGAAAGGTGAGGAGAGAGTCTCGGGGGGTGGTGCTGGCCAGGTTCAGCACAGGTCATGTCAATAACGTATGGCAGTGACAGGAGGCCCCTCCCACGAGCTTGGGGAAAACACCAAACACTGCTCCTCTCTGAAAATTGATAGTCACATAAGGATGAGGTCAGACCTATTGAATGTCGCTTAAAGAGACAAAATGGCTCCCAAACCAAACGAAACACTAGTAAAATCTAGTTGTCTGTAGTAACATGCTAAAGAAATATAATGTGTCCATCAGAAGGAGTTCAGTAATGAAGGGAGCATGGAGGCCAAGCACGAAGGAAGTCTCTATTTTACATGGTAGAATATTCCTATCTTGGACATCCATCCATCCATCCATCCAGCACAAGGACCCAATGCAATGAAACATTTGAGTCTGATGACAGCCACTCTTGCTTTGATTCCATGCTCACTAACCAACTTCCAGATAAGCTTTCTGCCTCCTGGCATAAAACATTCACGGGCCAGGTTAAGAAGAATGCACAGTCATTTTTTTCAACAAGCAAATTGGCCCAGTTGACCACATGGCTTGGCATTTTGTGAGTTTAGTTATCACGTCAGTAACCCCGAGTTACATCAATCCCAAGCCACAGACAAAGGGACATTTCTGGGATGGCAAAGTCATGGACAGACCTAGAGCCAAGGTGACTCCCTTAAGTGACATGCTGTGGAGCCCTCAGCACTCTGTGCCCAGCCTTCTCCTGCAGAAACCCTACCTCAGTGTGCTTCTTAGAAGCTTCTAGGCCGGGCAGGTGGCTCACGCCTGTAATCCCAGCACTTTGGGAGGCCAAGGTGGGCAGATCACAAGGTCAGGAGTTCGAGACCAGCCTGACTAACATCTCTACTAAAAATACAAAAAGCCGGGCATGGTGGCGGGCACCTGTAGTCTCAGCTACTCAGGAGGCTGAGGCAGGAGAATCGCTTGAACCCAGGAGGCAGAGGTTGCAGTGAGCCAGATCGCACCACTGCACTCCAGCCTGGGCAACAGAGCGAGACTCCCTCTCAAAAAATAAAAAGAATCTTCTAGCCCAGTTTTAGTGAAGCAAACCCTAGCACCCAGTCTCCAAATGCTACTTAGTTTATAGTCAGAGTTTGCCTAACTAATGTCTAATGTCTGTATTATTTGAATCAGAGCTGGACTTGCTGTTGATATTTGTGACATGGCCAAAAAAATGACTGGAATTTAATTTCCTTATTGCTCCTATTATGCCTAAAATTCTCACCATTGTTGTAGGTTAAGCGGATTAGTATCTAGGAGTCCCCATGTGAAATCCAAATCCAAGTGGAAGCACGATTAAGTCAGGACCATGTTGCTAGGTGTTTTAGAGGAACTCATTGCTAGCCTGAGGGGCGTGATGGAGGCTGCAGATGGAGACAGATACGCTCCTGGAGCTCCTCGCGGGAGTGCAGTAGAGTCACCTGAGAGTGCCCCAGATGAGAGATCTACAGATCCTGTGGGACACACTAATGTCAGGGCAGGCGTCAACAGATCCCTACTTTAGAAAACAAGACTGAAAAGTAATTACTATTACATTAGGTGACCACCAGCCAAAGTGAGTTTAAAATATGAATGAAATTCAAGGTCATAGGGAATCCCCACAAGGCTACAGGCATGGGAGGAGAGTAAGATGGCCACGTGGTAGGAGAAAGGGCCCAAGCATCTGGGCTACTTCCTCATGCAACTTGTTCCTTCTTGACCTGCTCGAGCCCAATCCTGTGTATTCCACTGAAGATGGAATGCGGCTATGCACATCAGCGGATAGCTCGTGAGTCAGACAGCACCCATTCATGATGGGCAGCTCAGGCCACAGGAGAACGTGGTGGCCCATGGTCATTCAATCTCTACTAGAGCCCGGTAGCAAGCCAAAAACTGTTTCTCGAAAGGAGAGTATTCACTGAGGATAGCATAATCTAACAATCTGAGGGTTTTCACTGTCTTCACCCATGGAGGCCTGCCAAAGGCTCCATGCTGCTTCCTTACCCATCACTGACAGTTTAAGCCCCATCAGTTCTGCAGGGTCACACAGGCCAAATGCAAAGCAGCTGGTACAGCTGACCTGTTGCAGAGACATCTCTTACTCTGAGCCCTACTCAAAACTGGCGGTTGGAACGGCCACTGGGTCAGTGGGCTGGAGTAGCATGCCTAGATGAGTCACATATTGCCTCCAAGATCCAGTGAGGCCCACTCAGTGTTGTTATTCTTCCTTAGCAGTAGGAGGGACCAGTTGCAGAAACTTGTCCTTCACTTGGAAGAGATATCTTGACATGCCCCAGACAACTGGACCCTTTAATATTTTTGGAGGGCTGATTTCTCAACCTCTGGCACAAGTAGCTGCTACTCCACGTATCAAGTAGTTATGTCCTGCTCAAATGTCCCAACTGCATGTTTTCCTTGATACAATGTACTAGTGAAAGGGAAAGGTGATCAACGTTCCTGGTGAGTAAATTATGGCACAGGGTAGAAAGCTGATATAGCCAGACTTGGGGCAGTGAAGGTGTATTATTGGCCTTGCCAGGTGAAAGCAAACTGCTTCTGATGATATTTATTAAAGGTATAGATTAAAGAGGTATCTGTCAAATCAATAGCTCCATATAGATGCCAAGGAATAGGTTAATTGCTCCAGTAATGAAACTACATCTGGAATAGCTGCAAGTGGAGTCACCACCTGACTGAGGGACAATCCATTGTCATCCCCAAAGATACATCAGTCTATGTGCAGGCCAAAATAAGTGACTTGGATGGGGATATGGTAGGAATCACCACGCTTGCATCTTTGACTACTTTGATGGTGGCACTAATTTCTGCAGTCCTTCCAGAAGTGTGATACTGCTTTCGGGTTTAAGGTTTTTTTTAGGTAGAGGCAGGCAGTGGCTTCCTCTGGGCCTCTCCTGCCATAATTGCCCTTGTACCACAGGTCAGGGAACTAATGTATGGATTCTCCAAGTTCCTGAACATATCTGTTCCAGATATTATGCATTCCAAAACTGGGGACACCACTGTGAGAAGAACATGAGCCAAAATGCCATTGGTCACCTGTCCTCCACAAGCTCCTACTCTGACTGGGGGACCTCGGTGGTGTTTTGCATCTCCAGGAACTGGTGTCAATTCTGAGCCAGCTTCTAGTCCTGTAACATCTGATTCTTTCACCTTCTCCAGCGCACAGTCACACTAGAAAATGGGTGCAGTCCCCTTTAGGGAAGGCTGAGATGAAGACCAACAATAGAAATGTTTGGCAGTGTAGTGAGGTCTTTCCAGCAGGAGACCTGGCTCCTTACATAAAGAGCTCTGGGTGTGTGGGATGGATCATGTCAGGGGTGTGACCAAGGACTCTTAACTCTGTTGTGGGCAATTCAGGTCAGATTTCTGTTGACTAGATGGAAAGCTTTTCTGATTATGCAGCTCAGATAGGACATCAGTGGGCCTCCCCACTGTTTCAGTTCTGTGGACATCCTGACCAACTGCAGGTCCCTGTGAGTCAGACTGCTTTGTTTCTGTGTCTGTTATAGTAACCACACCCAGTTTGTCTTTGGTGATTAAATAATACCCCTTAATCTCTGCAACCCTGGAACACATCATCCACGTGGAATTAGTGGTACCCATCAAATGGATCTGCTTCCGCTGTAATTCCTGTCCACCACAGAGCTCCCCAGGGATGCTGGGGCTCCCCTCACAAATCTGTTTCTCAGAGCCCTGGTGGTGAGCATGTTTTCTGGGCCCACGTAGGGGACACTGGGAGGGGTGAGTGAGCAGGTCTCACACGATAAATGCACTCTGATATTGCCATCTCCCAAAGCCCCTGCAGAGCTGTCTTCCTCAGGAGCACCCCAGCACTTCCATTTCATTTGCTGTGGGCCCCTTGGGTCCATGTTTCATAAAATGTCTCGGGCAAACTGAGACGCCCCCAGCCTCAAACTAACACGTTGGATCTGGAGGCAGCTTGATGATCTCCTAACGATAACTTTGACCTAATATCATTTTACATTCATTCAAACTCCATCTCACACCCTTAAGATCCATCTCCACACTTATTTCCCAGGTTTCTGTCAATACAAATTGGCAAAATCAGGCAGTTCTTTTGTTTTTCACCTCAGGGACTTGCTGGAACTTGAGTCTGGTTCTGGGTCTAGAACAAGGGGTGGTGGTCAGGCTGGTTCTGAGGACAGTAAGTGGCGTCTTCCCAGGCAGGGGGATAGGAATGTACTTCGGCAGGGAATGAAGGGCTGCTTCTATGGACAAAGAAGTCTTGGCGGACTTGCCAGGGTTTAAGGTCCCCTGCAACACTGGAGCCTGCCCCTATGTCCTTATTCCAGCCCTGGGTCCCATTCCCTCCTGATCAGTGTCCTCATGTTAGCAAAAGAGACCTGAGAGGATAGAGGGTCCATTTGTGATGTAATTCAGCCACACACAGGGTTGGACTTTGGATGTGGCTTTCAGAAATTTTGTCTCTCTTGCTACAGGAGATAAGGGGTGTTGTTTTGTTTTGTTTTGAGACAGGGTCTCTCTCTCTGTTACCCAAGCTGGAGTGCAGTGGCACGATCATGGCCCACTGCAGCCTTGGCCTCCCAGGCTAAGGTGATCCTCCCACCTCAGCCTCCAGAGTAGCTAGGACTATAGGCGCCCACCACCTCCAGCTAATTTTTCAACTTTTTGCATAGACGGGGTTTTGCCATGTTGCCCAGGCTGGTCTTGAACTCCCGAGCTCAGTCGATCCGCTTGGCTCAGCTTCCCCAAGTGCTAAGATTACAGGCATGAGCCACGGCAGCCAGCCAGAATCATTAAATTTTAAGCCTAATCAGATCAGGCAACCAATTCCTGAAAACCCAGAATCAATTCAGAGAATTCATCTTTAAGATTCTCTAGGACCAGCCTGCTTCCAGTACCAAATTCTGCTATCAGTCAGGAATGAATCAGAGAAGCTGAGCCCCTTGGAGGTAGGGGCATGTATTGGTGCATGTGACATTATTTGTCACGGGGACTTGGCCTTCTGCAACTGTGGGAGCTGGGTAAGCCACCTCTCCAAGGCTGTCTCCAAGGGCAGGCAGAGGTGAGGGGTATGTAAGGTGAGGGGGCAGGGCCGCAGGAATAGACCAAGGTGGCAGCTCTTGCGGCAGCACTGGGCCGAGTGTCCTGCAGGAGGAGCTGGCGCTGTTTGTCACTGAGCTGACCTTTACATCTGACCCAGGGCTTGGCTCAGGGAAGGTGGAGCCCTGCGGCCGCTGCCTTCCCATACTCCCGAGGCGAGCCCACTGGCAGGCGACGATGTGTACGACACGTGACACCTCCTGCTTCACTTCTGCCCTCAGATCTCCCACAGGTTTGCCCTTATGACCACCCTAACAGAAACATTCAAGAAAGCAAAGCCAGGAAATGTCGTTCAGCCTTGCCTAGACCATGTACTCCAAAGCCACCACAATGCCTTTATTTACATACTAGGATTAGATATCACAAAGGACTGTTGGGAGCCAGATCCACAAAACCCTAAGAAAATAGACCAGTGTCTGGAGAGAGTGGAAAGAACTTATTTCCTCGGAGTCCCTCCTTGCAGGGGTGTCCCTGTAAGCGAGCATATCTGTAGCTGGTCAGGCCCCTTCACACGTGGTGCAGACTGGCGCTGTGAGACTCCAGGACTGCCCTTCCGCTGAAACCCATCAGACTCGGGAAGGGGCAGGACTGCGGGTGCTGCGTGGTGTGTCGGGGTGGCCTCCTGCTAAAACATCCTTGTTCTGATGGTCCTGTGATCTACAGGGGAAGGGAAGGGCTTCAGCTTTGATGGTCTGCTCACTGGCCCCTTTCAGAGGAAAATAATCTATCTTGGGTTTTCCAGAATCCAAATCTAAACGGTTTGTAAACTAGAAAAACTGCAGATAGTGGGGGAGATATGTACAGGTGTGGGTACACACACATGTGCGCACACACAGAGCCCCATCCGTGGTTTTATTGTTACTGCAGATTTCACAGATCACAGCTTGGGCATAGAAAACTGTTACATGGGCCAGGCGCGGTGGCTCACGCCTGTAATCCCAGCACTTTGAGAGGCCGAGGCGGGTGGATCATCACCTGAGCTTGGGAGTTCAATACCAGCCCGACCAACATAGAGAAACCCCATCTCTACTAAAAATACAAAAAATTAGCCAGGTGTGGTGGCGCATGCCTGTAATCCCAGCTGCTCAGGAGGCTGAGGCAGGAGAATCGCTTGAACCCGGAAGGCGGAGGTTGTGGTGAGCCAAGATCATGTCATTGCACTCCAGCCTGGGCAACAAGAGTGAAACTCCATCTACAATAAATAAATACATAAAAAACTGTTATATGTCTTCCAATATTGTGGTGAGATTTTGCCTTGAGCATTCAGCCTGCCTGACAAGTGGGAAATACCAGATAGCCTTTTTCAGGGAAATGTGGCTCGTCGGGGGCATTTGAGGCTGGGAAGTGAAGGCTCTGCAGTGCAGGAGGATGTGGACCTCCTCCTCTCCAAAGCGGCCTCTGCATTTGCACCTGTGTCTCAGCACAGGAGGTGCTGTGGGGCGGCTCGAGCTCCAGGCGGCCCTCTTCTGCTGCGTCTCCCATGGGAGTCCGTGGTCCTGCCTGGTGCCCAGTTTGTCTGGCCTGAGGTCCATAGAATCAAACCCCACCTCTGAGGCCCTGCAGCTCTCCCTCAGCCTCTAGGAGCCTGGGAAATGTCAGCGTGGGGTGGGAACCCCGGGGGCTTCTTGCACCGCCCTCCTCCTGCCTGCTCTGTGGTGCTGGGGCATCTCTGGGAGGCTTAAACTCTCCCCCTCCATAGTCTAGAAAGAAGGCACGGGCCTCTTGCCCTGAGACCCTGGTTTTAGTCTGTTCAGGCTGCTATAATAAAATGCCACAGATGGGTTGGCTTATAACAGAAGTTTATTTCTCACAGTTCTGGAGGCTGGATGTCCAAGATGAAGGCACTGCTAAACTCTGCATCTGGAGAGGGTGGTTTCCTGATTCACGGACAATGTCTCCTCCCTGTGTCCTCACATGGCCTCTACTCTGTGCGCACCTGGAGAGAGAGCGCCCCGTCCCTCCCTCTTCTGATGAGGTCACCAGCCCTATCAGGTGAGGGCCCTGGCCTTAGGCTTTCATTTCACCTTAATCTCCTCTCTAGAGGCTCCGCCTCCGCACACTGGCACCTGGGGCCAGGGGGCCAACACCCTCCACAGTGCCTACCCATCCCCTTCTTGGAAGCGGGTGCAGGGTGCAGCGTGTCTTCTGAGATACAACTTTTTTTCTCCCAGAAAAATATTTTGTCTCTTTGAGAAACATTTTAATGTATAAATGTTATGCTTTAATCCTTTTGGAATCTTAGCCTGTTGGAACTCAAAACCTTGTTTCTTTCTCAAAAGCTTACCTTCTTTCCAGATGTCTGGAAATGTTTCATACTTTAATCTGGGTAGGGGTTATATGAATGTTCACATATGTAAACATTAATCAAACTACAAATTGAAGATTTTTGCATTTCACTATCCCTATATGTTACTATTCCATAATGTACAGTTTTTTGTTTGTTTGTTTGTTTTTTTGAGACGCAGTTTCACTTTTGTTGCTCAGGCTGGAGTGCAATGGCACAATCTAGGCTCACCGCAACCTCCACCTCCTGGGTTCAAGCAATTCTCCTGCCTCAGCCTCCATGTAGCTGGAATCATAGGCATGTGCCACCATGCCCGGCTAATATTTTATTTTTAGTAGAGACAGGGTTTCTCCATGTTGGTCAGGCTGGTCTCGAACTCCCGGCCTCAGGTGATCCACCCACCTCAGCCTCCCAAAGTCTTGGGATTATAGGCATGAGCCACCGTGCCTGGCCTGTATAGTTATTTTTTTTAAAAACCCTTATGTATTCATCTGTTCTCTCATTGCTGTAAAGAACTATCTGATGCTGGGTAACTTATAAAGAAAAGAGGTTTAATTGACTCAGTTCCACATCTGTACAGGAAGCATGGCTAGGATGCCTCAGGAAATTTACAATCATGGTGGAAGGTGAAGGAGAAACCGACACGTCCTACATGGCTGGAGCTGGAGGAAGAGACAGTGAAGTGGGAGGGGCTGCACACTTTCAAAACAACCAGATCTCATGAGAACCCAGTCACTATCCTGAGAACAGCAAGGGAGACATCTGCCCCCATGATCCAGTCACCTTCCACCAGGCTCCTCCTCCAATTTGACATGAGATTTGGGTGGGGACACAAATCCAAGCCATGTCACCTTACTAGCAAAAAATCTTTGCTTTTATGACAATGCTATGGGTTAAAGAAACCTAGATTATAAATCCAGTGCTAGACATGGGCTCTTTTGTGTCCTGTTCCTATCAGGACAATCCCAGTTCTGAAGCACTGCATGTGTCTGGCCAAAGAGGTAGATATGGTCATCATGTAACCTGCAGAGGGATTTGGGGGAGTTTCGATTAATATTGAAATAGTAGAACATATCTTTGGATAAATTCACCAGAAAGAAAAAACCCAAATAGCACGGCTGCTTCTGGCCAGGGGAACTGGCAGCCTGGGAAGTGGGGTTGGAGTACAGCTGTTTGTGCTGGTCACAATTTGTTTTTTTTTTTTTTTTTTTTTTTTTTTTACCATGAACATGTATTAATTTAAAAATAAAATCTGCAGAATTAAATAATTATTCAAAAGATGTATTTAAAGCTACATGAGCCGGGGCAGTGCCTCAAGTCTGTAATCCCAGCACTTCGGGAAGCCAAAGCATGAAGATTACTTGAGTCCAGGAGTTCAAGGTTGCAGTGAGCTATGACCATACCATTGTCCTCCAGCCTGGGTGACAGAGCAAGATCTTCTTTCAAAAAATACATAAATAAATAAATTACATGAAAGATGTGTTTGATCTATTGTTAATTAAAATGACAGTTTACTGGGCCAAGCATAGTGGCTCACACCTATAATCTCAGCACTTTGGGAGGCCGAGGCGGGCAGAACTCTTGACGTCAGGAGTTTGAGACCAGCCTGGCTAACATGGAGAAACTGTGTCTCTACTAAAAATACAAAAATTAGCTGGGCATGGTGGCACACACCTGTAGTCCCAGCTACTTGGGAGGCTGAGGCAAGAGAATCGCATGAACCCGGGAGGTGGAGGTGGCAGTGAGTCGAGATCACGCCGCTGCCCTCCAGCCTGGGTGACAGAGCAAGACTCCATCTCAAAAAAAAAAAAAGAGTTTAGTAACAGTGAGTGTAGTATGATTAACAAATTACATGCACACACATGCACACATGCAAATAACTGGAAAGAATCACTCCAAAACATTACCCTGGGGACTGGGATGAAAATTAGTAGGGGTTTTCAGGGCCTTATCCTTTTTGTTTTTACACATGTTTTCTGTTTGAAATTTTTGCAACTAGCATGTGTTACTTTTGTGAACCCCAAATATCTAGGACAGATCTCAGTTAATTTAGGAAGTTTATTTTGCCACAGTCAAGGACGTGTGCGGGTGACACAGCCTCAGGAGTCCTGATGACATGTGCCCAAGGCAGTTGGGGCACAGCTTGGTTTTATACATGTTAGGGAGACAAGAGACATCAATCAATATATGTAAGAAGCACGTTGGTTGGGAGACTGAGGCGGGTGGATCATGAGGTCAGGAGATCGAGACCATCCTGGCCAACATGGTGAAACCCCGTCTCTACTAAAAATACAAAAATTAGCCGGGCATGGTGTCACGTGCCTGTAATCCCAGCTACTCGGGAGGCTGAGGCAGGAGAATTGCTTGAACCCGGGAGGCGGAGGTTGCAGTGAACCAAGATCACCACTGCACTCCAGCCTGCAGTCCCAGCTGGTTGGCAGGCTGAGGCAGGAGAATGGCGTGAACCCGGGAGGCGGAGCTTACAGTGAGCCAAATCACCACTGCACTCCAGCCTGGCAACAGAGTACATTGGTTTGGTCCAGAAAGGTGGGACAACCCGAAACTGGGAGGGGGCTTCCAGGTAGATAAGAGACAAACAGTTGCATTATTTTGAATTTCTGATTAGCCCTTTCCAAAGGAGACAATCAGATATGCATTTATCTCAGTGAGCAGAGGGGTGACTTCGAGTTCTGTCTGTCCTTTGTCCACAAAGAAATTCCTTGTGAGGGAGGTATGCAGCTTTTTTTATCTTAGTAGCTATCTTGGTGTAGGAATAGAATGGGAGATAGGTTTGCCCTAAGCAGTTCCTGGCTTGACTTTACCCTTTGGCTTAGTGACTTTGGGGTCCCAAGATTTATTTTCGTTTTACACTTTTATAATTAAAAACTCTACCTAGCAAAAATATTTTGCCAGCATAGTGATTCTGGGTTCCGAACTTTTTCTGCCACGCTAAATTTCACTCATAATTTTAAGCTCAATTTCATAGGTCATCCAAGATTCAAGGAAATTGCAACAGTGAAGCCATACATGGGGGTGTATTAAAGAATCCTGAACATGGGCAAAAAAGAACACATCTTGTGTCACTGAGGTCAAGATGTGGAACAAAGCTGCGGAGGGACACTTCCTGGAGCTACAGTTAGAATTTGCTCCTTTAAGAAAATTTATGGGGTTCTTTTTCACTTTCAAGAAAATTAAGCCGTAGATGTTTAGAGCAGATTATTTAATGAGACTCAGCTAGGGAGTCTTATTAATGGGAGAAAGGGAGAATGGCAGTAACTCTTAGAATGATAAAATATCATTTCACAGAAACTCATCATTTCAGAGAAATCACTTTATGCCAGATACTGGCTGTGGAGACAGACCTAGGCATTTTAAAGGAAAACTAATGAAATGTTTAAAGAATGTCCAGCAGGTTTGAAAGGAAAAGACATTCTGTATTCTGATGCCTTGCCTTGTAATTGACACTGAGGCTGTTTCTTGACATCGGTGGTATTTCATTTTTTTCATTATTCTTCAGCATCTCTATCTGTATTTGGGCATTCTGAAGCTCAGCTTGAGTATATTACACTAATATTCTATTATTTGGGTGATGTGACCTTGGGGCTGTGACCAAGGCGTTGTTCCTCTGCATCTGCTTAGGGAGGTGACGTTAGATCACAGAGAAGCAGCCACACACCACAGCCAGTCCCATCCTCACAGGGCGCACCGGGAGATGTGCGGGTCACACCCATGCACGTACGTGCTCAGTGCGCTGTGTTACTGGAAAGAAAAATGCGTGGCTGATCTGGTGTCTTCTGTTCTTCCTTCATACAATTTTTTGTAGCTTCTCTCTTTTTTTTTTTTTTTTTTTTTTTTCCGAGACGGAGTCTGGCTCTGTCGCCCAGGCTGGAGTGCAGTGGCGCAATCTCGGCTCACTGCAAGCTCTGCCTCCCAGGTTCACGCCATTCTCCTGCCTCAGCCTCCCGAGTAGCTGGGACTACAGGCACCCGCCAGTACACCGGGCTAATTTTTTGTATTTTTAGTAGAGACGGGGTTTCACCGTGTTAGCCAGGATGGTCTTGATCTCCTGACCTCGTGATCCACCCGCCTCGGCCTCCCAAAGTGCTGGGATTACAGGCGTGAGCCACCGCGCCCGGCCTGTAGCTTCTCTTTTTTAAAAAAAATGGTTTTAACTAGTCAAGTGAAGCAGTGGGAATGGAGAAGGAACAAAAAAATCTGTAACTGATTGTCATCAATTAATTGTAAACACCACTGCACTCGGACAAGCCTGTGGCTTTTTATGTATATATGTACTTATTTACTTTCATTTATTCATTTTGAGACAGGGTCTTACTCCATCACCCAGGCGAGAGTGCAGTGGCGCGATCCTGGTTCACTGCAGCCTCAACCTACTGGGCTTAAAGAATCCTCTCACCTCAGCCTCCCAAGTAGCTGGGACCACAGGTGTGCACCACCATCCCTGGCTAATTTTTAAAAAAATTTATTGCAAAGACAAGGTTTCACTATGTTTCCTAGGCTGGTCTGGAACTCCCAACCTCAGGTGTTCCACTCACCTCAGCCTCCAAAAGTGCTGGGATTACAGCCATGAGCCACCATGCTTGGCTCAGCTTGTAGCTTTTGAAAAAGGCCATGACTTTACATCTCTAGGCCCACCTAAAACATGGAGGAAACCTGCATGCCAAGGAAGAAAGGAGAGAGTTAACTATCTGTCAGCTTTGAGGAAGGTGAAAAGCACAAAAATATTTTCCCTGACGCAAACTGGTCAATCCAAAACCTTCTACGGAAAATAAGAGCATTATCAGTTCTCTTGATTTCAAATTTCTGTTAAATGAAGAGCACATAATTTTTTTCTAACAAGTTTATGTAGAAAAGGGACAAAAATAATTTTAGGTAATTTGTAGTTTTATAGATTAAAATTAACATCTTTATTTCACTAGAATTAAAAATTGTCATATAAACAATAATAATCTAGGAATATATATATGTTTACCCATGTGTATGAATTAAGTTAATATTTATAAGAATGTGCACAAATCATTAGAAATGATTACAACTCACCTTTCACTGCATTCGTAGAAAGAGAGAAGGGAAGGGAAACCCATTATACCCTTTGGGTTTTGTTTTACCTTCACCTGTTATCTCTGTAACGCTCTTCCATTGTTCATGTAGATCTGAGTTTCAAACCTATATCATTTTCCTTCTCTCTTAAGAACTTCTTTTTATTTATTTACTTATTTTTTTGGAGACAGAGTCACTCTGTCACCCAGGCTGGATTGCAGTGGTGCAATCTTGGCTCACTGCAGCCTCTGTCTCCCGGGTTCAAGCGATTCTCATGCCTCAGCCTCCCAAGTAGCTGGGACTACAGGTATGTGCCATCATGCCTGATCACGCCCAGCTAATATATTTAATACCCTTGATATATGCCTTGCAAAATAGGTTTGTGAAGGCAGCACCTGCATCTTTGAAGAGCCCTGTAATTGCTCTTCTCTGTATGTCAGATCTAGCAGTGGGAACTGCGGTCATTCAACTACAAAATTGAAATGCAATGGGAATAATTGAATCCTGAGGTGGCAGGGGCCAAGTGGCAGCACTTAGCCATCAAAGGCAAGGTGGGCATAGCTACCATAATGGACAGCAAAGGCAAAGTGGCAATCAGAATAGTCTGGCTTGTACAGAGCTCTGGCATTGGCTAATCACGGTGTTCCTAGAAGTGAAATTGATTGGAAGCCTACTGCATTCCTACTTAATTTATACAAACAGAAACCTTCTAGGTCGAATGGACAAAGGACTAATTTGAATTATAAAAACAGAGAATCACGGCCTCTCAATTTCCAGACTTGAGCCAGTTTAAAGACCTAAAACCCCTTGAATGAAGGGGAGGCCAGGTCCCCTTGAGGAAGGACCCCACTATATTACCTACAGTTTATACAGTGAATCTTTCTCCCATCCTTCCCCAAGGAGACCTCCAGCCTTCACCAGGGTAACTGTGCATTGGGGAAAGGGAAATGATCAGACATTTCAGGGACTATTGGACACTGGCTCTGAGCTGACATTGATTCCAGGGGACCCAAAACGTCATTGTGGTCCTCCAGTTAAAATAGGGGCTTATGGAGGTCAGATAATTAATGGAGTTTTAGCTCAGGTCCAACTTACAGTGGATGCAGTGGGTCCCTGGACTCATCCTGTGGTTTTTCCCAGTGCCAGAATGCATAATTGGAATAGACATACTCAGCAGCTGGCAGAATCCCACATTGGCTCCCTGACTGGTAGGGTGAGGGCTACTATGGTGGGAAAGGCCAAATGGAAGCCATTAGAGCTGCCTCTACCTAGAAAAATAGTAAATCAAAAACAATATCACATCCCTGGAGGGATTGCGGAGATTGGTGCCACCATCAAGGACTTGAAGGACACGGGTGGTGATTCCCACATCCCCATTCAACTCTCCCATTTGACCTATGCAGAAGACAGATGGATCTTGGAGAATGACAGTGGATTATCTTAAGCTTAACCAAGTGGTGACTCCACTTGCAGCTGCTGTACCAGATGTGGTTTAACTGATTGAGCAAATTAACACACCTCCTGGTACCTGGTATACAGCCCTTCACTTGGCAAATGCCTTTGTCTCCATTCCTGTCCATAAGGCCCACCAGAAGCAATTTTCTTTCAGCTGGCAAGGCCATCAATATACCTTTACTGTCCTACCTCAGGGGTATATCAACTCTGTGGCTTTGTGTCATAATCTTATTTGGAGAGAACTTGATCGCTTTTCGCTTCTGCAGGATATCACACTGGTCCATTACATTGATGACATTATGCTGATTGGATCCAGTGAGCAAGAAGTAGCAAACACACTGGGCTTATTGGTGAGACATTTGCATGCCAGAGGATGGGGAATAAATCTGACTAAAATTCAGAGACCTTCTGTCTCAGTAAAATTTCTAGGGGTCTAGTGGTGTGGGGCTTGTCAAGATAGTCCTTCTTTTTTTTTTTTTTTTTTTTTTTTTTTTTGAGACGGAGTCTCGCTTTGTCTCCCAGGCTGGAGTATAGTGGCGTGATCTCGGCTCACTGCAAGCTCCGCCTCCCAGGTTCACACCATTCTTCCGCCTCAGTCTCCAGAGTAGCTGGGACTACAGGTGCCCGCCACCACGCCCGGCTAATTTTTTGTATTTTTAGTAGAGATGGGGTTTCACTGTGTTAGCCAGGATGGTCTTGATCTCCTGACCTTGTGATCCGCCCGCCCCGGCTTCCCAAAGTGCTGGGATTACAGGCGTGAGGTACCGCGCCCGGCCAAGATAATTCCTTCTAAGGTGAAGGATAAGTTGCTGCATTTGGCCCCTCCTACAGCCAAGAAAGAGGCATAATGCCTAGCGGGTCTATTTGGATTTTGGAGTCCATGCATTCCTCATTTGGGTGTGTTACTTCAGTCCATTTATCTAGTGACCCAAAAGGCTGCCATTCTGAGTGGGGTCCAGAACAGGAG
Source organism: Homo sapiens (assembly GCF_000001405.40). Lineage (NCBI taxonomy): Eukaryota > Metazoa > Chordata > Mammalia > Primates > Hominidae > Homo > Homo sapiens. The sequence goes on along the minus strand of NC_000018.10, from coordinate 12,757,504 downwards.
AAGGCTCTGCAAGAGGTCCAGGCTGCTGTGCAAGCTGCTCTGATACTTGAGCCATATGACCCAGCAGGTCCAGTGGTGCTTGAGGTGTCACTGGCAGATAGGGATGCTGTTTGGAGCCTTTGGCAGGCCCCCATAGGTGAATCACAGCAAAGGCCTCTAGGATTTTGGAGCAAGGCCCTGCCATCTTCTGCAGGTAACTACTCTCCTTTTGAGAGACAGCTCTTGGCCTGTTACTAGGCTTTGGTGGAAACTTAATGTTTGACTATGGGTCATCAAGTCACCATGCGACCTGAACTGCCTATCATGAACTGGGTGCTTTCTGACCCATCTAGCCATAAAGCGTGTCATGCACAGCAGCATTCCATCATCAAATGGAAGTGGTATATACATGATCGGGCTCGAGCAGGTCCGGAAGGCACAAGTAAGTTACATGAGGAAGTGGCTCAAATGCCTATCATCTCCACCCCTGCCACCCTGTCTTCTCTCCTACAGCCTGCACCGATGGCCTCATGGGGAGTTCCCTATGATCAGGTGACAGAGGCAGAGAAGACTAGGTCCTGGTTCACAGATAGTTCTGCACGATATGCAGCCACCATGTGAAAATGGGACAGCTTCAGCACTACAGCCTCTTTCTAGGAAATCCTTGAAGGACAGCAGTGAAGGGAAATCTTCCCAGTGGGCAGAACTTCGAGCCGTGCACCTGGCTGTGCACGTTGCATGGAAGGAGAAATGGCCAGATGTGCGATTAGATACTGATTCATGGGCCGTAGCCAATGGTTTGGCCAGATGGTCAGGGACTTGGAAGGAGCATGATAGGAAAATTGGTGACAAAGAAGTCTGGGGAAGAGGTACGCGGATAGAACTCTCTGAGTGGTCAAAAACTGTGACGATATTTGTATCCCATGTGAGTGCTCACCAATGGGTGACCTCAGCAGAGGAGGATTTTTTTTTTTTTTAGACAGAGTCTCGCTCTGTCGCCCAGGCTGGAGTGCAGTGGCGCGATCTCGGCTCACTGCAAGCTCCGCCTCCCGGGTTCACGCCATTCTCCTGCCTCAGCCTCCTGAGTAGCTGGGACTAAAGGCGCCTGCTACCATGCCTGGCTAATTTTTTCTATTTTTTAGTAGAGACGGGGTTTCACCGTGTTAGCCAGGATGGTCTCGATCCCCTGACCACGTGATCCGCCCGCCTCGGCCTCCCAAAGTGCTGGGATTACAGGCGTGAGCCACCGCACCCGGCCAGCAGAGGAGGATTTTAATAATCAAGTGGGCTAGGTGCGTAATCCCAGCACTTTGGGAGGCCAAGGCAAGTGGGTCATCTGAGGTCAGGAGTTTGAGACCAGCCTGACCAATATGGTGAAACCCTGACTCTAGTAAAAATACAAAAATTAGCAGGGTGTGGTGGTGCATGCCTGTAATCCCAGCTACTTGGGAGGCTGAGGCAGGAGAATTGCTTGAACCTGGGAGGTGGAGGTTGCAGTGAGCCAAGGTTGCCATTGCACTCCAGCCTGGGTGGTAAGAGCAGTACTCCATCTCAATAATAATCAAGTGGATAGGATGACCCATTCTATGGACACCATTCAGTCTCTTTCCCCAACCACCCCTGTCATCGCCCAATGGGCCCATGAACAAAGGGGCCATGGTGGCAGGGATGGAGGTTACACATGGGCTCAGCAACATGGACTTCCACTCACCAAGACTGACCTGGCTACGGCCGCTGCTGAGGGCCCCATTTGCCAGCAGCAGAGACCAATACTAAGCCCTCGACATGGCACCGTTCCTCGGGGGTGACCAGCCAGCTACCTGGTGGCAGGTTGATTATATTGGACCTCTTCCATCATGGAAAGGGCAGAGGTTTGCCCTCATTGGAATAGATACTTACTCTGCATATGGATTTGCCTATCCTGCACGCAGTGCTTCTACCAAGACTACCATCCATCCGTGGGCTCACAGAATGCCTTATACACCAACATGGTATTCCACACAGCATTGCCTCTGACCAAGGCACTCACTTTACGGCTAAAGAATTGCAACAGTGGGCTCATGCTCACGGAATTCACTGGTCTTACCATGTTCCCCATCATCCAGGGTTGGGGCAAAGTTCTCCAGAAGGCCGTGTATGCTCTGAATCAGCGTCCAATATATGGTGCTGTTTCTCCCACAGACAGGATTCATATGTCCAGGAATCAAGGGGTGGAAGTGGAAGTGGCACCACTCACCATCACCCCTGGTGATCCACTAGCAAAAGTTTTGCTTCCTTTTCCTGTGACATTACTTTCTGCTGGCCTAGCGGTCTTAGTTACAGAGGGAGGAAAGCTGCCAACAGGAGACACAACAATGAGTCCATTAAACTGGAAGTTAAAATTGCCACCTGGACATTTTGGGCTCCTCTTACCTTTAAGTCAACAGGCTAAGAAGGGAGTTACAGAGTTGGCTGCAGTGATTGACTCGAACTATCAAGATGAAATCAGTCCACTACTCCACAACAGAGGAAAGGAAGAGTATGCATGGAATATAGGAGATCCATTAGGGCGTCTCTTAGTATTACCATGCCCTGTGATTAAGGTCAATGGGAAACTACAACAGCCCAATCCAGGCAGGATTACAAATAACCCAGACCCTTCAGGAATGAAGGTTTGGGTCATTCCACCAGGAAAATAGCCACAACCTGCTGAGGTGCTTGCTGAAGGCAAAGGGAATACAGAACGGGTAGTAGAAGAAGGTAGTTATCAATACCAGCCATGACCACGTGACCCGCTGCAGAAGCGAGGACTGTAATTGTTATGAGTATTTCCTCCTTCTTTCGTTAAAAACATGTTTGTGCATGCATACACTTGTGCTAAGAAAATAACTTCATTTTATTTCCTTTCTCCTTTATCATGTGACATAAGATTTATTGACTTCATGTTAGCATTTAAGTACTGTTAACTTTATGTAATAGTATTGGGGTTGGGGATTGGTGCATTTCCAGTTGTACGAAGGATAGTTGTATTATGTTAGGCGTAATTATGACCTTATTGTTGTCCTTATTTGAAGATTATGTATGATCTCAGGAGTTGTGTATGGGTTCAAGTTGACAAGGGGTAGACTTGTGATGGTTAATACTGTCAACCTGATTGGATTGAAGGATACAAAGTATTAATCCTGGGTGTGTCTGTGAGGGTGTTGCCAAAAGAGATTAACATTTGAGTCAGTGGGTGGGGAAGGCAGATCCACCCTTAATTTGGTGGGCACAATCTAATCAGCTTCCAGTGAATATAAAGCAGGCAGAAAAATATGAAAAAGAGAGATGGGCCTAGCCTCCCAGCCTACGTCTTTGTCCCATGCTGGATGCTTCCTGCCCTTGAACATCGGACTCCAAGTTCTTCAGGTTTGGGACTCGGACTGGCTCTCCTTGCTCCTCAGCTAGCAGACAGCCTATTGTGGGACTTTGTGATCGTGTAAGTTAATAAAGTTAATACTTAATAAACTCATATATATTCTATTAGTTCTGTCCCTTTAAGAGAACCCTGACAAATACAGGAGGTAATTAAGGTTAAGGTTCAATGGGGTCATAAGGGTGGGCCCTGGTCCCATGGATCTGGTGATCTTAGAAGAAGAGAAAGAGGCTGGGTGAGGTGGCTCATGCCTGTAATCCCAGCACTTTGGGAGGCTCAGATAGGAGGATTGCTTGAGCCCAGGATTTCAAGGTTACAGTCAGCTATGATTGTGCCACTGCACTCCAGCCTGGGTGAGACCTTGTCTCTAAAAAAAAAAAAAAAAAAAAAAAAAATATATATATATATATATAGTGTTATATTTATAGTAATATATATAATTATTATTTTTTAGACACAGGGTCTTACTTTGTCACACAGCCTGGAGTGCAGCCGTTCAAACAGCTCACTGCACCCTCCACCTCTTGAGCTCAGGCGATCCTCCCACCTCAGCCTTCTGGGTACCTAGGACCACTTGTGTGTGCCACCATGCCCCACTAATTTTTAAACTTTTTGTAGAGATGGGGTCTCGCCATGTTGTCCAGGCTGGTCTCAAACTCCTCGGCTCAAGTGATCCTCTCACCTCAGCCTCCCAAAGTGCTGGAATTACAGGTACGAGCCACTGTGCCTGGCCCTAAAAATTTCATTCAAATTAAAAAAAAAAAAGAAAAGAAAAGAAAAGAAGAAAAGGGACATCAGACCTAGTCCCCAAACTTCTCCCACTTGCACACACTGAGGACATAGCAAGAGGGCAGCCATCTGCAAGCCTGAAACAGAGGCCTCATCAGAAACCAGCCCTGATGGCAGCTCTGTCTTAGGCTTCCAGGCTCCAGGGCTGTGAGACTGTGTGAGCCGCCCAGTCTGTGGCATCTTTCTACAACAGCCCGAGCTGGCTTAGTACACTTATTGTCCTATAAAATGTTCCACCTTTGAGATGTATCTGATTGTTTCCTTGTGATGTTAACTCCTCCATCCCCTGTGTTTCCCACATGTTAGAATTTAGATCTAAAATCTTTCTTAGACTCAGGTTAACCCCGTATGGCCAGTCTTCAGGAGTGATGCTGTCAACTGCCCATGGCATTCTATTCAATGCACATTATTCCTGGTTGTCCAAGATTGACAACGTTAAAGCACTCATGTAGGGCCACGGGAGCTGATCTCTCCATTGTAAACACATGGCTTTTAAGTTATGACTGAGTTATTTTATTTTCAGAGCTCAAGATTGCTCTAAATATTTACATTAATGAGCTGAGAAAAATCAGGACAACTTGCAGAGTACCCTGAAACAAATGGTCATGTTGGAGACACAGCTAGATATTCAGGCTCAGAAAAATTTATCATTTAAAAATGATGGCCAGGTGCAGTGGCTTATGCCTGTAATCCCAACACTTTGGGAGGCCGAGGTGGGCAGATCACGAGGTCAGGAGATCAAGACCATCCTGGCTAACAGTGAAACTCCGTCTCTACTAAAAATACAAAAAATTAGCCAGGTGTGGTGGCAGGCGCGTGTAGTCCCAGCTACTCGGGAGGCTGAGGCAGGAGAATGGCGTGAACCCGGGAGGCGGAGCTTGCAGTGAGCCGAGATCGCGCCACTGCACTCCAGCCTGGGTGATAGAGTGAGATTCCATCTCAAAAAAAAAAAAAAAAAAAAATACAGTTTTAAAAAGTAACGTGTTTTTTTCCCTTGCCTTTCTGATGATAGATGTATCAGTTAGGATGCTCTTGGTTGTGAGTCACAGACAACTTGATATAAATCTAGTTAAATCATAAGAAAGACTCCAGAAGTAGGGCAGGCTCCAAGGTGAGTATAACCCAGCCCCAGGGCTGACACGGGGACCTCGATTTGCTCTGTCTCCAACTCCATCCTCAGCAGCCTGGACGCACCCTGAGGCCCAAGCCTGCTGAGGTCACCAGATGGCCAGTGTCACATGCATCCTCATGTCAGCCAGCAGGAAGGAGCAGTCCTAGGAGAGATGGGATGCCTTCAACTGGAAGCAGATATTAAAAGCAGAACCTCTCTTGGCAGCATGTAGAGCTGGGCCTTCATGGCGGGCCTCCAGTGTTTCTGCCTTCCTGGCATCATAGCTGCAGCTTCCTGGTACAGTTCTTTATTCTCCTCATACACCCCCAGCATATGCATTTTGGGTGAGCTGGTGTCCTCTGATCCCCGTCTGTCAGGTGCATTATGTGACCAATTCCAGATGTGGTTGTTAGTTTAGGATATTGCCTGAGTTCCCGAGTTTTTTCAGGTACCTTGGAGAAGGGGAGCATTTGCCCCAGATGTGAGGCTGGGAAGGTGTCAGCCTGGTGTTGCTGGGATCCGCCCAGTGGAGACAGCCCGGAACTGTGTCCAGTCCCAATGAGGGGAGCACTAACCACTGGAGAGGGTCCAGGTCCTGAGGACATCATTAGAGCCCCCCGATCCAGTTGTGTCTGAAGCTAAATTGCATCCCTGTAGTGTTATTGGTCAATTTTTTGTGTGTTATCTTAAGTCATTTGGACATCAACTGTCATTTGCAACCAAGGAGTTAACTGACTATATACAATACTATACCATGCTATACTATACGTACACACGTGTGCACGCATGCACACACACAGGCACACAGTTACAGTGCAGCACACAGAAGTGTGATGGTAGCTTCTGGAGTTTGGAGTCAGCCATGCTTCACCCATGCATGTTGCGTGTATTCACCCCCAGGCTGAAGACCCCTCTGTGTGCACTTGCTGGTGGTCTCTGGCTGCTGGTGCTGGAGCAGTGCGGGTGAATCCCGGTCTGCGCTCCGGGGACACAGCCTTGTCCACATGCTCCTGAGTGGTGGGCCAAGCACATTCTCTCAGGGCAGAGCAAGGGCGCCGTCCTGGGCTTTGCTTCTTCCAGCGCAAGCTGCTGCAAGGTTGGCGAACCATTTTCAGTTATTTGTCCTAATCAGGCACACATGGCACTGGCACATCTGGGTGAGTGTGGGCTCTCATTCTCTTCTCCACCCACCTACCAGTGCAGGCAGCAAGAAGCACCGCCGAGGTGGGAGGCCCAAGGCCAGCACTGGCTGGGAAGGAGGATGAAGGACCCAAGTGGAGACAGAGGGAGAATCCCTGGGAGCAGCCTTAGGGGCCCAGGTCTCTGTCCCATGCCTCACGTGACACCTCCTCCACCTGGTGCCAAGTCTAAGTCCTTTATCGTGAGACCTTTCCCTGAGCTCCCAAGCCTAAGGTTTCGTGTTTTACTCCCAATTCCCAGCTCCAGATTCTCCTGAACTAAGCCATAACTCTATTTACATCCACTGTTGGTATCACGTGTTTTCCTGAGACTTAGAAGGTAAAGAAGATGGAAGGTTTCAGGGAACCAGAGTATGACAGGCAGATGTGGACACTGCAGCCACCAAGGGCGACTTTGTCTCTTCACGATTTCGCTTGGGCATGGCCTTGAATGTGGGTTAAACTGACAAAGTCTCAAGGATTTCATGTGTCGTCTGCAGAAGCTTCAGCTGTGCCTGACTCAGGGTATCGGAATGATGGCGGCACTGCTCTGTTGACCTTGGCATCTGACCTCATTCTTTGTCCTCTTGGCTCCAGCAGGCTTCCAAATGATCATTTTTAACTTTTTTTTTTTTAAACAGCCTTGTCGGTTGGTGCTTTGGTTGTATTCAGCTTTTGTGTTCAAGTTCAGAGCAGTTTCAAGTGAGTAGCGTTCACAACAGATGGCCCCTGTGGCTGCCCTCCCTCGAGCAAACCCCCGGGTTCCCAGAGCAGGCTGTTGACTCTGCCAAGACACCTGTGCCTTTTGCGGTTTCTTCTCTGTGGCATTTGAGGGTGCAGTCACTGAAAAAGCAACCCCCGGGGGAAAGGTTCTTAAACATGTCTGTTCACATTCACTGCCTCTTGGAAAAGAAGAGCTTCTCTGGATCTCCACTGTCTTCACCACATTCCGAGTCCTTGCCACGGCCTTGGGATGGCTGTGCAAAGTCACGAGCTTGTCTGACAGCCAGCGATGCTGTTTATCATGATAGAGATTTGAGTGAGGCTGGGCGCGGTGTCTCACACCTGTAATCCCAGCACTTTGGGAGGCCGAGACAGGTGGATCACTTGAGGCCAGGAGTTCGAGACCAGCCTGGCCAACATGGCGAAACCCTATCTCTACTGAAAATACAAAAAATTAGCCAGACGTGATAGTGGGCGCCTGTAATCCCAGCTACTTGGGAGGCCGAGGCAGGACAATCACCTGAACCCGGGAGGTGGAGGCTGTAGTGAGCCGAGATAACACCAATGCACTCCAGTCTAGGTGACAGAGCGCAACTCTGTCTCAAAAAAACAAAAACAAAAACCCCAAAAACCAAAAAACAAAAAACTGATGTCTGGTAGATAGAATGACAAAATAAGCATTAATTTTTACTTGTTTATCTCTTCTAAGAGCAGGGGACGAGGTCTGGTAGATCTATTTAGAAGCTGTGTATGAGTGTGTCTACTTAATGGGTTCTCTTCCATTTCATCAACAAAAGAACTTTTTCTGAGAGCCTATCGTGTCCATGGAGAGCAGCTGAGGTAAATCCTGGAGGTGACTGTCCCCCTAGGAGATGATGTGGATGGGGAAATAGTTCATACGCAGCTCAGCGACCTTGAAGCGGCATCCGAGGAGATGTGGCCACGGGGCAGGCGACCGACACCAGCGAGTCCAGAGGGCCAGCGTGTGCACCACTGTGTGTCTCCAGAGACTTCAGGAAGCAGCCACCACGCCCGAGGTGAGAGTGATTCCAAGAGTGCAGAAACGGGAGCAAGGGCTGGGGCTGGAAGGGAGGGTGGAAGACAGGAGAACCAGGCCTGAGGGGAGTTTAGGCAAACAGCTGATCCCAGTGGAGCTTGGAGGGGAGGCTGGGTGCAGACCCAAAGGCTGAGGGACAAACTAAAGGAAGCATCAGAGATCGCTGAGCAAGAAAGTGACCAAAAAAAGAAAAACAAGCTGACACTGGTGACTATCCCAAACTAATCTGCTTTTTCCAGGTTACTTTTCAACACGGTATGCAGAGTACCTTTTTTTGATAAACAAATATTATATGTATTTATGGTGCATAACATTATGTTTTAAAATATGTATTCATTGTTGAATTATGAAATCAAGCTAATAACATTGCAGCCTCACATACTTACCATTTTTGTGTGGTGAGAACCCTTCAACACTACTCTTAGCAATTTTCTTGTTTGTTTTTTTTGGGGTTTTGTTTTTTGAGACAGAGTCTCACTCTTGTCGCCCAGGCTGGAGTACAGTGGCGTGTTCTTGGTTCACTGCAACCTCCGCCTCTTGGGTTCAAGCGATTCTCCTGCCTCAGCCTCCCCTGTAGTTGGCATTACAGGCACCCCTCACCATGCCTGGCTAATTTTTCTCTATTTTTAGTAGAGACAGGGTTTCACCATGTTGGCCAGGCTAGTCTCAAACTCCTGACCTCAGGTGATCCGCCCGCCTCGGCCTCCCAAAGTGCTGGGATTGCAGGCGTAAGCCACCACACCCGACCTACTCTTAGCAATTTTCAATTATACTATCCGCTGTTATTAGCTACAGTCACCAGAGCACACTTTCCCCATGCTTGTTTATCACCTGTCTAAAATGTAAGCTCCTCAAGAGGGCAGGGGTCTGCAGTGCCTAGAACCATGTCTGTCACGTAGTAGGTGCTCAGTCAATATGTGCTGAATAATTATTATCTTCAAATTTCTCTCAAGACCAAAATATGTTTAAAATGCCAAATACTGTAAAGAGAGATATTGAAAAGTAAGAGTTTCTCTCTGTTGAAACTCATCTGCCTGAATTTATCTATTTTTCTAAAAGTCCTGACAGTGAGAAGGATGGTCTGGTTGGGGAGATCCCGGCCACAGCTGTACCAGGAGGAGTCATTTTGCAGTTGAAGGGAAGTGGGAAACCATTCTGGGGTGGGAATGAAGAGCTGCTGGAAGAAACCACAGTGCTGGCCTCTGTTCAGGAACCACTAATTATTTTCCCCCCAAATAAAAGCTCAGTGAAGAATGGCCACTCAGCATGTCAAATTTAGTTTCAAACACTGGTCATTCAGCACAGAACAAAATAGCCTTCAAAGATGCCTACCTACTGGAAACTCAGTGTATCATCTTAAATTTATTTACTTATTTTTTATTTTTTTATTTTTTTGAGAGAGAGGGTCTCACTGTTTTGCCCAGTCTGGAGTGCAGTGGTGCAATCTCAGCTCGCTGCAGCTAGGACCTCCCGGGCTCAAGTGACCCTCCCACCTCAGCCTCCCGAGTATCTGGGACTACCAGTGCACCACCACGCCTGACTAATTTTTGTAGAGATGGGGTCTTGCTATGTTGCCCAGGCTGGTCTCAAACTCCTGGGCTCAAGCAATCCACCCACCTCGGCCTCCCCTAGTGCTGGGATTACAGGCGTGATCTACGGCACCTGGCCTCATCTTACATTTAAACTCTGAGGCAGTGTGTGTGTGCACATTTATATTGTGTGACATGTGCCACTGTCACTGACTTTATTTATTGATTTATTTTTGAGACAGAGTTTCACTCTGTTGCCCAGGCTGGAGTGCAGTGGCACTGTCTCGGCTCGCTGTAACCTCCACCTCCCAGGTTCAAACAATTCTCCTGCCTCAGCCTCCCAAGTAGCTGGGATTACAGGCGCCCACCACCACACAGGCTAATTTTAGTATTTTTAGTAGAGACTGGGTTTCACCATGTTGGCCAGGCTTGTCTCAAACCCCTGACCTCAGGTGATCCACCTGCCTCGGCCTCCCAAAGTGCTGGGATTACAGGCGTGAGCCACCACGCCCAGCCATTGTCACCGAATTTAAATAAGAACCATCTGCTGGTGGATGGCGGCCAGGCGTGTGCCTGTTCTAGCAGCACAGGCCACGGGGTCACAGATGCCGGCCGCTTCCTCGGCAGGTCCTTTTGCCACCCTGGCTGCCCCCATTCACCCTCTCAGGGATGTCATCATTGTGAATGGAGTCCACCTTTCTTTCCACAACTTCTCCCTTCCCACCACACACGTGAATGCCGGGCATGTCCTGTAAAGTAACAATCTTCCCAGTTTTTTTTGTTTTTTGTTTTTTTGTTTTGTTTTGTTTTTTTGAGACGGAGTCTGGCTCTGTCACCCAGGCTGGAGTGCAGTGGCTTGATCTTGGTTCACTGCAATCCCCGCCTCCTGGGTTCACACCATTCTCCTGCCTCAGCCTCCCGAGTAGCTGGGATTACAGGCGCCCGCCACCACACCCAGCTAATTTTTTGTATTTTTAGTAGAGATGGGGTTTCACTGTTTTAGCAAGGATGGTCTCGAACTCCTAGCCTCAAGCAATCCGCCCACCTCGGCCTCCCAAAGTGCTAGAATTACAGGCGTGAGCCACCCGCCCAGCCCAGTCTTCCCAGTATTAAGCGGGAAATGGTCTTGTGCACTTCAAATGCATAGCACACGTTTTATAAGAAATTAAAGCAATGACAGTCTGACTGAGGATGACACTTTATACATTGAAAAATCCCACACTATGCAGCAAATGACCACATTCAGGCGTGCAATGCAGGGCCCGAGCCTCCTGTGTCTGCTGGCGGCCCTGGGTCTCTCTCCACCCCCCTCACCCTGTGTCTGTCCAGTGGCCACCCTGCAGGGACCAGATTTGCAGGCTCCATCACCCCCTCCTTTCCAGGCAACTCTAGCTTTCGAGGTCCCCCACAGGAGACCAGAGGGGAGCCAGGGCCAGGAGACAATTCTGATAAGAGATGATGGTGGCTTAGACCAGGCGACAGTGACAATGATAAGACATGGTCACATTCAGGAGATGCTTGGAAGTGGCACCAGGCTCAGGTGATCCTCCCACCTCAGCCTCCTGGGTAGCTGGGACTACAGTTGTACACCACCACACTTTGCGAATATTTTGTATTTTTTGTAGAGACAGGGTCTCGTCATGTTGCCCAGGCTGGCCTTGAACTCCTGGGCTCAAATGACCCTCCTACCTTGGGCTCTCTCAAAGTGCTGGGATTACAGGTGTGAGCCATCACAGCCAGCCTAATGCCTTGCTTACGATATCCTTGTAGATAAGTTACACACACATTTCAAAAAGCAATGCCCAGTCTTGGACTGTCTGCTTCAGAAGGATGATCTATTTTAGAAACAGTCATGGCTGACAGAGGCTCCTAAGGCCAAGTTTCTTAGGTCCCCATTTTGAGCTCCACTCTTCATTAACTCTTAATACAATTTTAATAAATACACTTGGCTATTTTGGTTTTCCACATAGCAGATTATATGTGACAAACTAAGAGGTGGGGGACTCAGGAGGGGAGGGGAGCTGGGAGAATACGGGGCTTGAATGGCCAAGTAGCAGGACCTGCTGCTACATGCAAAATGACAGTTGGAGAGCAGCAGTCTCGTCATCGTCATTCATTTATTCATCACATATTCATTAAGCAAGTGATACATACAGGCACTGTGCAAACACACTTCGCCAGCTAGGGAGAGAAAAACTGATCAAAGAGCACACAGACAATCCCATAGGGATTAAAATACAACACAGTCAATAATAACAAAACATAGGTTTCAATATCCCCTGCTTTAGAAGCTGAATCTCTTGAGAGAGATTTCCTTCCAGTGGTTAAAAATGAAAAGTGTTGGCATTTAAATGAGTATCAGTTATTTGGAAAACTCTCATAACTAGGATATTTCATTGCCTAACTACACCATTTCAGGGTATTTTAGTTAATATGCAAATTGCTAACAGCTGTGAGAACAAAACCACCACTGCATCATCACAATGGACCGAAGATGCCGGCGGGTTTTGCTGAGCTCTCTTAATTAAGAACTGCTATGGAATTTTTTTTAAAAAAGAGTATATATACATATATAAAATTTACAGAAAATATTATTGAAAATACTTATATTCACAGAATTTATTATCTTGGAAAAACAAATATTTTCAGAGCATCTAAATACAAAGCATCTCCATTCAAAGAAACTTTAAAAAAATTGTCGGCTGGGTGCGGTGGCTCACGCCTGTAATCACGGCACTTTGAGGGGAACCAAGGTGGGTGGATCACCTGAGGTCAGGAGTTCGAGACCAGCCTGGCCAACATGGTGAAACCCCATCTCTACTAAAAATACAAAAATTAGCCGGGCCTGGTGGCGGGTGTCTGTAATCCCAGCTACTCAGGAGGCTGAGGCAGGAGAATCGCTTGAACCTGGGAGGTGGAGGTTGCAGTGAGCCAAGATCGTGCCTTTGCACTCCAGCCTGGGCAACAAAAGCAAAACTCCGTGTCAGAAAAAAAGGGTCATTTTGTTTGTTTCAGTATAGTTTTAATCTGTTTAGAATTTTAAATTGAATTGCTGCCAGATAAATTAAGCTTCGTCCTCACCTCTTATTTCCTTTTACCTGATTTACCTTTTCTCAAAGGAAAGAGACAATTATATTTCTGCCAGCAGTAATGATTTTTTTCCCTACGAATATACAATATCCTTTAAAAACCATGTCATCTCAAGGTCAAAGAAAACAAAAACCAATGAAAAGGTGGAAGAGGGAATATAAGATGTAAAAATCTTATTTAGGTTAGAAACTACTCAGTAGAGTTAACTTTATAATCTGATATACCGTTCTGCATTGTGGAAATAACATACAAAATGCTTAGACTTTCATAAAGAAAAAAGAAATAGAACTTATGCATCAAAAGAGAAGATAGTCAAACAGTTCCCTCTACTGGAAGGTTTAATAGGAAGCTGGACATGCCATATTCTTTCATACTGTGATTCACAGAAAAGTCAGAGAGCGTTCAGCAAACTGGAAATGGGTCACTCAGGAGGAGGGGCATAGGGTAGGAAGGACCAGCTAGGAAGCAGTTTATAGTGGGACTGTATTCATCACTTATATAATTAAATAATTTTCAAAAGCAACATACACAATTCTATGTAATTTTTTTAAAATGCATATATATGCATTTATATATGTATTTTCAAAAGTTTGGGTAGTATCACACCAGAAGGTTAACAATTTTTAACTCTGGCTATAAGGATTATGGGTGATATTTGTATTATTTTTATATATTCTTTTGAACTATATTTTCTGAATATCTTATAATAAGCATGCATGCATCTCTCTTGCTCTCTTTCTTTTTTTGAGCCAGAGTCTTGCTATAACGTTGAACTCCTGGGCTCAAGTGATCCTCCCATCTCAGCCTCCCAAGTAGCTAAGGATTACAGGCATGCACAACCATGTCCAGCTAATTTTTAATTTCATTTTACTTTTTGTAGAGATAGGTCTCACCGTGTTGCCCAGGCTGGTCTAGGACTTCTGGTCTCAAGCGATCCTCCCACCTTGGTCTTCCAAAGTACTGGATTACAGGTGTGAGCCACCACACCAGCCTCAGGCTTATAATTAGAAATTGATTCTATTTATCAAGAAAAAGTGTTTAAAGTCTGGTAAAAAATTAGAACATAAAAGTATTTTCTTTCAATGAAAAGAATCTCATTTCAATTATTATTTTTAACATACTCATTATCTGCTTTTAACAGTTATTTAGTTAAGAGTTTATTCCCTAAGAAACAAATATTGCAGGGCGGGCACAGTGGCTCCACCTGTAATCCCAGCAATTTGGGAGGCCGAGGCAGGCAGATCACTTGAGGTCAGGAGTTTGAGACCAGCCTGGCCAACATGGCAAAACCCCGTCTCTACTAAAAATACCAAAATTAGCTGGGAGTGGTGGAGGGCACCTGTAATCCCAGCTACTTACTTGGGAGGCTGAGTGACGAGAATCACTTAAACACAGGGGACGGAGGTTGCAGTGACCCGAGATCACGCCACTGCACTCCAACTTGGGCAACAGAGTGAAACTGTGTCTCAAAAAAAAAGAAAAGAAAAGAAAAGAAAAGAAACATATATTGCAAAGATGAAAATTTGGTTACTCAAAATCTGCCAAACTAATTACTGAGATAACTAATGAAATCATATGTAGGAAGTTCCCAATTTCTCTGTGGATTGCGTGTTTCTATTATGTGGTTATTTAGAACTTGAAACATCATGCCATAGGCATAATGCTTTAAATGTGCTTCTTAAGTTGTGCTTCTCAAAAGTCTATCTTATCCAAAATTTAGCTAAACTAGTGTGTTATTACAATAAAAGTAGTAAACAATATTTGCAATGAATAATAGTGAATAATATCTCCTTAATAGTGGCATAACCCAAACTCATTTGGAGCCCCTTGACCTGTGCTGAAATGAAGTTCCTCAAACCCCATTTCTACAGTGTGGGGAAGTCCAAGCTGCTAGATTTCTGTGAATTCCTAGGCACATATTCTCTTATGGACTCAATATCAAAAGAATGTGCTCACATTAATGCATTAATGAGTAATGTAGGTTTGACTCAAGCTTCTTTAGGGGAAAGGAAGCAGGGCTTGTATTACTCAACTCAAAGATCTATTGTAGCTGGGCACGGTGGCTCACGCCTGAAATCCCAACCCTTTGGGAGGCCGAGGCAGGCAGATCATTTGAGGTCAGGAGTTCAAGACCAGCCTGGCCAACATGGTGAAACCCGTCTCTACTAAAAATACAAAAATTAGCTGGTGTGATGGTAGACGCCTATAATCCCAGCTACGCGGGAGGCTGAGGCAGGAGAATTGCTTGAACCTGGGAGGCGGAGGCTGCAGTGAGCCAAGATTGTGCCACTGCACTACAGCCTGGGCAACAGAGCAAGACTGTCTGAAAATAATAATAATAATAATAAAAAGGTCCATTGTAGATTTTAAACTTTTGTGCACCAAAGGATACTATCAAGAAAATAAAAAGACAAGCCACAGAGTGGGAGAAATACTTGAAAATTATGTATCTGATAAGATTCTATTATCCAGAAGGTAAAAAGAATTCTTACAACTTAAAAGTAAAAAGATAAGTAACCCAATTAAAAAATGGGCATAGGGCAGGGCGCGGTGGCTCACGCCTGTAATCCCAGCACTTTTGGAGGCCGAAGGGGGGCGGATCACGAGATCAGGAGATCAAGACCATCCTGGCTAACACGGTGAAACCCCGTCTCTACTAAAAACACAAAAAATATAGCCGGGCGTGGCGGGCGCCTGTAGTCCCAGCTACTCGGGAGGCTGAAGCAAGAGAATGGCATGAACCTGGGAGGCAGAGCTTGCAGTGAGCCGAGATCACGCCACTGCACTCCAGCCTGGGTGACAGAGAGAGACTCTGTCTCAAAAAAAAAAAAAACAAACATAGCATCTGAATAGACATTTCTCCAAAGAAGATATACAAATGGCTAACAAGCACATGAAAAGATGCTCAACATTCTTAGTCTTTAGAAAGATGTAAATCAAAATTACAAAGAGATAAAGAGACGCCACTTCTCACCACAAAGAGATGCCACATCCCAGCAGGATGGCATGGCAAGGTATGGGGAAATTAGAGCCCTCAGGCATCGCTGGCGATAAGGTCAAATGGTGCCGCCACTGTAGAAAAATAGTTTGGCAGGTTTTCAAAAAGTGAAGCATAGGGTTATCATGTGGTCCATCAATTCCACTCCTAGGAGTGTAGCTGTGATGATTAATTTTGTGTCAACATACGTGGGCCCCAAGGGGCCCAGATGTTTGGTTAAACATGTTTCTGGCTGTCTTTGTGGGTGTTTCTGGATGAGACTCATGTTTGAATCAGTACACAGAGCAAAACGGGTTGCCTTCTCCAAAGCCAGCGGGCCTCATTCAACCCATTGAAGGCCTGCAAAGAACAAAAAAGGTGATGGCGAACCCGTGTAGTCCCAGTTACTCAGGAAGCTGAGGCAGGAGGGTCGCTTGAGCCCAGGAGTTCGAGGCTGCAGCGAGCTGTGATGGCCCCAGCCTGAGTGACACAGTGAGACCTTGTCTCAAACAAACAAACAAAAAACAAAACAAAAAAGAAAAATAAGAATCAGACTCAGACTGGAACTTACAGCACTGGCTCTCCTGGTTTTCAGCCCATGGACTTGGACTAGAACTTACAGCACTGGCTCTCCTGAGTCTCTAGTTTGCTGATTGAAGATCTTGGACTTCTCAGCCTCCATAATCACACAAGCCAATTCCTGATAGTAAATCATGTGTGTGTATACTGTATATATGTGTATACACATGCACCTATATGTATGTGTGTGTATATACTCTGTGTGTGTGTGTGTGTGTGTGTCCTGTAAGTCCTGTTTTTGTTCTCTGGAGAGCCCAGCCTAATATAGCATCTAAGACAAATAAAAGCATATGGTCACATAAGAACATAGACAGAAATGTTCATAGCAGCCTTATTCATAATAGCTAAAAAGTAGAAACAACTCAAATGTCCATCAGCTGAAGAATGGATAAACAAATTATGCTATATCCATAAATGGAATATTCTTTGGCAGAAAAGAGGAATGAAGTGCTGACATGGGCTACGACATGGATGGAACTTGAAAATGCGCTCAGTGAAAGAAGCCAGCCACAAAAAGCCACATATTCCATCACTTCTTTTCTATGAATTGCTCAGAATAAGCAAATACATGGTGTCAGAGAGTAGATTTGTTGTTGGCAGGGGTTGGGGAGGGGAGAAGAGTTTTATAACAGCTTATAAAGTTTACAAGCTAGGCCAGGTGTGGTGGCTCACGCCTGTAATCCCAGCACTTTGGGAGGCCAAGCCCAGCAGATCACTTGAGGTCAGAAGTTTGAGACCAGGCTGGCCAACATGGTGAAACCCCGTCTCTACTAAAAATACAAAAATTAGCCAGGCGTGGTGGTGCATGCCTGTAATCCCAGCTACTCAGGAGGCTGAGGCAGGAGAATCACTTGAACCCAGGAGGTGGAGGTTGCAGTGAGCCGAGATCACGCCACTGCACTCCAGCCTGAGCAACAGAGCGAGACTCCATCTCAAAATAAATAAATAAATGAAGTTTACCAGGTTAATGAGTAAGGAGTTTTGGTTTTTTTTTTCTGAGATAAAAAATATAAAATTGATTGTGGTAATGGTTGCACAACTCTGAATATACTAAAACAAAACCACTGAGTTTTGTATTTACAAATGATAAATTTATGGTATGCAAATTGTAAAATTAAAAAGAAAAAGTGCACAGTTTAGATCTGAAATCATCCCTTTCTCTTTTTAGGAATGCAGGAAGATGGACACACGGCTGGGGAAGTACAATGAAAGGCCAAGTAGGCAGCCTGTTCTCCTCAGATCAGTCCCCCACGAACACTCATTCCCGAGGACTCATCCAATACTAATAAGAGAATGCTCTTGTTTTTGAAGAATTTTCTGAAAGCCATCCTGACAAATTAAGTAGAGTATGCTGAAGATAGTCAGACTTTGTTTTTAAGAATTGAATATTCTGGAAGAGGCTCTTCAGTCCAATCTTTAGTTCTCTCCACAGAGCAAACGAAGTGAAGTGCTGAAGGCCTGGAGCCCGAGCTGTTCCCACACGGACTCCAGGACAGTTAAGGCAGGGTTGCCTTAACTAAATCTCTGACAACTGTTTCTTCTGTCTTTCTCCTAAAAATGGAATGCAGGCCATCTATTCTAGGGAAATAAAGGATTCTAGTTATGTGAATCCAGGAGCTTTTTTTGTTTGTTTGTTTGAGACAAAGTCTCGCTCTATCGCCCAGGTTGAAGTGCAGTGGCTCCATCTCGGCTCACTGCAACCTCCGCCACCCAGGTTCAAGAGATTCTCCTGCCTCAGCCTCTCGAGTAGCTGGGATGACAGGCACCCGCCACCACGCCCGGCTAATTTTTGTATTTTTAGTAGAGATGGGGTTTCACCATGTTGGCCAGGCTGGTCTTGAACTCCTGACCTCAGGTGATCCACCCGCCTCGGCCTCCCAAAGTGCTGGGATTATAGGCGTGAGCCACTGCGCCCAGCCGATAACTAACCTTTTATTTGACATTAATATCTAAGAAACAGCTTGTGTCCTCTTTAACCTCACTCATCCTCATGTATCTGCTGGGCAGTTGGGTGATTTTATTCTCTAAAATATGCACTCAGGACCAGGCGAGGTGGCTCACACCTGTAATCCCAGCACTTTAGGGGGCCAAGGCGGGCAGATTGCTTGAGGCCGGGAGTTCGAGACCAGCCTGGCCAACATGGTGAAACCCTGTCTCTACTAAAAATACAAACTTAGCCAGGCGTGCTGGCGGGCGCCTGTAATCCCAGCTACTCAGGATGCTGAGGCATCCTGCACTCCGGCCTGGGTGACAGAGTGAGACCCCATCTCAGGAAAAAAACAAAAGTATGTATTCAGGACAATTGAAATGAATATATTGTATAATAAGCCTGGGACCAATAAGAATGGTTTAAATTTAGTTCTCATTCCAGTTCTCACACGGTCCACATGGAAAACACAGCTGCCTGCTTTGTGTGTGCACAAGATGGCTCTCCTCGGGCAGACAGGGTCAGCATGGATGTGGAATTCTCTTGTGTTAACAATGCCTGGGTATCTGCACAGGGCTGTCCTGCAGGCCTGAGTGTTCCCAGCATGACTGGAAATCACAGTGCCCAGTAAACACCTTAGGACTCAGGAGGGAGGACACGGCCTGCCTGCTGTGTTTTCCAGCAAGCAGAGGCAGCTGTTCCATCAAGATGGGCCCCTGTCCTGAGGTGTGGCTACCTAGATGACCTCGGTAGAGGGTTGTAGGGGATGAGGAAGCCTCGCCTGGGGCCCCCATTCATTCCTAATAGCATCATTGCCACACGTCCGTCCCTTGCCTCCAAAGTCATATGAAAATTTACCCAGGCCCTTGGGCGGCTGGACAGGTTTTTGTGATGTGAGGGACACACACGGGGCACGTGGGAAGCTTGGCGGAGGCTCCAGGAACGCTGACGAAGTGTTTTAGGACCCCCACCCCCATGCTTCTACCAGGGCTGGCCTCCAGAGTGGGTGAGGGCAGAGCAGCTGCGGCCTTTTCATCCTGAGGTCTTGGCCCCACCGGCCACCGCATGGGACTCTTTCCTTGTCGGAGCTTGTAAAAATCAACCTTCAAGAAAGAAAAGGGAACTCTTCACGTTGAATGTTGACTGTGTTTGCGTGTGTGTGTGTGTGTGTGTGTGTGTGTGTGTGTGTACGCGCGTGCGCACTTGCACAAGCTTGCATGTGCGTGTTTACTTCACAGGATTTTGTTTTTGTGAAATTCCCCTCCAATTATGTGTTAGAATTTACCTCCATGCCCCAGTCACACTGTTGGTTCTGCGCTCTGAACCTGGGTGTAGCTCATTTGAAGGACTCTCTTCTGCGTTTCCTAACAGACATTTGGTGGTCTCAAGAGTTGAGGTTGTGGACGGTTGGGAGAAACTGAAGTTCTATACATTTCCTTAGATTTTACATCCTGCAGTTAAAAGGCTGGAAGGGCTCAGCCCGGGCCCCGCAGCTCCAGCCCGTCCCCCACAGGCCGCCCACAGTGCCCCCATTTCTCTAGCTGTATCTTTTTCGAACAGCCCGGGAAAGGAAAGCGGGTTCGCTTGCGGATTTTGTTCACGGCGGAAGCACCATGTTCTGTTTCTTGTTCAGGTTCAGTTTATTGTGTAAATGGTGTTTTTTTCTGGTGTGAGCTTTGGTGATTGTGGCAGGGCTCCTTTGAGGAGACGGTTCCACCTCGTGGTCTGAAGAACAAACTGGAGAAGAATCTGGTTTGGCCAGAGGCCCCCTGCGGCCCATGTCACCCTGAGTACACCCCTCTGATGCTCTGCCGTCAAGAAGCACGTTTCCATCAGCTGTATTCAACACCACAGTGCATTTTAAAACTATATTTGCATCCAAGACAATAAAGAAACCTTATTTTTTTTTTTGAAAAGCAAAAGAAAATTTACCCAGGCCTGGCAGATTTGTTAACATCAATAACTAAATCTAGACCTTTTGAAAATATTTGGAGTGTTTGAGAATTAATCAAAGATCTGAATGTGTCAAGTGCAACCACCATTTGGAATTGGAAAACAAAAACGTTACCAAGGTTTGTTAGCATGGCCACGTGGCCAGGGTGATGGAGGAGTTAGTAGAGGTCCCTGTGTACACGGTACAAACCCGGGGAGAAAGGGTGCAATTTAGAAGTTTTGGCCTTACCCATCCCTCAGCTGTCCTGTCCCAGGCCTCTGCTGTACCCTGCAGCGCCAGCACAAAGCTAAGTCTGTCTTAATGGCCGGATTCCTCCTGTCCTCCTTAGAGGCCACAAAGAAATCCTTCCTTCCTCACGCGCAGAGCAATTTTAGTGATCTGGTTTCTACTCCCTGCAACCACAATTAAAACACACACACATAATGATAATGCACCCCCGTGTGCCCAATATGTTCTGCTCATTGTTCATTTTCACTGGGCTCTTTCAGATGAAAATCTCTGCATATATTATTGTTTACTCATTGAGCAGACATTTACTCAGCAAATGCTGTTAGGCAGTGGGGTGCAAAGATGAAGGCAGTGGTGAGACGCACTCCTGAGCATCCACCCCACCGCACTGCTTCTCGGCCCCCTGCCTCCGTCCAAGTGGTTCTCTCTGCCCGGTACCCGCTTCCCCACCCTCAATTTGTTAACTCTTACTGCACTTGGACATCACCTCCTCACACTGGAACAGCC
Organism: Homo sapiens; assembly: GCF_000001405.40. NCBI lineage: Eukaryota > Metazoa > Chordata > Mammalia > Primates > Hominidae > Homo > Homo sapiens. Next base: position 12,736,482 of record NC_000018.10, on the reverse strand, counting down.
AGGCTGGCTTAGGGTCATCTCCTCCCTATTCCCACACATTAGTACCTTTATATATGCCGCAGGGAACTGAAAATACCTCCTAAAGAAAGGGAAGACGAAAGCTAAGAGTAAACCACATTATTTTTGGTGTAGCTACCAAATCTTTTAGGTTCAAAGATTTGATTTCTCCTGACGGTATGGTCTGAGTGTCTGTGTCCCCTCTCCAAATTCCTATGTTGAAATCCTTTGTTGAAACACTGCCTTCCAAGTTGATGGTGTTAGGAGGTGGGGTCTTTGAAAGGTGATCAGGTCAGTCATGGGGGTGCAGTCCTCATGACTGGGATTGGTGCCTTTGTAAAAGAGTCCCAAGAGAGACTCCTTTCCCCTTCTATGTGAGGAACAGCGAGAAGGTGCCGTCTATTAGCCAGAAAGCCTGGCTCTTTACAGACACCACATCTGCCTTGAACTTGAAGGTCCAGCTTCTAGAACTGTGAGAAATAAATTTTTGTTGTTTATAAGCCAGCCTGTTTATGGTATTTTGCTATAGCAGCCTGAATGGACTAAGACAGTCCTCAAGGTTCATCCGTATTATAACATATGCCAGGATTTACATCCTGTTAAGGCTGAATAATATTCCATTACCTGTTATACCACCTTTTCTTTATCCATTCATCTGTCCCTGGGCATTTAGGCTGCTTCTACATCTTGGCTATTATGAATAACACTGTAATGAACATGGTGCACAAATAACTCTTTGAGATCCTGATTCTGCTTCTTTTGGACATATACCCCAGAAGTAGGATTGCTGGGTTATATTATGTCTATTTTAATTCTTTGAGGAACCTCCATATTGTTGTCCATAGCAAGTGCACCATTTTACAGTCCCACCAAAAGTGTCCAAGAGTTCAAGTTTCTCCACGTCTTCATCAATGCTTGTATTTTTTTCTTTTAATAATGGCCAACCTAATGGGTATGAGGTGATACCTCACGTGGTTTGTTTTGTTTTGTTTTTGAGATGGAGTCTCACTCGGTTGCCCAGGCTGGAGTGTAGTGGTGCGATCTCGGCTCACTGCAACCTCCACCTCCCGGGTTCAAGTGATTCTCCAGCCTCCTGAGTAACTAGGATTACAGGTGCACACCACCATGCCCAGCTAATTTGTGCATTTTTTAAGTAGAGACGGGGTTTTATTATGTTGGCCAGGCTGCTCTCGAACTCCTAACCTCAGGTGATCTGCCCACCTTGGCCTCCCACAGTGCTGGGATTACAGGCATGAGGCACTGTGCCGGCCTGTTTTGTTTTGTTTTGTTTTGTGAGATGGAGTCTCATTCTGTCACCCAGGCTGGAGTGCAGTGGTGCAATCTCAGCTCACTGCAACCTCCGCCTCCAGGCTCAAGTGATTCTTCTGCCCCAGCCGCCCAAGTAGCTGGGACTACAGGGGTATGCCACCACGCCTAGTTAATTTTTGTGTTTTTAGTAGAGATGGGGTTTCACCATGTTGGCCAGCCTGGTCTTGAATTCCTGTAATCCTCCCGCCTCGGCCTCCCAAAATGCTGGGATTACAGACTACATGTGGTTTTAGTTTGCATTTCTCTGATGATTAGAGATGTTGAGCACCTTTTCATACACTTGCTCACTTGTATATCTTCATTGAAGAAATGTCTATTCTTTGCCCATATTTTTATTTTTGTTTATTTATTTATTTAATTTTGAGACAGAGTCTCGCTCTGCTGCCCAAGCTGGAGTGCAGTGGTGTGATCTCAGCTCACTGCAACCTCCACCTCTTGGGTTCAAATGATTCTCCTGCCTCAGCCTCCTGAGTAGCTGGGATTATAGGCGCCCACGACCACGTCCAGCTAATTTTTGTACTTTTAGTAGAAACGGGGCTTCGCCATATTGGCCGGGCTGGTCTCGAACTCCTGACCTCAGGTGATCCGCCCGCCTCGGCCTCCCAAAGTGCTGGGATTACAGGCATGAGTCACCGTTCCTGGCCTAGTTTTATTTATTTATTTTCAGATGGAGCCTCATGCTGCTGCCCAGGCGGGAGTACAGTGGCATGATCTCAGCTCATTGCAACATCCACCTCCTGGGTTCAAGCAGTCCTCGTGCCTCAGCCTCCCAAGTAGCTTGGATTACAAGCACGTGCCACCATGCCCTGCTAAGTTTTGTATTTTCAGTAAATACAGGGTTTTGCCATGTTGGCCAGGCTGGTCTTGAACTCCTGACCTCAGGTGATCCGCCTGCCTCGGCCTCCCAAAGTGCTGGGATTACAGGTGTGAGACACCCCGCCCAGCCCATTTTTAAAAAATTTTTAATTTTTATGGGTACATAGTAGGCATATATATATATATATATATATATATATATATATATATATATATGATACTCGCATTTTGATACGAGAATATAATGTATAATAATAATATCAGGGTAAACGAGGTATCCCTTGAACATTTAAAAATATATATTCTGGATGTTAGCCCTTTATCAGATAAATGATTTTCAAGTATTTTCTCCCATTCTGTAGGTTTCTTTTTCACTGTGTTGTTTTCTTTGCTGTGCAGAAGTTTTTGATGTAGTCCCATTTGTCTATTTTATATTTTGTTACCTGTGCCTTTGGTGTCATAGCCAAGAAATCATTGCCCTTCTCCTAATGTTATGAAGTTTCTCCCCTATGTTTTCTTTTAGTTTCGTAGTTTCAGGTCTTAGGTTTAGGTCTTTAATTCATTTTGAATTAATTTTTGTATATGATGTAGATTAAGGGCCCATTTTTTTCTTTCCTACGTGGATATGCAATTTTCGCGGCATCATTTGTTGAAGAGCTATCCTTTCTTCATTGTGTAGTCTTGGCATCTTAGTTGAAGATCTTTGACAGTAAACATGAGGGTTTATTTCTGGGCTCTGTATTTTGTTCCATTGGTCTATATGTCTGTCTTTATGCCAATTCCATATTGTTTCAATTACTATAGCTTTGTAATATGCCTTGTATTTTGTTCTGGGCTCTGTATTTTGTTCCATTGGTCTATATGTCTGTCTTTATGCCAGTACCATATTGTTTCAATTACTCTAACATTGTAATATGCTTTGAAATCAGGAAGCGTGAGGTCTCCAGCTTTGTTCTTTTTCAAGGTTATTTGGGGTCCTTTTAGATTCAATATGAATTTAGGATTTTTTTTCTGTGTCTGCAAAAAAAAAAGCCATTGAGATTTTGATACAGATTGCGTTGAATCTGTAGACTGCTTCAGGTAGTATGGACAGCTTATCAATACTAAGTCTTCCAATCCATGAACATGAGATGTATTTCTATTTATTTGTGTCTTCTTTAATCTCTTTCAGCAATGTCTTATCATTTTCATTATATAACTCTTTTGCCTCCTTGGTTTAGTTTATTACTATTTTATTCTCTCTTTTTTTTTTGTTTTTTTTTGTTTTTTGAGACGGAGTCTCGCTCTGTCACCAGGCTGGAGTGCAGTGGCGTGATCTCGGACACTGCAACCTCTGCCTCTCCGGTTCAAGCGGTTCTTCTGCCCCAGCCTCCCAAATAGCTGGGACTACAGGCTCGCGCCACCACGCCCAGTTAACTTTGTATTTTTAGTAGAGATGGGGTTTCACCATGTTGGCCAGGATGGTCTCAATCTCTTGACCTCATGATCTGCCTGCCTTGGCCTCCCAAAGTGCTGGGATTACAGGTATGAGCCGCCATGCCCAACTTATTTTATTCTCTTTTATGCTATTGTAAACGGGATGTTCTTTATTTATTTATTGGATTGTTCATTGTGTACAGAAACACAACTGATGCTGGAATGTTGATTTTGTATCCTGCAATTTTGCTGAATTCATTTATTAGTTTTAACATTTCATGGAATTTTAAGGGTTTTTTACATATGAGTTCATGTCCTCTGCTAACAGACAACATTTTGCTTCTTTTCCAATCTAGATGCATTTTTATTTCTTTTTCTTGTATATTTCTCTGGCTAGGACTTAAGAACTACATTGAATAAAATTGGTAAGAATGGAAAGCGTTCAGTTTTTCACCATTGAGTATGACTTTAGCTGTGGGCATTTCATATATGACCTTGACTACCAAGGTTGAAGTAATTTCCCTGGAGTCCTAGTTCATTGATTGTTTTGCATTGGAAGGGAGTTGAGTTTTGTCAAGTGCTTGTTCTGCGTGAATTGACATATGATCTTTGTCCTTTTTCTGTTAAGGTGTTGTAGTGCATTTATTCATTTCCATATGTTGAACCATCCTCACATCCAGGGATGAATTGCTTTTGGTCATGGTATATGATCCTGTTAATGTACTGTTGAATTTGGGTTGCTAGTACAGGCACACCTCATTGTATTGCCCCTCACTTTATTGTGCTATTCACAGCTATTGTGCTTTTTCACAAACTGAAGTTTTGTGGCAATTCTGTGTCAAGAAAGTTCTATTGTGCCGTTTTTTTCAACACCATGTACTTACTTTGGGTCTCTGTGTCACATCTTGGTAATTCTCAAGATATTTCAAACTTTCCCATTATTATTATATGTTATGGTAATCTGTGATCAGTGATCTTTGATGTTACTTGTTGTAATTGGTTTGGAGCACCGCAAATTGCACCCATGTAAGATAAAGAACTTAACTGATAAATGTGTGTGTTCTGACTGCGCCACCAACCAGCCATTTGTTCTCCCTTTTCTTTCCCTCTCCTTGGGCCTCCCTATTTCCTGAGATACAACAATATTGAAATGAGGCCTATTAATAACCCTACAGTGGCCTCTAAGTGTTCAAGTGAAAGGAAGAGTCACAAGTCTCTCACTTTGAATCAAAAGCTAAAAATGATTAAGCTTATTGAGGAAGGCATTCAAAAGCTCAGATAGGCCCAAAACTAAGCCTCTTCTATCAAACAGCTAGCCAAGTTGTGAAGGCAAAGAAAAAGTTTTTGAAGGAAATTAAAAGTGCTACTCCAGGCCGGGCACGGTGGCTCATGCCTGTAATCCCAGCACTTTGGGAGGCCGAGGCGGGAGGATCATCTGAGGTCAGGATTTCAAGAACAGCCTGGCTAAAATGGCCGAACCGCATCTCTACTGAAAATACAAAAAAAATTAGCTGGGCGTGGTGGTGCATGCCTGCAGTCCCAGCTACTCAGGAGGCTGAGGTGGGAGAATCGATTGAACCCGGGAGGCAGAGGTTGCCATGATCCAAGATTGTGCCACTGCACTCCAGCCTGGGCAACAAAGTGAGACTCTGTCTCAAAAACAAAAACAAAAAAAGTGCTACTCCAGTGAACGCAAATGATAGCAAAACAGCCTCCTCATTGCTGATGTGGAGAGTTTAGTGGTCTGAATAGAAGAGCAAACCATCCACAACATTTTCTGAAGCAAAAGCCTACCCCAGAGCAAGGCTGTACCTCTTTTTCAATTCTGTGAAGTCTGAGACAGGTGAGGAAGCTGCAGAAGAAAAGCTGGAAGCTAGCAGAGGTAGGTTTATGAGATTTAAGAAAAAACAGCTGTCTTCATACCGTAAACATGCAGGGTAAAGCAGCAAGTACTGATATAGAAGCTGCAGCAAGTTATCCAGAAGATCCAGCTAATTGGTGAAGGCGGCTACACAAAACAACAGATTTTCGTCCCAGTGCTGTGGCTCACGCCTGTAATCCCAGCACTTTGGGAGGCCGAGGCGGGCGGATCACGAGGTCAGGAGATAGAGACCATCCTGGCTAACACAGTGAAACCCCGTCTCTACTAAAAATACAAAAAAATTAGCCCGGCGTGGTGGCGGACGCCTGTAGGCTAGTCCCAGCTACTCCGGAGGCTGAGGCAGGAGAATGGCGTGAACTTGGTAGGCGGAGCTTGCAGTGAGCCGAGATCGCGCCACTGCACTCCAGCCTGGGCGACAGAGCAAGATTCTGTCTCAAACAAAACAAAACAAAAAACAGATTTTCAATGTAGATGAAACATTCTTCTATCAGAAGAAGAGGCCATCTAGGACTTTCATAGCTAGAAAGCAGAAGTCAATGCCTAGCTTCAAAGCTTCAAAGGACAGGCTGGCTTACTTGTTAGGGGCTAATGCAGCTGGTGACTTTAAGCTGAAGCCAATATTTACCATTCCAGAAATTCCAGGGCCCTTAAGAATTATGCTAAATCTCCTCTTCCTGTGCTCTATCAGTGGAACATCAAAGCCTGAATGGCAGCACATTTGTTTGAGCATGACTCACTGAATATTTTAATCCCACTGTTGAGACCTACCGCTCAGAAAAAAAGATTCCTTTCAAAATACCACCAGTCATTGACAATACACCTGGTCCCAAGAGCTCTGATGGAAATGTGCAAGGAGATTAATGTTGTTTTCATGCCTGCTAATATAACATCCATTCTGCAGCCCATGGATCAAGGAGTAATCTCAGCTTTCAAGTCTTATTTCAGAAATACATTTCCTAAGGTTATAGCTGCCATAAATAGTGATTCCTCTGATGGATCTGGGCAAAGTAAATTGAAAACTTTCTGAAAAGGATTCTCCATTTTAGATGACACTAAGTATATTTTGATTCATGGGAGGAGGTCAAAATATCAACATTAAGATAAGTCAGTTCCAACGTTCATGGATGACTTTGAGCAGTTCAAGACTTCAGTGAAAGAGGTAACTGCAAGATGGAAATAGCAAAAGAACTAAATTTAACAGTGGACCCTAAAGATGTGAATAAATTGCTGCAATCTCATGATAAAACTTGAAGAGATCAGGAGTGGCTTCTTATGGATGAGCAAAGAAAGTGGTTTCTTGAGATGGAATCTACTCCTGGTGAAGGTGCTGTGTACATTGTTGAAATGACAACAAAGGATTTTGGGATATTCCATAAACTTAGTTGACAAAGCAGCGGCAGGGTTTCAGAGGATTGACTTCAATTTTGAAAGAATATAGGTATTTACTTTGTGGTTATCCTGGGACTTACATGAGACATCTTATACTTGTAATAATCTATTTTAAGCTGATAACAACTTACTCAATCATATACAAAAACCACTTTTACAACTCTACTTTTAAATTATTGATGTAGGGCCAGGTGCAGTGGCTCATGCCTGTAACCCCAGCACTTTTGGAGGCCAAGGTGGGAGGATGGCTTGAGCTCAGGAGTTCAAAACCAGCCTGGACAACATAGCAAGATCTCTCATCTTAAAAAAATTATTTTTAAAATTTTTATTTCAATGGTTTTTGGGGTACAGGTGGTTTTTGGTTACCTGGATAAGTTCTTCAGTGGTGATTTCTGAGATTTTAGTGTACCCATCACCCAAGCAGTCTATGTTATAATCAACATGTAGTGTTTTATTCCTCACCCCCTCCAAACCTCCCTGGCTAAGTCCTCAAAGTCCATTATATCATTCTTTTTTTTTTTTTTTACCCTGAGATGGAGTCTTGTTTTGTTGCCTAGGCTGGAGTGCAGTGGTGCAATCTTGGCTCACTGCAACCTCCACCTCCTGGGTGATTCTTGTGCCTCACCCTCCCTAGTAGGTGGGACTACAAGCACATGCCGCCACATCCAGCTAATTTTTGTATTTTTTTTTTTTTGTAGAGACAGGGTTTCACCATGTTGGCCAGGCTGGTCTCGAACTCCTGGCCTCAAGTGATCCACCCACCTTGACATCCCAAAGTGCTGGGGTTACAGGTGTGAGCCACTGTGCCTGGCCTGCTAAAGTCCATTATATCATTCTTATGCCTTTGAGCCCTCATAGCTTAGCTCCCACTTGTGAGAGGTACAATATTTGGTTTTCCATTTCTGAGTTACTTTACTTAGAATAATGGCCTCTGGCTCCATCCAAGTTGCTGCAAAAGACATTATTTCATTCCTTTTTATGGCTGAAGAGTAGTACTCCACGATGAATATACCACATTTTCTTTATCCACTCATTGGTTGATGGTCACTTAGGTTGGTTCTATATCTTTGCAATTGTGAATTGTGCTGCTATAAACGTGTGTGCATGTGTCTTTTTCATATAATGACTTATTTTCCTTTGGGTATATACCCTGTAGTGGGATTGCTGGATCAGATGGTGTTCTACTTTTTGTTCTTTAAGGAATCTCCGCACTGTTTCCCATAGTGGTTGTACTAATTTACATTCCCACCAGCAGTGTAGAAGTGTTCCCTTTTCACCACATTCACACCAACATCTATTGTTTTTTTGACTTTTTAATTATGATCGTTCTTGCAGGAGTAAGGTGATATCTCATTGCGGTCTTAACATCTCCCTGATGATTAGCGATGTTGAGCATTTTTTCATGTTCGTTGGCTGCTTGTATATCTTCTTTTGAGAATTGTCTATTTATGTTCTTTGCCACTTTGTAATGGGATTATTTTTTTCTTGCTCATTTGAGTTCCTTATAGATTCTGGATATTATTCCTTTGTCGGATGCATAGTTTGCAAATTTCTCCCACTCTGTGGGTTGTCTGCTTACTCTGCTGTTTGTTTTGCTGTGCAAAAGCTAAAAAAAAAATTATTGATGTCACAAATTACACCTTTACATAGTGCGTACCCATTAAGATATTTTAACATATTTTTATAGTTACAGTGTTTGTTTTGATTTTTAGAGATGGGGCTTCACTTTTTTGCCCAGGCTGGTCTTAAACTCCTGGCTTCAAGAAATCTTCCCCAAGTGCTGGGATGACATGTGTGGGTCACCGTGCCTGGCCAGTTACAGTTATTTTTATGCTTTGTCTTGTCAATTCTGGACCAGAATTAAAAGTGCACTACCATTATAGTCCTGAAGGATTCTGCATTTGTCTATATTTAGTTTGCCAGTGAGCCTCATATTTTCTTTTTCTTTTTGGGACAGAGTCTCGCTCTGTTGCCCAGGTTGGAGTGCAGTGGCATGATCTTGGCTCACTGCAACCGCCGCCTTCTGGGTTTGAGCAATTCTCCTGCCTCAGCCTCCCGCATAGCTGGGATTACAAGTGTGTGCCACCATGTCTGGCTAATTTGTTTTTTTGTATTTTTAGTAGAGATGGGGTTTCACCATATTGGTCAGGCTGGTCGCGAACTCCTGACCTCAGGTGATCCTCCCACCTCAGCCTCCCAAAGTGCTGGGGTTATAGGTGTAAGGCACTACACTCGGCCACTCCCAATCTTTGCATACTGGCTTTGTACAGGGCAGACCTTCACCAGCTAGCCCAGGTAGAGATTCTGAAACCTCTTAAATGTTTTTCCAAGTTCAACTTTTTAGGATTGTGTTATTTCCCAACTGAAGGTTGCTGGTTTTTCATCTTGTAATCTCTTGCTCCCTCTGGTGTCTGTCTTCAGAATTGCACGTTCCCTAGTGCTGCAGCTGCAAGTCGCCCCTTTGTTCTCAGTGGCTCTCTGGCAAAGCATGACAGCTTCCTATAAGCACCCCAAGTTAGATGAGATGGGCAACAGTCCCTTGGGCAGCACTACAAAAAGCTGCAATGCTGGCGTGTAAGTTCCATTCCTCCTGGGAGAGAAAATGCAAGTTGGGTGATTTCTCTTGGTGGTGTCCAGCCACACTGGCCTGTCTGTGGTACTACAGGCTCTGGTGGCACGGCAAACGATCCTCCAACTCTCCCGTGCTTTTAGCAGACTCCAGACATCCAAAGGATGCCAGTTCTGTCAGTATTCCAAGTCAGACAAGACGAAAGAGTCAGAATCTTGGTCACATGCTCCAACGTTCTCTACCTCTCTCCCCCTCACCGAGTCTGCCCCCTTCAACCCAGGGAAAAGCCAGGAGCTGGCGTACTCGCCATCATGCTGGGCTGTCATCCTGGGTGGAGTAAAGTGAAATGACTCTTCTTACTCATTTCAACGTGGCTGTTCTTAATTTTGCACTCACCTGGGGATACTGCAACTTAACTGGTTTCTGGTATCCTGGTCTATAAATTAAACTGGTGTCTCTGTGGGGTAATGAGGACTGGTACTTCCTATTTTGCCATCTTGCTGATGTCAACCCCCATTTCATATTTTAACCAAAAGGGAAACAGAAATAGGCCACAGAATCCAGCATGATTTACATATCAAAAGGAAACCTTTCCGGAGTGCTGGGAAGTAGTTGTATCCTTAAATATTACAAGCCCTTGTGTTACAGATGAGAGAGCCAAGGCACAGAGGTAACACAGTGAAATCGTACATCCCAAAGACTAGGGGTGAACAGTGACTAGTATGCAGCAGGCACTCGAAAATGATAACTATTTTTATTATTTCTTTTATAGTAAAATTATTCTAAAATGGGGAAACTATCCTGGATTATTGGGGTGGGCCCAATGCAATCACAGGGTCCTTTTATAACTGAGAGATTTGAAGATGCTAAGCTGCTGGCTTTGAAGATAGAAGGGCCCATGAGCCAAATAATATGGCAGCCTCTAGAAGCTGGAAACAGCAGAACACAAATTCTCCCTAAGGCCTTCCTCAGGAGCAGTGCCCTGCGATCACCCTGATTTTAGTCTCGTCAGACCCACTGTTGGATTTCTGACTCCTAGAACTCAGAAGTCAGAATTTAAAAGCAAATTTGTGGCTGGGCATAGTGGTGTAATGCCTGTAATCTCAGCACTTTGGGAGGACATGGCAGGAGGATTGCCTGAGCCCAGGAGTTTGAGACCAGCCTGGGCAACATGGCAAGACCTCGTCTCATTTTACTTAAAATACAGAATGAAAATTAATTAATTAGTTAATGAAAAAATTAAACTGGTGTGTTTTAAGTCACTAAGTTTGTGGTGATTTATTAGAGACAAACTAGGAAGCTAATAGAGAGTCTGAAATTAAAAAAAATACATTTAAGACAAAATTACTTAGGAAATAAAATTTTATTGTACAAAATTTACATTTGGTGCATATGATGAAAAGCATGGCAAAGAGACCCTTAATCTTTTTTCTTTGATATTTACTGTGAAAGTAATTTCCTAATACCAGATCATACAATTTTTTTGTATAGAATGTTTAACAGCTGTGTTGGTAGTAAGTGTTTTGGGTATAAGGTATAAAACAGAAATTAGATCAGAAAAGTGCAGGGGGAAGACCACTGCCAAAGAGTAATCTCCAAGAACTTGGTATTTTCCACCGTGAGGCAGATACTGTGGGGTCATCGCTCTGTAATTGAAGAACAAAATATTTTAATCTTTAAACTTTACCATCAAATCTCCTTTTAAAGTGAATTATAAAACTCTCCTTTTGTGTTCCTTTTGGTTGGCACTTTTATAGCCAGGTTTTATTGTTAAGGAAAAATAAAGTTTCTTTGTCTTCATGTCAACTGAAGATAAATTTCTTTAAGTTCCAAATTATAAAGATATGCCAGAAAGGCTGTAGATGAAGTTTATTAGGGAAAATCACATTCAAAAAGAATAGGGATTAAAAAAAAAATCAGCATTATGTGATTTGTATCAATTTGTTCTTGGCAAAAGCATGAATTAAAAAGCTAGTTACCCATCTTAGAAAGCAGCCTTATGCTCAGTGTTCTGTTATGCCTAAAGGCTAACTCACTTCCCTGGGTGTAATGCTCTCATTTCATAATAGAGAAAAATATCAACTGTAATACATATTCAATAGCTACAGTATTGCTCACATAGCAATACTTTTTACTTCCCTAAAAAAATTCCTGAATTCCACAGAAGGCTTGTTTATTATTGCAAGACTATGTCTGGCATAATTAATCTAACATGAATAGTAAGTACAATGAAGAACTAAGGATTTTCCTTTTTGGAAAGTCAGCTTTAATGAAAAAACTGTAAATAATAGGTTGGTTAACTGTCCTCTAATTTTCAAAAGTTCAGCTTAAACTAAATTTTATGTAAAGATATGTCTATATTTAATACAAACGTTCACTTACTTGGTCTACTTAGGTAGTATATAAAGTGCGAGTTAATGAATACAACCAGACAAAGAAGAGGCTTAAGCTATAATAGAACTTACAAGTGGTTTGAGTATCTGAAGCCACTCATTAAGATACTCAACAAGACCTAATGCATCTGGGATGTTGTCCCCTTCTGAAACAAATTTCAGCAGAACTGCCATTTGGATTTCTTTAGAACAGCTACAAGAAATAAAAATAAGAATCAGTATTCTTTCATAGGGTACAAGAGCTGACTCTAGTGTGTCTGTTTTTACAGCTACGATAACCTACCTGGTTTAGGAAAGGAAAAGACGCCACACCATAAGATCACTTATCATCTCCCTTCGCCCCACACAGAGTTTTCTACTTGTGAGAGCAGGCCCCTGTAACACCCACTGGGGAACACGCACAATCATGCCTCACCCCATGGCTGCATGAAAAACCAGCCTTTCTGTCCTTGGCTACAGCAGATAAGGTATGTTCTGACCTACTCCCCAAACCTACTTCAGAAGACAGTAATTTTCAGAAGCACCACAGCAGAGACTGAAAGAAAATAACACCTAGTTACTATCTAAAGCAGTGAGGGAAACTGTGGAAGAGAATGGAATCATTAAAGGAAATAAAAGTTCCTACTTCTTCCGAAAACGCTGAGTGGTTATTATGTGTTAAGCATTATCTGCAAATTTTATGACAATCCCTGTAATAATCCTGAAGAAGCTATAATTAGCTCCATTTTATAAGTGAATCAGTTTGGAATAACGGGAACAAAGACAGACACCAGGATTCAGATTCTAGCTCTTCAACTTACCAGATATGTTGGGCAAGTTACTTAACCAGGGGTGTTCCTCATCTATAAAAGGGGGATGATAATGGAACCTACTTCACAGGTTGTTGTGAGGCTGAAAGGAGGTAGTGGAGGCAAAATGCTTAAAACAGTGACCACACAGTAAATATGAAAGAAGTATTAGCTACTTTTATGAGGTAACAGGTTTAAAGAGATTGAATACAGGCTGGGCGCGCTGGCTCAAGCCTGTAATCCCAGCACTTTGGGAGGCCGAGGTGGGCAAATCATTTGAGGTCAGGAGTTCGAGACCAGCCTGGCCAACATGGTGAAACCCCGTCTCTACTAAAAATATAAAAATTAGCTGGGCATGGTGGCATGTGCCTGTAGGTACTCAGGAGGCTGAGGCAGGAGAACTGCGTGAGACAGAGCAAGACTCTGTCGCAAATGAAGAAAAAAAGATTTAATACATAGTTAACATGCCCAAAGTTCTATATCTAGTAAGGTCTCTATATCTAACTATATCTAGTTAGGTCTCTCTAACTCCAAAACATAGTCTCCTATCATACTATAAACGCCTCAAGCTAGTGATGAGATGGAGATACACCAAGGCAAAAAGTTTCCTGCTTGCCAATAAATGCAAAAATTACTCCTAACACCCTAAAACCAAGAACTATGAGAAAAATGCCATGCCAAAACTTGAAAGCACGAGACTGACAGAGAAGAGAGCTACAGAAATAAAAGTGAGCCGAGTTCTAAGGAAGGAAAGGCACCGAGGAGACTCTGATATATACATTCGGAAGTCTCAGATGATACCAGGCTAACTTTAGTTTCTGTCTCTAAAAACTACAAAGTAGAAACTGTTAGCCTCACTCACCCTAGCCCAGTACTTGGTTCTCAAACACCTTAGGGGCTCTCAATCTTTGTATGGAACCACTATGAGCTCTGATGGCTCAGAAAATTCCAGTTCCTAAATGCGTCTGCTGTGATGGCCTCAGGCAAGGCTCTCGCCTGGAGAAGGCTGGCTCCGAGGCTGTGCTTGCATTTTCAAGGCTCTAACTTGGAAAGCGCAGGGGTATGCTCTTCAGCTTATCGCGCCTCTTATTAGTTTGTCACACAGTGTGGGATAATCATTTCAATATTACCCTCTGGTCTTCTGCTAAAAAGAAAGGCAGAGGATGACTATTATTATTACTTTTTTATTTGGAACTATTTTATTCTGGTTGATACAACTGAGTATTTTAAATATTGTTTCTTCAGGGTAAAATCCGCATTTCCTGAATGTTTGATGCTGAGTAGGTCTAACTTTTATAATACTTTCTGTTTATCACCGCTAACTTTGTGGGCAAGCTTATAGCTAACCAGAAGCTGTTCTTTGCCTGTCCTCATAGTTTCACCCTATACCCAAGAAGACAGACCCAAGGAAACAGACCCCTGGACTCTGATGAGCAGCACCCCTGCCCTCGGATTCTCTGCCCTGTATTTCCAGTTGCCTCGGCCTCCCTGTAGTCTTAACTGATTTCCTCCACTCAGCTCTGCTTGGGTTCCGCTCCCTGTGCTGCAGTCCAGAAAGTATCTCAAGCAGAAAGCCAGGCAACTGTAGACTTAAAATTTGCCTTCTCTTAGGGATGACAGCTATGTGCTGCCTGTAGTCCAATGTCTGGAAAACAGTTGTTTCATAAATTGTCAGGTTCCAGTATTTTTATGGCAGGAGGGCAAGTCTGATATCAGTTACTCTGTCTTGGTCAGAAGCAAAAGTTTAGGAGGATTGATTGGTAAAGTAAGTGCAACAAAGTATAGAAGAGGTGGAGTGCAGTGGGAGTGCAGACGCAACTTCCTTGTCTAGAAGACAGGAAAAGGCAAGATTGCAGACAGGAGGTGAAGGGTAAGTTGACTCTTAGAAAGGAGGTAGGTGTTTGCAAGGGGGACAAGAGAGGAACACGGAACAAAAACACAAGGGAAATGAGAAAATACTGAGATGAGTGAAAATGAAAACACGACATGTCAAATCCCAGGGCATGCAGTGAAAACAGCACTAAGAGGAAAATTTACAGCTGTAAACACATTCAGTAAAAAAGAAAAAAACTTTTAAATTAATAACCTAAGTTTACACCTTGGAAAAGAGAAAAAAAAGCAAATCAAATCCAAAGCTAGCGGAAAAAAATAAAGATTAGGTAAGAGAGAAATAATAGAGAATAATAGAATAATAGAGAATAGAAAAACAATAATCAGCAAAATCAAAACTGGTTCTTCAAAGAAAAACAAAACTGACAAATCTTTAGCTAGCTTGACTAGGAAAAAAAAGAAAAGACTCAAATTATTAAAATAAGAAATGAAAATGGGAACATCAACACCAATTTTACAGAAATAAAGTTGGGAGTTATTATTTATGGGTACAGATTTTTTAATTTAGTATGACGACAAAGTTCTAGAAGTAGACAGTGCTGATGGATGCAGATGCTGTGAATTAATGGCACTTGATTGTACGCTTAAATATAGTTAAAATGTGTGATAAATGTAAATTTTGCACGATGTATATTTTACCACAATTAAAAAAAAGTGCGCGTGTAGAGGTTGCAAAGAATAAGTATTAGAATCCCTAAAAAGTCACACAAAATAAAAGCATTAAATATGGCTTTTGAGAAACCAGTTCTTCTATAACCAAGTTTAAATCTTTCCCCTAAATGCAAGAGCTCTACAATAGTACCAGTTTTGTAAATATATTTTCTTTTTTTCTTTTTGAGACGGAGTCTTGCTGTCTCCCAGGCTGGAGTGCAGTGGCGCGATCTCGGCTCACTGCAAACTCCGCCTCTCGGGTTCACACCATTCTCCTGCCTCGGCCTCCCGAGTAGCTGGGACTACAGGTGCCCACCATCACGCCCAGCTAATTTTTTGTATTTTTAGTAGATACAGGTTTTTACCATATTAGCCAGGATGGTCTCGATCTCCTGGTCTTGATTGATCTGACCTCGTGATCCGCCTGCCTCGGCCTTCCAAAGCGCTAGGATTACAAGTGTGAGCCACCGTGCCCGGCCTAGCAATATATTCTCAAAGTTTCAGTAAGTAATCCAATACATTCTCTGACTTAATTTTGTTTTTTTTGTTGTTGTTTTTTGTTTGAGACAGAGTCTTGCTCTGTCACCCAGGCTAGAGTGCAGTGGCACGATCTCAGCTCACTGCATTAATTTCATTTTTAAGTAAAGTGGGAAACAAATGAACAGGCAAACAAACTCACCTTTCATCATAGAGTGTTTTTGTGATACCTCCTCCCGGAATGCGGATACAAAACTCGGAATCATCTATTTCAGGAATGCACCGGCTTTTTTCCATTTCTTCCCAGTTAAGGCTCTTTATTTTATTTTGAACACTTTTTTGCATGGAAGGTGTAAGTAGGTACCGGAAGGGAGTACTAGAAATAATCATATAGTTAACTTTTTAAAAACTCTAAAGCAAACATCGGTTCTTTAGCTAAAATTCTCTTGGTCTCCATATATTCTGCTGCACAGGCAAAACACAAGTTTCAGCAGACTTAAGTAAAAAATATTGCTCTGATTTGCTACTTACTTACTTACTTAGGAGACAATATAAAAAGACAGAAACACTTAGGCAAGCCCATTGCAAAAATTTCCCACAGCTTTCCTCCCTTCTGCCATGAAGCCTGTAATGTCTTTTGTGAAAGTCCTGGAAATTAGCTCATTTTGAAAGGTAACTCTTGGCTTGTTGGTATTTTTTCATCCTGGTTTTATAGGTGTCTAAGTGATAAAAGTTATGATCTACATCATCTAAAACAGTTACAGTGAGCCAAGACTGTGCCACTGCACTCCAGCCTGGGTGACAGAGTGAGACTCCATCCCCAAAAGAATAAAAAATAAAAAATAAATGATCTAAATGCTACATCTTGGGGCCGGGCGTGGTGGCTCATGCCTGTAATCCCAGCACTTTGGGAGGCCCAGGCAGGCAAATCACCTGAGGTCAGGAGTTCGAGACCAGCCTGGCCAATATCCTGTCTCTACTAAAAACACAAAAAATTAGCCGGGTGTGGTGGCATGCGCCTGTAGTCCCAAGTACTCGGGAGGCTGAGGCAGGAGAACCGCTTGAACCCAGGAGGCAGAGGTTGCAGTGACTCGAGATTGCGCCACTGCACTCCAGCCTGGGCAACTGAGAACTGGGCAACTGAGAAAGACTCCGTCTCAAAAAAAAAAAGAGGAAAAAAAAAAAAAGCTACATCCTGGGGACGGGCACAGTGACTCATGCCTGTAATCCCAGCATTTTGGGAGACCCAGCAGGCGAATTACCTGAGGTCAGAAATTTGAGACCAGCCTGGCCAACACAGTGAAGCCCAGCCTCCACTAAAATTACAAAAATTAGTCTGGCGTGGCGGCAGGTACCTGTAATCCCAGCTACTCAGGAGGCTGAGGCAGGAGAATCGCTTGAATCCAGGAGGTGGAGGTTGCAGTGAGCTGAGACCATGCCACTGCACTCCAGCCTGGGTGACAGGGCAAGACTCCGTCTCAAAAATAAATAAATAAAAGCTACATCTTAGAGTATAAGAGTATTCTATATGATATGTTATCAACTTTATGTGGTAATGATAGCTTATAGTTCTATTTCTGGGATACTCTGTCTTACATTTAAGAACTCACTCTGACATGCCAGGGAGCTACCCTTTAGGCAAGTGGATTTCTGCAAATACGAATGGTTGCATGTGGCCAGGTGCGGGGGGCTCACACATGCAATCCCAATACTTTGGGAGGCTGAGGCAGGCAGACTGCTTGAGCCTGGGAATTCGAGACCAGCCTGGGCAACATAGCTAGACCCTGTCTCTACAAAAAGTAAATGTTTTTTAAAAAATGGTAGCATATATGGAAATAACTGAAAATATTAATCTTTCAAGGTAACATATGGAAATAACTGAAAATATTAACCTTTCAAAAGTTAGCAACTTTATAAATCTTGAGTACCTTTTCTGCTTATTCTCTTCAATTAGCTGAGCTCTGTGATGTTGCCATGTATGTGACGGGAAACACTAAAAACATGGTTCCCAAACTCTCTCTCTCTACACGATGTCTTCCCCATGCCCCAACTCTACTAAGCTCACAGGAACTGAAAAGATCTGCCTAACTGTACTCCCTCCCATCTCCTGACCTTCTCTTACCCCCCTCTTTCTAAACTCCAGTAAGAAGAGGTAAGGATCTACGTGGCTTTTAAAGTTTAACTTTTTAATAGAGAAATTATCATAGTATAAACCATACCAAAAATAACTTTCCAGAGGCAGAAACATACCTACGAAGCTGCAGATCATTACGCTGATATGAATGACTGCTTGAAAGAACAATGACTCTGGCACAGCCACTGCTTTTCACCCAGGAAAGCAGTTTTTCACAGAATGGCTTTGATTTATACTTTGCACACCATTGAGAGAATAAAAAGAAAATCTAAAAGTTAGTCTTAGAGCATACAAACATTCTATATACTATTTCATCAACTTTATGTGATAATGATATATAATTTATATATACTGAAATTATTTTCAGATCCACTTACTGTGCTTAAACCGAAAGTGAATGATAAAGAGCAATGAATTATCTAATGTATCTTTATAATTAAGAAATCAATGGCCATGCATGGTGGCTCACGCCTGTAGTCCCAGCACTTTGGGAGGCAGGCGGATCACCTGAGGTCAAGAGTTCAAGACCAGCCTGGCCAACATGGTAAAACCCCATCTCTACTAAAAATAAAAAAATCAGCGGGGCATGGTGGCAGGCACCTATAATCCCAGCTACTCAGGAGGCTGAGACAGGAGAATCACTTGAACCCAGGAGGTGAAGGCTGCAGTGAACCGAGATTGTGCCATTGCACTCCAGCCGGGGGAACCGAGTGAAACTTTCTCAAAAAAAAAAAAAAAAGAAAAAAGAAAAAGAAAAGAAATCAATGAATCATGAGGAATCTAGATTTCAAAAAAAATCTATTGTGATGGACAAAGGACAATTTCCCAGTTCTCTACTTGAGTAATCTATTGTTACCTAATAACCAATACATGGTCATCTGTGAAGGGTTCTTGCCAGAAATTTGTGACCCGAATCTGGTCACATGGAAACAATCAGATGAATGGAGAATGCTCCACATCCAGCCCCGGTTCCTCAAAGGAGTCAATATTGTAAAGAAAGAAAGAGGGGCAGGCCAGTTTTACTCTGAAGGATAACAACTAAAAAGATGTAACAGCCAAATACAACCTGTGAACCATCAATGGATCCAGAATTGAAGGATACTTTCGGAACAGCTGTGGAAATTTGAGTATGTTGGATGATACTCCTGAATAAATTCATTAAATGCTGGTTTTCTTGGGTGTGGTAATGGTGTCCTGTTCTTGAAAGATGTGTGCGGAAGTATGTAGGGGTGACCATTGCTAGCCTACTTCTGGATTGTTTCGAAGAAGGAAACTGTGTACGCGCATAGCGAGAGATCAAGTAGGTGTGGCAAGACATTCACAGCTGGTAAATCTGGAATGTGGGTTATAAAATTTCAGGGGGAGCCCGCTTTATGAAAATTTTTCAAAGACTGCTCATAAAATAACTACTCAATAAAATTTAAAATGCAGGTAAGAGAAATGCAGGCTAACTTTTAAAATAAGAAGGTAGTCTAGTGCAGCAGTTAAGAGAGGCAGGCTCTGGGACAGGCAAGGTGGCTCACTCCTGTAATCCCAACACTTTGGGAGGCCGTGGTGGGCAGACTACTTGAGCCCAGGAGTTAAAGCCCAGCCTAGGCAATATAGTGAGACCCTGTTACTACAAAAAAAAAAAAAATTATTACACATGGTAGTGCACGTCTGTAGCCCCAGGTACTCAGGAGGCTGAGGTGGGAGGATCATTTGAGCCTCGGAGGTCAGGGCTGTAGTGAGCCATAGTTGTGCCACTGCACTCCAGCCTGGGTGGAGTGACACCCTGTCTCAAAAAAAAAAAAAAAAAAAAAAGTAAAAGAAAAAAGGCAAGCTCTGGAGCCAGGCTGCCTGGGTTAGAGTGCTGGTCCTGCCTCCCTAAGATCATGTGTCAGGCAATTGCTTAATCTTTCTGTACTTCAGTGTTTCCTTTGAAAAATAAGGATAATATTAGTATCTGTCTTATAGGTTTGTCATGAGGATTAAGTAATAAATATAAGGTACTTAGAACAGTATCAGCACAAAGAATCAATGCTCAATAAATGTTTGCTATTTTGAAATTAGTCTTGTGGCCAGGCACGGTGGCTCACGCCTGTAATCCCAGCACTTTGGGAGGCTGAGGCGGGCAGATCACAAGGTCAGGAGATCGAGACCATCCTGGCTAACACGGTGAAACCCCGTCTCTACTAAAAATACAAAAAAATTAGCCGGGCGTGATGGTGGGCGCCTGTAGTCCCAGCTACTCGGGAGGCTGAGGCAGGAGAGTGGCGTGAACCCAGGAGGTGGAGCTTGCAGTGAGCCGAGATCATGCCACTGCGGTCCAGCCTGCGCAACAGGGCGAGACTCCGTCTCAAAAAAAAAAAAAAAAAAAAATTCACTCTTTACTTCCAGCTGCCAAAAATTTATATTATACGTTAAATAATTTTTCAACTTACACTGATTAGAAAGAGAACAAAAAGCCATGTGGCACAATGTAAAAATGTTACCAACTCTAACTGCAAAACTTTGGGTATATAATGTTAACTAAAGAAAGCAGTGATTCTAGTATAAGAATTAAAAATAATCTTAGCAGCACTATTCATGATAGTCTCAAACTGGAAATAATCAAATGTAGCATCAAAAGTACCATGGAAAAATTATGGCTTATGTATACAACTTAACACCACAGAGAAATGAGAACGAATGAACTATGGCTACTTCCAACAACATGGGTGAACCCCGCAAAGGGAATGTTAAGAAAGGAAGCTAGATGCTGTAAGTATATACCACAGAATTCCACCAATAGAATACTGACTAGGACGCATTATGGGGTCCTCTGGAATGCTGACAATGCTCTATGTCTTGATCTGAAAGCTGGTTTCACAGAGGGTTTACTGCATGAAAATTCACCAAGCTGTATATTTATGATTTGTGCACTTTTCTCATGTACGTCATACTTCGATAAAAAGTTAAAATAATGGCTGAGCACAGTGGCTCACGCCTGTAATCCCAGCACTTTGGGAGGCTGTGGTGGGCAGATCACCTAAGGTCAGGAGTGTGAGACCAGCCTAGCCAACATGGCAAAACCCCAACTCTACTAAAAGTACAAAAAGTAGCCAGGCGTGGTGGCGGGCACCTGTAATCCCAGTTACTCAGGAGGCTGAGACAAGAGAATTGCTTGAACCCAGGAGACGGAGGTTGCAGTGACCTGAGATCACGCCACTGCACTCCAGCCTGGGCGACAAGAGCAAGACTCCATCTCAAAAAGAAAAGTTAAAATAAAAAGTACTATGCAGTTAACCATGTCACTAAAATCCTGTATTTCTAACCTCCTGAAAAGATGATACCTCAGGTCATTCCAAAAAATCCCTTAGCAAATATTTACTGAGAGCTTCTCTATGTGCATGACACTATCTTATGAGCTGGGGATATAAAAGTAAATGACACTTCATCATTCCTTTCAGAAGCTTACTTTCGGCTGGGTGTGGTGGCTCACACCTGTAATCCCACTACTTTGGGAGGTTGAGGCGGGCAGATCACCTGAGGTCAAGAGTTTGAGACCAGCCTGGCCAACATGGTGAAACCCCATCTCTACTAAAAATACAAAAATTAGCCAGGTGTGGTGGCGGGCACCTGTAATCCCAGCTACTCAGGAGGCTGAGGCAGGAGAATCGCTTGAACCCAGCAGGCAGAGGTTGCAGTGAGCTGAGATTGCACCACTGAACTCCAGCCTGGGTGACAAGAGTAAAACTCTGCCTCAAAAAAAAAGAGGGCCGGGCACAGTGGCTCATGCCTGTAATCCCAGCACTTTGGGAGGCTGAGGTGGGTGGAGTGGGTGGATCACCTGAGGTCAGGAGTTTGAGACCAGCCTGGCCAACATGGTGAAACCCCATCTTTACTAAAAATACAAAACTTAGCCGGGCACAATGGCACACGTTCGTAATCCAGCTGCTTGCGAGGCTGAGGCAGGAGAATCACTTGAACCCAGGAGGCGGAGGTTGCAGTGAGCTGAGATCACGCCATTGCACTTTGGGGAAGCTGAAGCATGAACTGCTTGAGCTCAGGAGTTCAAGACCAGCCTGGGCAACATGGCGAAACCCCACCTCTACAAAAAAATACAAAAATTAGCCGGGTGTGGTGGTGCATGCCTGTAATCCCAGCTACTCGGGAGGGTGAGGTTGGAGAATGGCTTGAGCCTGGGAGGCAGAGGTTGCAGTGAGCCAAGATCACGCCACTGCATTCCAGCCTGGGTGACAGAGCAAGAGAGACCCTGTTTCAAGGAAAAAAAAAAAAAAAAGGAAGAAAGGATTGTTTAGGAGGGCCTTTCTCATGAAGAAACATTTAAGAAAACAGTAAAGGAGGCAAACCATTGGAGTCTCTAAGAAAATGAATTTCGGCAGAGAAGCTAGTGGAAAGACTGAGACAGGATGAGCTTAATGTCTAACAACACAGGGAAGCCAGTGTGGCTGCAGGTTAGGCTCTGCAAAGCAGCAGTCTGGCAGAGCTCCTGTGAGCATGACTCTTGTTATGCTGGCTTTTTGCATATGGGGCTCCTGCGAACTTGGAACGTGAGGAACTGAATTTTAAATTTATGAATTAAACTGTAAATAGTTACATGTAGCTAGTGGCTACTGTATTAGCACAGATATACAGCCTCATAGGCCACAGTAAGGGCTGTGAATTTGAAACCATCCTCAAAGAGTTAAAGAAACCAATGACTAACAAATTCTTGAGTTTGGACTGGGCGTGGCTTACACCTGTAATCCCAGCATTTGAAAGGCCAAGGTGGGTGGATCACTTGAGGGCAGGAGTTGGAGACCAGCCTGGCCAACATGGCAAAACCCCGTCTCTACTAAAAATACAAAAATTAGCCAGTGTGGTGGCGTGTCCCTGTAATCCCAGAGGCTGAGGCAGGAGGATCACTTGAACCCAGGACGGCAGAGGCTGCAGTGAGTTGAGATCACATCAGTGCACTTAAGCCTGGGCATCAGAGGAGACTGTCTCAAAAAAAAAAAAAGAAAGAAATTATTGAGTTTGCAGGGTAGCAGATAAGAAACTACTTGGTAAAATACTGAAACTTCCTCCCCTTATGGGATAAAAGAACTGGCTGAAATTGGTTGGAACCAATATGGCCAAGTAGAGTCTGCAGAGAACAAGCTTCCTGGTGTCGCAAGCTGACTCTCCATCACGTTTCATACTCATTCCCCTGAATTGGCACATGAGCCCTATGAGTTAGCATGAGGAGATAACTGTGCATGCCCAAGGACCTTCCAGATGTCCCCTTTCCTTCCATCGCTCACCTACTGATCTCAGAATCCACCCTCTGAACCTTTTCTAATAAAAACACTGCCTTGAAGTCAGCACAGGGAGGCAGATTTGAGGTCGACTCCTGTCTCCTTGGGAGTCAATTTGCAATATAAAGCCTTTCTTGTCTCAAAAACCTGGTGTCACAGTGCATCAGGAAGCGAGCCCCTTTTCCTGGATCACAATTTTGAGTGAGAGGAGAAGCCACTGGAGGGTTTCAAAGAGAGTAGTGATGTGGTGTACGTTTAGAGGATCATCAGTGCTGCTGTTTGTGGGAGGCAGATCAGCAAGTTAGTCAGGGGCATGAAGATGACACTGGTTTGCACTCAATGACAGCAGTGGAGGAGGAAAGAAGTCGGATTCAGAATATTTTATGACATATACATAATTTGATATATACATAGTTTATATGTAGATGCCACCAGCTGAAAGGTAATACAAATGGAATAAACCTCTAATATTAATATGCTTACATTTTTTCACCAATGCTACCCGAACTGAAAATATGTTAACACTCAAGATAAAAGCCCTGCTTCCTTTCTATATAATCATGAAAAGACAGTAACACATCTGAAATATTGTAAGATTATTTCTCTGTAGAATCAGATCTTAACTGTACATATGGTAAAAACAGTAGTAATTTTTGAATCTTAATCCCTAATGTTACTTATTTTCTCATTACACTTTAATAAACAAAAAGGCAAACTACAACATACTAACCTTAATAAAAATGGATCTTAACTGTAGAGCCACCAGCTTTCTTGAAGGCAATGAATACACTATAAAAACAAGAAGAAAATGAAATCATATGACAGTGAAGTTATACAAGTTGAAATTATTATGATAAACAAAAATTGAATTATAATACCTTTTGCATTTAAATGTTTTCAATAATTAAAATACGGAACATATATGACATCTGGTTAAAATAAGACCTTTTAGAAGTACCTTAAAATAAGCCAGTGGGCTTTATTCTATGGAACAGATTCATTTCTGAAAAGTTAACTGTAAGAAAATATAAAAAATTATTTTTCTTTTGACTTTAACTGCAAAACCAGAGAAGTATTCCCCTGAAAATTTCTGGTATTATGACAAATAAAATCATCCTTAAGAAAACTGAACTTTTTGGCTTTTGATATTCTCCCCTCTTTGTCTCCAGAGAACAGCAACACTCATTGGGATTAACAGAAAAAACAGTAAAAGGTAGGAGAATGTTAGCCATGTAATAAAATCCTGAAATAGGTACATGTGTGTTCCTTAGAACTTTTTAAAGGATCTGAAATAACATAAAATGTCATGTGAGTCAATGTGTTTGTATTTTTTACTGGGAAAAGGATCCATAGCTTTCATCAGGTTCTACAAGGGGCACACTCTAGAAATGCTTAAGGCTTCCCTGCCCAACTTCATTTCTAAGAATGAGAAGCAGCTGGGCATGGTGGCTCACGCCTGTAATCCCAGCACCTTGGGAGGCTGAGGCAGGTGGATCACAAGGTCAGGAGATCAAGATCATCCTAGCTAACATGGTGAATGAAACCCCGTCTCTACTAAAAAATAAAAAAATTAGCCAGGCTTGGCGGCGGGCACCTGTAGTCCTAGCTACTCAGGAGGCTGAGGCAGGAGAACGGCGTGAACCCGGGGGGCGGAGCTTGCAGTGAGCAGAGATCGCGCCACTGCACTCCAGCTTGGGCAACAGAACAAGACTCCATCTCAAAAAAAAAAAAAAAAAAAAAGAATGAGAAGCTCCTGAGTCAGGGATAAAATACTCTCTAAGGACACAGGATTACTACTGTGCTAAGGGGTAAGTGTTGGTTACCATAAACAGATTGCAAATAACAGCAAATCCTTTGGTGGATCAGGTCTCTACTGTTACAGGTCTTTCGGAAATTGTCTCCTATGGCTGGCGTGATGTGGTGTGACTGGGGGGTATGCTGAACTCAGCAAATCTAGCAAGCACCAGGTATGTTCAGTCCAAAGGAAGTTTAGGAATTAGGGAAAAGGGTATAAATTTAGGGAAAAGAGACTAAGGCAAAGATTACTCAGCCTCTAACCTATCTGTGACAAACACATGTAGTCCAATTCAACTGACCTAGGTTTGAAAAGAATGTATCTGTAGGGGGTGGACAGGCTAAGCTTTTTAAAATGTAAGCTACCACTTCTTCGGTGATAGCAATACTCTCCTCATCAGCGTATCATACAATTCTTTTTTTTTGAGACAGAGTCTCGCTCTGTCACCCAGGCTGAAGTGCAGTGGTGCGATATCGGCTCACTCCAACTTCTGCCTCCCAGGTTCAAGTGATTCTTGTGTGTCAGCCTCTCAAGTAGCTGGGATTACAGGAGCACACCACCACGCCTGGCTAATTTTTGTTTTTTGTTTGTTTTTTAAGACAGAGTCTTGCTCTATCACCCAGACTGGAGTACAATGGTGTGATCTCGGGTCACTGCAACCTCTACCTCCTGGGTTCAAGCGATTCTCCTGTCTCAGCCTCCTGAGTAGCTGGGATTTCAGATGCACACCGTCACAACGGGTTAATTTTTTGTATTTTAGTAGAGACAGAGTTTCATCATGTTACCCAGGCTGGTCTCGAACTCCTGAGCTCAGGCAATCCACCCGTCTTGGCCTCCCAAAGCGCTAGGATTACTAGCATGGGCCACCGTGCCCGGCCTATGCAATTCTTTTTGTTGTTAGGTTCCTGTTTCCTAGTACTTTTTTCTTCTGATGTGATACATTACGAAAGCAACAACACCTTTTCTGTATTCTGCCCCAAAACATTAACCTTTTATCTAATCAAGCCTTTAGAGCTAACTCCAGTTACAGAAAACACAGGGGCTAGAACAACAAGCCAAGTGACAAGAGGACGTAATCAGACAAATCAGAAGGTGGGACATTGTACAAAACAATACACCTAGTCTTTTCTTCAATAAATCGGTTTGTGATGAAAAAAAAGGGACTGCTCTAGAGTAAAAGAGATTTCAAGGGCACAGCACAACAATCGGATATATGAGGGGTCTTCAAAAAGTTCACAGGAAATGT